>NC_000002.12:196883557-197186587 GCF_000001405.40 Homo sapiens | reverse complement strand
GAGGCACAGGTGGGAGGATTGCCTGAGCCCAGGAGTTCGAGGCTGCAGTGAACTTTGATCACGCCACTGCACTCTAGCCTGGTTGACAGAGTAAGACCCTACCTCAAAAAAAAAATCTGGTTAAATAACCAGATACAGCAGAAGATCTAAGAGTGAGCATAATTTAAATATAGTGATGAGCATAATCAGTATTTTGAGTTGTGTGCAACAACTCTAATGTTATATGAACATACCTGTGATTTCTGCTGGTGACAGCATTACAGTTACTGATGTTGCTACTGTGGTTTATGGCCTACATTCATAGTGGAAGGAAATGCTAAATTCCAATCAGAAGTCAGTGATAATAGAGGTGCAATTTTTTTTCCAAGGTGATGAACCCCTGGAACCCATGCCCTGCAGCAGTGGTTGGCAACCTATGGTACATCATACATTTTTTTCTGCAGGCCTCCTGCTAAAAATGGTTTTTATTTTTCAAGTGTTGAGAAAAAAATCAAGAGAAGAATAATATTTTGTGACACATGAAAATGACCTGAAATTCAAATTTGGTGTTCATAAATACAGTTTTGTTGGAACACGGCCATACTCATTCATTTATGTATTATCTGTGGCTACTTTTGCACTGCAACAGCAGAATTGGGTAGTTGTGAAACAGACTATAAGTGGCTCACAAAGCCAAAGATATTTACTATCTGTTTTTTTAGGGAAAGTTTGCTGACCCTTGCCCTAAAAGGTTCATGACTCTGGGTCTGGGATCAGTGGGTGAACTAGGCATCCTGTGTGCCCTCTGAAGTCACAGGCAGTAGATATGTGCACTATATACATATTTTGTGTGAAATGAATCAAACTATTTCATCAAGTTCTTAAAAAGGTATCTGACTCCCAAAAGATTAAGAATCACTGTATCTGGAAGGTCCTGACACAAAAAAACAAACCTTCAATAAAGAAAGGTAAAATGATTTAGTCAATGATTTACCCTTTTAGTAGTTTCCTAGATTTGAGTTGAACAAGCAATTATGTACAGTACATGCTACTAATTCTCTTAATGTAATTCAATTGTGAAATACTGAAGTCCACCAGGGAGAGGAGTTCTCTTTAAAGTCTCTAGTGTTAAGTAGAAACAGAAGTTGTCAACTACATCTTCAGTGTAAGAGGAGCTTTGCCACAGGGAGGTGGATTACGTCTGTCTGGTCGGCTGAATGCTTTATTCAGAAGGCGAGTCATTTGGTGTAGCCATTGTTCCATGGCAGTGCAGGTTGGTGTGGCTTTTGCAAAAGCTTTTGGCAGCTTCTCCCCAGCTGGCACTAAGCACAACAGGACAATGGTTTGTGACATTTTTGCAAGGTAAGCACAGATGAGGCCAGGGACAGGCTACTCCAGAAGGCAGTTGGGCATTTGTCCAGGGCCTGCGGGTTGCGACCTGTGCTTCTGAGCCAAGGCCAGGCCAGCAAGCTCCCTTTCCAGTGTTCTGACATCACGGGAATCCACCCAGCCTGTTTTGTGGCTGTGGCCCAAGCCCAGGGAAGCCCAAGCCATGGTTACTATATTTTCCTAATGATCATGAGCAAATGGAACTTTTGTTCTGTCATACATACCAAAAAAGTTTGTACTGGCCCCTGAATGGCCTTCATTTCTTTTTGGGAAAGTGACAAAACAGTTGCTAGCTGGTAAAGGTTAGGGGAGCCTAACTTCAGTTGTAACTTATCACTGAATTAGATAGGTTAACTACTGTTACACATAGACCCCTAAATGTATGATGGATGTATGATGTATGAAGTTTAGGTCTCTTTATGAACATATTAGAGGGGTGGTCCTTTTCCAAACAGGATCCCAGGTAGCAACATGTGGCCTCTAAGATCACCACAGGGGTTGTGTGCAGTCCTGCCACCCCAAAGGGAAAAAGAGCATGGAGGAAAAGCATGGAAGGATTTTTTTTTTTTTTTTTTTTTTTGAGATGGAGTCTCGCTCAGCTGCCCAGGCTGGAGTGCAGTGGCGTGATCTCGGCTCACTGCAACCACCATCTCCCGGGTCAAGCGATTCTCCTGTCTCAGCCTCCCAAGTAGCTGGGATTACAGGCACCCGCCATCATGCCCAGCTAATTTTTATATTTTAGTAGAGACAGGGTTTCACCATGTTGGCCAGGCTGGTCTTGAACTCCTCACCTCAGGTGATCTGCCTGCCTCGGCCTCCCAAAGTGCTGAGATTACAGGCGTGAGCTACTGCGCCCGGCCACCATGGAAGGATTTTTATGGGTCAGCTTGGAATTAGCATACATCACTTCCACTTATATTCCATGGACCAGAATTTAGCCATGGCCATACCTAGCTACGAGGGAGAGTAAGGAATTAGTGTATCTGTGTGCCCCCAAAGAGACGGCATGGATTTTAGTGAGTAGTTAGCAATCTTGGCCACACCAATTTTTGGTCTTAGAGAATTCTAGTGATGCCACTTATTTGTCTGGGAGATGTCTTATTCATCCATAGTTATGTATTGAGTTGAGACTGTGTGCTCAGTGCTAGGGACACAGCAGTGAGATGGCACCCTTTCCATGATAGAGCTTACAACATAGCAGAGAAGTCAACAAATGAGAAATTACACTGTGATGCAGTTTTGAAAGAAAAAATCCGGGATGCTATGTAGGGAGAAGGTTAATCATGAGGACCTGATAAAGTGATGTGTAACCTGAGGCTTGAGAGATATATAGGAATTTGCTTTGCCTTTGTGGGCTGTTGGGTGTGTGGCAACAGATAAGCAGGGGATGGAGGGAGGGAGAGAAATGAACACAAGAGTGGTTGAATGAATGAATGAATGAATGGATAAAGAACACAAGGAGGGCCTGAGTTCTTAGGTTGATGTTACCACTTTTTGGGATCCACAGGCCCTTTTGTTCTACTCACCCCTCTTTAGACTCTCCCTTTAACTCCCCCTTTCTGCTCCTTCAGGTGTGTACAAAGATCATTTGACCCCACACTTATCCAGCATGTCCTCTTGTCATGGTTTTCTTTTGCCAATGCCCTTGGGGATGAGTCATAGTGACTATTTTTGCTGGGGGTGGATTAGGTAGTTTAAGAGAAGTGGTTGTTAAGAAAAGGCATAGACAGATGGAGGACACATAAGGATTGGAGAGCTAAGCCTGGAGGTGCATTTCAAAGGGGAAAAGGGGCTGATAACCATGTATTTAAATGTCAAGGAAGGAAAATAAATAGTGCAGGAGCCACTACTCACTAACTTGGAAGGCCATATTTGTCTTCTTACCCCTTGCTTTTCTTTCTTTCCCCTCATTTATTCACTTAATTATGCTTTTCTGTCCTAGGTTCTGAGTTTTTCACCTTTCCCTGCCCTCACCTCTCCACGCTTTTTGATGGGTCACATGTTCTCTGGTGTAAATCACCCATTCATTAACTGATCCTGATATAGAAAGCCATCTTATTCAGCTTGGCCTCTGTGTTTTTCCAGACTTTATTTCCCCCAATAGTATTTATAAACTCTGTGCCCCACTAACCACATGACTTGACTCATTGAGATTTATTCTATTCTCTCACCCTTTTCTCACTTCTCCACCCTTCCAATTCCATGTGTCCTTCCATACCTACTACTTCCTCCATTAAGTTGTCCTACTTCTCACTTCCTTTCTGCTCTCTTCTCTACCACCTTCTCAACCCAGCCAAAGAAACCTACTTCTACCCTCAACTCCCACAGCTCTTTGTACTGCATTAATCACTGTTGACTACTGCTTAAAACTGTAGCTGACCCTTGAACAACACAGCTTTGAACTTGGCAGGTCACTTATATGCAGATTTTTTTCCAACCAAAGGCAGGATGAAAATACAACATTCGTGGGATCTGAAACCTGCATACAGGGAGGGCTGACTTTTCATATATTTGGGATCTGCAGGCCCAACTCAGGGACTTGAATATGTGCAGATTGTAGTGTATGTGGGGGTCCTGGAACCAATGTCCCACATATACTGAGGGAAAACTGTATATGCTTGATGACATGGTCACTATCTTATTCACTGTCATCTGCTCAATCGCCTAGTCCAGTCCTTGCAGCACATTTGACTGAATGACTCAACCCTACTTTATTGCTTATGCTGAGCCAGTTTTTGGTAGCTTATAGTTCATTTCTCCCAATGAGGATAAATTGTTGAATAGAGGAAGCATCCAGCTTAGTTAGTTTCCCTCAGGTATCATTTGTAAGACTGGAAATTCTCCTTGTAAGATTGAAAATCTGTAGATTGAATTGAGGAGCCACTGAAGGGTCAGGAGGGGCACACTGAGTCTTTTTATGGTTTCTGTGGTTAATGGCATACCAGGGCCTGGAAATATGGGATGATCATTGTACACTCTGAGAAATCTATTTAAATCGACGCAGATTTGGCAGATAGCTAGAAAGATTTTAGAAGCCTCCACCTGACTAACCAAACTGAGCTCAAGATGGAGAATAGCATCTGATTTCAAAATTTGGAAGGCAGAGATTTTATAAACCAAAATTTGAATTCAATAAAGGCATTTTGAGGATTATGTTATGACAATGTGATGTCAAGAGGACACTTTTACTGTGTCCTACTGGAACAGGGACAGAGACAAAGTGACGCCTGTCAGTGGTGAATGATGATGATGGGGAGGGAACCATGCTATGTGAAGAGTGGTTGAAGAAACTGGTGATGTTTCACACTTGGAGAGGACAAGAGAATGGCCCCAAATAGTTTAAGTTAACACTGTCAAATTAAAACGGAACTAGACTAGGCTTGTCATTATGTCATGTGGTTGTAAGCTATAGAAAATAAGATGTTAGCTCAAAAGATAAGAATTAACTTAATAGACAGAGCTGTCTAGAGAAGCAATGAGTCGAATTGGCAAGAAGTAAGCTCCCTGAAAGACCGCTAGACTGGAAGTTTGAAAGGTGACTAATATGGTAGCACATATGGCCCCATTCTCCTATCTTGTGACCCTGGCCAACATTGCTAATGGTTCATGGCACTTTTTTTCCTTTGAGTCTTAGAGACTAAAATTTCTTCTCAGGATAGTACTATGAAATTGAAGTGCACGTAAATTGAAACTTCCTCTCCATGCCTGGACGAGGTAATGTTTAAAGTCTCTTACAACTGTGAAAGATTATAGTCCCAAGGGTTGTGAGTCTCACATGATAGCAAATCCATGATGTTTATTTCGTTTTTTAAAGTATCATTAATAGAAACACACATTATCATACCAAATAGAATTAACAACGATGCCTCAATATCATTTAATATCCAGTGCATCCTCCATTTTATTTTGTTTTCAGTAGTTTCAAAAATATCCTTTTTTCAGTTGAATTGTCCCCAAGTTGATCATTTTAATCCATCTACTTTATAAAAAATTTTTTTTGTAAAGCTGTTAACACTTATTATTTGCTCTAATAGGATTTGACCCAAGTAGATTGGTGTATTTTGCTTACTCTCTCCAGTTCCAAAATGGGATGCTTTGTGAATACAATGGAATAAATCTGGAGGTGCAAGCTAAGCTTATGTTGCTAAGGAATGTATAGTAAACAAGAGAGAAACCTATTACAGCTGCCATTCTTGACTACAGGAATTAATTCAGATGGATTAATTATTGAATCTCAAGAGCCAAGTGAGAAAAAAAATAGACACTATATGATGAGGGGACTTTTCAAAGAAATAAGGCACATTTACAATAGCAAGCTTGTAATATGTATGCATGTGTATGTGTATGTTGAAGTGTTGCACTATTTCTTTTAAAATAGAGTATATTTTAAAAATCCACCCAGAAGGACTCAATATGGCTCCACTCAAAGAACTTGGGATGATCAATTTAATATCTTCTTTAAGTTTTTCTCTAAGTTTTTCTCTGCTTGATTATATTATGTCTAAGACTCTTAAACATTAGAAATACAAACTATGTAGCCCAGCTTTTTAAACTTCTAGATTTTTATGTATTTTTCTCACCTACATATATCCTACTTGATTTTTTTTCTTTTTAATAAATAATTTGATATGAAGATGAAGGACTGAGATGTTTTGCCGGCTTAGAGACTTGGGCACCTTCTAAACAAGACCTGAATCAGAAACCACTGGGAGTAAGGAGGCTGCAGGGAATGGCGGTGGCACACTCAGGTCCCATAAATGATAGAAGTGCACAGTGATCACGAGTGATGAATGGCTCAGCTCTCATCAAGCACCCTGCAGGAATGCAGGTGCAGTGTGGCCCAGGCTTTTCAGACTTTTAAGAGAAAATACAGGAAATCTCTAAATTGTTAAATGTCGGTTCCAAAAGATGACCTAACAATGTGCAGGCCAAAGAAAACACATCCGTGGGCCAAATCCGGCCTGCAGGTCACCGTTTTGCTAACTGTGGATGAGATCAGCAAATATTCAGTGATGAAGGTTTCTCTGGCCACATGCATCTGGAAAGTAAATGCCATGGTTGCGAAGCCAAGGGCCCCAGTGTTCTGGGAAGAGCAGTGGCCTGCACTTTAAACGTTGACACTGTTTCTGGCTCGCTGATTAGGGGCCGGGGTGGGGGAGGTGGAGGAAAGCTGATGGTTTTTTCACAGATCTGAGAATGGTGCTTTTTGTCTTGAGGGTAGGTGCCCATCTCTCAGCACATGCCTGACAATATTGTCACACTCCCCATCCACTCTCATCCACGCCCCCCTTGTTGGACCCCTGCCCAGGATGTGGGGCTGTAGTTTGGAAGCCCTGACCTATACCCTGTAAAGAATGATTTATGAACTCCAGGCAGCACTGAGCAGGCTTCAAAGATGTGGCTTCACGGCCATTTAAAATGTGCAAAGGCAGGTCTGGTTTGCATCATCACTAATTATCCTATGGAGGATGCTCAGCAGCTTGAGGCCTGAGCTCTCCAGCACTGGACATGGAGGCCAGACACCCAGCCTCCAAAAGAGAGACAAATCTTATAATGGTATATGATTTGTACCCTCACATACTAGAGATGGATGTTTTGGAGCTATGGAGAAACATTTCAAGTGTATGGCATTAGTATTATTTTGCAATTACTGGACATTTTTGTAGTACAAAGAAAAATATAAGAATTAAAAATGTACTTTGTAAGTAGTTTGAGCATGTAAACATAAAGGATATGGCCCTTTCTTCATATTAGATACGCATTTGGACAGAGGATGTAATTGTGAATAAATAAGGCACATTATTAGGTAGAAAGAAGACAATACTTAAGATGGTAATTGTTTGAAATTAATGTATAAATTCAGGGCGATTTGGTGGTAGGAGTTGAGTGGGGAAACTTGACAAAATAATTCTAAACTTTATCTAGAAGAATAAACATGTGAGACTAGCTAGGAAACTCTTGAAAAAGAAAACTGATGAGGGGAGGGTTTCATAAAATATATTAAAACAAATTACAAAACGATAGCAATCAAAACAGTATGTTAATGGCACAGGAATAGACAAAGTAGTAGAACAGACTAGAAAGTCCAGGATTAGAAGCAACTATATATGGACATTTGGTATAGGATAAAGGATGCATTTTTTTTTTAAGAGTCAGGGTCTCTCTCTGTCACTCAGATTGGAGTGCGGTGGTGTGGTTATAGCTCACTGCAGCCTCAAACTCCTGGGCTCAAGTGATCCTCCTGCCTCAGCCTCCCAAAGTTTTGGGATTACAGGCGTGAGCCACTGCACTCAGCCAAAGGAAGCATTTTAAATCACTGGGGCTGGAATGGATTATTTAATAAATGGCATTGAGACAACTGCTAGATAGATGTAAATATGTAAAGCTGAATCCTTACCTAATTTCTTATACCAAGGTAAATTCAAGATGTAGAAAATAAAAAGATGAAAACAGCGGAATACAAAAAGGGGAAAATATTTCTGCAATCTTGGTATGGGGAAGGACTTTCTAAGCATAATAGAAAAGATAAAAATAATGGAAAAGGTGGTTACCTTTGTCAATCAAGTAAACATCTAATATATTTTTTGGCTATTTGCATTTTTTCTTTGGTGAGTGGCCTCTGCATGTCCTTTGCCCATTTCTTTATTTGGTTATTTATCTTTTTCTCAACCTCACATGGCATCTAAGGATTCAAATAAAACAATGATATACTGTCATTCTTTTTTTTTAGTTAAAATTTTTTTTTTTTAGAGACAGGGTTTCACTCTGTTTCCCAGGCTGGAGTGCAGTGGCATGACCATAGCTCACTGCAGCCTTGAACTCCTGGTCTCAAGCAGTCCTCCTGCCTCAGCTTCCCAAGTAGCTGGGACTACAGGAGTGTGCCACCATGCCCTGCTAATTTTTTAACTTTTTGTAGAGACAAGTTCTCGCTGTGTTGCCCAGGCTCGTCTCAAACTTCTGGCCTCAAGTTATCCTCCTGTTTTGGCCTCCCAAAGAAAGTGCTGGAATTATAGGTGTGAGCCACTGTGCTCAGCGTGGTGTCATTCTTGACCCTCCAGTTGGCAAAGATGAAAATCAAATCCCAACCACTCTGATGCCTTTTTGGGGAGAGTAATTTGTACTACCCTTTGGAGGGCAGTTTGGCAGTATGCATCAACATTCTAACTGTGGGGGATTCACCCTAAGAGAAATAATTGGTTAACTATATATACAAAAAGATGTTTGTTGCTATCTGGTTTATAATAACCAGAAATTGCAAACAACCAATAGGTTATTTCTTAAATTTATTGCAGAACATCCACATGAGGTTGTATCATGTTATCTTTAAAAAGTGTGCTTTGTATTTATCTGCATATGTATTTATTACATATTGAAAGGTAAGCTCTTCAAGATATATTTTTGAGTGAAACAGTTGTTAAACAGCAGATATCATGTGTATTTGTGGGTATAGAAGAAGAAATCTAGAAGAATATTCTCCAAAACATTAATTATAGCTGAATCTTGGTGGTGGGATTTTTGCCTTTTTCTTTATTTCTTTATGTATTATTAAAGTTTTTTTACACTGACCATGTATTATATTTAGAAATGGTAAAAAATTTATATAAATATATACACACACACACACAAACACACACACAAACTCACGAGAAAGCAAACTAGCTTCCCAAATTGCTTTACTATAAAGATTTGACTTTTAAAATGTGTTCATTGTATTTGTCAGTTTGAATAAGTGTAGAGCACATTTCAGTGGCGTGGTACTTACTACTCACGGTGACAAGCATAATGGCGCTCCCATCTTTTACATATTGCAAGGGCTCTTCTCATGGGATTAGCTGGACCCTGAGGAAGTGGTGTTGGTGGGACCTGTTGCCATCTTAGTAGAATTCTTTTCTTTCTTCTACCATCATCACATTTTATATAATAAATTATGGAAAATGGATTATTAGTTTTGCTCAAGCTAAAAATCAATTAAAACTTTTCAGATACCTTTTACTTTCCAATTTCTTTTACAATGAAAAAACGTAATCAGAAAAATTTTAAGAAGCTTTTTGGAAAAGTAATAACTCTTACGTTTCAAAAGTGAATGGGCAGAGGTAACCACATACCCAGATTATTCTTAAAAGACATGTTTAAATGAAAAGGATATAAAGTATATTTTAGATCAACTAATTGTGCCGGCCCTGATTTTTACCAAGGACCTATTGCTTTAGGTTTCAAATGTTAAATAACTATATGATTATGACAGCCAGAGGGCCTTCCAACTGTAAGTTTGTAGATGTATTATTATTATTATTATTATACCCTTGAAACACTGACTTTAAAAGACCTGAAATGTGTATATGGTATTCAGTTAGGGTAAGAAGCCTAGGGGGTTGGAGAGGTAGGTAAGATTTTTTACCAGGAGGTTGCATAGCTGGTTATACCCGGGTCACTTGCCAACTGTCTGCTCAGAAGGCTATTTCTGGCAGTGTAGGATAGTATAAATGGGTTTCTCACTTTGTACTTTCTAAAGTCTTTCTGCATGTAACACAGGCTGTCTTTTCCTAATCTCTCAGTTCCCCTTTCTAAACCTCTTTCTGGTTTTCCCTACTCCTACAAGCTCATGTCCAGAGTTGCTGATATAATTCCTTTACAGCCAAGCTGCTATGTCCTCACTTAATATATTTCATTTATTGGTAAATAATCCATATCAGTCACACCAAAATACAACTATGAGTATAGAGAGCACTGGGCTTGGCTTGAAGATAGAAGTCTTGGGTTCTATGGGTCCTTGAGCAAGCCAATTAACCTCCTCTGGCCTCAGTTCTATAATGTGGGCATCATAATAAACTTTATAAGGTGTGGTTAGGGAGATGAGATGATGTATGTATATCAGTTAGGGTAAGATTTGGCTGCATTCAACAGAGAAACAACAAAAACAGCAAAACCGTAGTTTTCAGTAAAGTAGACATGTAGTTTACTAAAATTTCGAAGTTTTGAATAAGATAGAAGTTTATTTATTTCCCATGTGCAAGTCCAGAGATAGGCTGTCCAGGACTAGCATGACACTCCATGGTGTCACAGTCCAATCTTTGTTTCCTTTTGTGCTGCCATCCTTGGTAGATGGCTTCTATCTCCTTGCTCAAAATGGCCACTTGAGCCCCAGCCATCACATCCAAATTCCAACTAGTGGGAAGGAAGAAGGCAGAAGAAGGGTATGCCCTCCCTCTTTAAGGACACTTCCACTAAGGACACAATTGCTTATATATTGTCCGGAACTGCATTAGGTGGTGATGTACTTTTAGGAACCTAAAAATCAGGGTTCCTATTATGAAAGCAAGAGAGATGTTGGGGTAAAACAGCAGTCTCTGCCATGGTATGTAATAGCCTTTTGTGACCTAGGAAATGCTCTGAGTACAGAAATATGTATCATTTATGTAATACTGTCATGAATAACCTCAGTTACATTCATTCATTCACCAAATATTTTTAAAATACTTCTTACAGATGTAGCACTAGAGCTGACACCCTGAATACTTCATTGTGTACTTTCTTGGTCAATTTATGTTAACTCCAAAAAGCATTGAAGGAATCACATTGCTGCAACTTTTTTCTGCTTTGAGCACCTGGGAACAGAACATGATACCATGTCCCTTTCTTTGGGGGAGGGAGGGAGAAGGGTGACACTAGTACATACTAAATGGTGGCTCTTCAGCTCAGTGGTACCGACACTGTGTGTTTTTCCCTCCAGCATCTGTCTTTTGTCATCAGTGCTTCATGTTGATTTATACCTTGCATCCTCACTTGCTTTTCATATATGCCTTTTCTCCTACTGAAAACACACATGCAGGATTGACTCTTCATCTTCTGACCTTGTCTCTTTCAAGCAGGGGACACTCCATGTTTGAGCAGGCATGCGTTTTATTTGGGAAGCAAAGATGGACAGATAGGCAAACAAGCATGCATAACCTAATGGTTGGGAAGTATTGCCCATTACCGGCTTTTCTCAGGAAGTCCCAATATGTAAGAACACTTAAAGAAATAGGACCTCCAGTCACAGGCTCAAGATATTTCATTTGGAAAAGATCCAGAGATGTCTGACATCCTGCCTCCTCATCTTTCAGTAATAGACAGTGCGTTTAAAAAAATCTTTTTTTATTATGAAAATTTTCAAACTTTCAAAAAACAACAAGAGCCCACCACTAAGAATAAATGTTAACACTTTGCCATATTTACTTTAAAAGAACCATCATAAAATTTTATAGACTTAAAGGTTTGTTCCATATGTAAACATAGACTCACACCCTTGTGTCATTCATGTTTTTGCATGAATGCCTCCTTATCTGGGACACCTCCCCTGATCTTCCCATGTAAAATAGCAACCCTTAATCAACCTCTAACTTCTCCTTCCTAGCACTTCTCACCACCTGACATATGTAGTGAATTTATTTGTTTGTCTTCTGTCTTTCTCCACTAACTGTTCAGCTCCATGAGCTCATCATGGCTTTGCTTATGGTTGAGTCACCTGCACCTACAGTGGTGCCAGCACTGGCTAGGAACGCATGAACAGAGCTGAAGCCTCTTTTAATCTCCCTGACACATCACCTCCCTCCCCGCCTCTCTCCCCAGGGGGAACCACTGTCCTGAAGTTTTATCCTTGTCTTTATATACTCTAATTTTATCAATACCTTTATGTGCACATATATACATAAATGCTAGAACAATAAACAGTGTTGTGTATCTTTAAAAACGTTACATATGTGAACAGTTTGTATGGTCTGTAACTTGCTTTTTCTCACTCAACATTATATGTTCCAGATTCATCTATGTGGATACATGAGCATTTACTTCATATATTTCATATTCCTATGATATTCCTTGTAGGCTTTTATCACAGTGGATCCATTCTTAGTTACAGCTTTTTAATCATGGCTCTATCAACCTCCTTTTGTCCTAGGCTCTCTGATTCTGACCTGTGCTAACGATTGTACAAATAATAAACATGAGTTAGAAAAAATGATTAAGATGGTAAATTTTATGTTATGTGTATTTTACCACCATTAAAAAAATTTAAAAACTTATTAAGTCATATACCTTAGAAAAATGGGATAGCAAGAGAACCATGTAAGAATTTTCATAAGGACTGTACTGTTTGTAAAAATAACACCATTGTAAGTTGTTTGTTTGTTTATTTATTTATTTATTTTTGAGACTAAGTCTCACTCTGTCACCCAGGCTGGAGTGCAGTAGCGCAATCTCAGCTCACTGCAACCTCTGCCTCCTGAGTTCAAGTGATTCTCCTGCCTCAGCCTCCCGAGTAGCTGAGATTACAGACATGTGCTACCATGCCCGGCTAATTTTTGTATTGTTAGTAGAGATGGGGTTTCACCATGTTGGCCAGGCTGGTCTTGAACTCCTGACCTCAGGTGATCCACCCACCTCGGCTTCCCAAAGTGTTTGGATTACAGGTGTGAGCCACCACACCCGGGCTGTAAGTTGTATTTTTAGGGAATGAATTTTACTTGGCACCATTGAATCCATTTAATTATAAAAATCTCTTTTTCAAGGACTTTTGACTTTGTTCTCGGTACCTTAAAAATAGATTTCCCTCAGAAATGATACATTTCAATATATAGGTCTCCCATATTAGAAAACCTTGATAGTTTTTCTCTCAAGCAGGGAAACTAGAGAACAAATGTGTCAAGGTGCCCTAAAGTAATATTCAGAACTTGGCTTTTGACAAGATTCTAAATGTCAGGGAAGTCTGTTTTTGCTATAACATGACAACTCGACTTCAAATATAGGTACAGAATTACTGCAGTGCCTGGGTTTTCTTTAGGACACATTTAAATATCCTCTTTGTGAGCTTCCTATTAAAAGAATACTTGCTAGAGGACAAAGTTTTATTTAGAAAGGGTTTTGAATATTTTGTGATATAATTGTAGGTGTCACTGAAAAAGTTAAGGAAGATTTTACCACCCATAATTTTGAATAATGACTTAGTAGTCTAGGGCTCAGTGTGAAACTTTTCTAGAAAGATCACATGATTGATCCTGTTTTGCATTTTGCTTATAGAAATTGTTGGGGCTGTACTATGAATATCTTGTTTCTAAAGATACAGTCAGACTTTAGCCATTTAACAATTTCAAAACAGGTCTTTTTAATGCAAACTAATAAATTTGGTTAGCATATTTCCTCAAACTTTATTAAACTTGAGTATGGAAAAACAATTTTAAAACATATAGGGCAGACAGCTAAATTATCTATTTAACCTTGGCTGTTTCACTTCTATTCAATCAGCAGACAGTTATTGAGCATCTACCGTGTTCCTGGTGCTGTGCTAGGGGTTGGGACTATAAGATGAATAGGACAGTTGGTCAGGTGTGGTGGCTCAAGCCTGTAATCCCAACAGTTTGGGAGGCCAAGGTGGGCGGATCACTTGAGCTGAGGAGTGTGAAACCAGCCTAAGCAACATGGTGAAACCCTGTCTCTACTAAAAATACAAAAAATTAGCTGGGTGTGGTCGTGGGCACCTGTAACCCCAGTTACTTGGGAGGCTGAGGCATAAGAATTGCTTGACCTTGGGAGATGGAGGTTGTGACTGCACCCCAGCCTGGGCGACAGAGTGAGATTCTGTCTCAAACAAACAAAATAAGATGAATAGGACAGGGTTCCTGCCCTGCTGGATCATACAATCAGGTGAGTGAGACAGACATGTAAGCCAAGATCACAGAGGAAACGTCAGTACTGCAATAGAGGTAGAAATGTTCCATCACTGCACGTTCCTGGTGTAGCCAGGGCTCTTACAGCACTAGACTCCTACACTCAACAGTGTCAGGAAGTACATGGGTAGGGGGATTTGGTGGTGGCGGGAGAGCTTTTCAGCTTACCTACCACCTTTATCAACCACTTTCTTCAAGCTATTAAGAATAATAATGGGGCCGGGCGTGGTGGCTCACACCTGTAATCCCAACACTTTGGGAGGCCAAGTTGGGTGGATCACTTGAGGTCAGGAGTTCTAGACCAGCCTGGCCAATATGGTGAAGCCCCCCTCTCTACTAAAAATGCAAAAGTTAGTCGAGTGTGGTGGTGGGCACCTGTAATCCCAGCTATTTGGAAGGCTGAGGCAGGAGAATTACTTGACGCTGGGAGGTGGAGGTTGCAGTGAGCCAAGATCATGCCACTGCACTCCAGCCTGGGAGACAAGAGTGAGACATTATCTCAAAAAAAAAAAAAAAAAAGAAGAAAAATAACGGACATGGTAATAATAATGGGAGTAATTTTTGACTTAGGCAATTGTTTTCTCCATCTTATACTAAATATGACTTAAAACATCTTTTGAAACCTTTTAATTGAATTTCTAAAAGAAGGCTTAAAGTTTTTATAGCAGTTTTAGGTTCACAGCAAAATTAAGCAGAGTTAAGAGACTTCCCCTATACCACCTGCCCCTACACATGGTTGGCTTCCTCCCGCTATTAACATCCCACCCAAGAGTGGCACATTTGTTACAATCGATGAACATCATCATGACAAACCGACACTTGACGATCACCCAAAGTCCATAGTTTACATGAGAATTCTGTCTTGGTGTTGTACAGTCTGTGGGTTTTGACAAGTGCATATCTTACATCCACCATTATAATATCATACAGAATAGTTTCACTGATCTAAAAATCCCTTTTGTTCTCCCTAATCATCCTTCCTTCTCCTGTTTCACTGAATTTTAAATTTCATTTTATTTAATTTTCTCATATAACCTAAGTAAGAACAGCCTGCCAGAAATGTAAAAGTAGTTCCAGTTAGACTGTCACTCCAAAGCCCTCCCAAACAGACATTCTAGCATAACCACTGACTATATTAGCTCCTTTGATCATCTGTCCCTCTACTTGAGAGCTGCTGTGTTTAGCACAACTGCCCAAAGTTTATGTCAGGGTCTGTGGCATTAGATCCTGCAGTTTCAAATCTTGTTGATCGCCAGCTTCCTTCTCCCATCACTCTTTGGCCACTATCATCTTCAAAGAAAACTCGGAAGTTCCTGAACAGATTCACCTCTGTACTCCTAAGGGCTGGGGGTCTTCTGTGGTTCAGATGTCTGATTATAATAGAAACAGACCTGTTTGCTTTTAGAGAAGCAAATGTTTTCTGTGTTCAACTGAGCTTGTAAAATTTCATTAAGAAACTAATCATTAGCCCTGATTAAACAAACGCTGGATGCTTGGCATGAATATTTTAACTTCCTATTTCTAAGCTGCCTCAGCCTTCTCAAGTACTGATTGTCAGCTGGGACCAATAATTTACCTGCACAGTTTGCCACTCCATCATCAGGGAATCTCCACCACCCCCGGCCCCATCAACTAGGGGAGAAAACTAAGGCTCTTCCAGTGCCCCAAACATGAAGCCGCTTCTCTGATGCTCATTAAAGAAACTTTCACAATTTAAATAGAGAATCTCACTGCTGCCTACTCTAATACAGGAAAGAGACTCTAAACTCTGCATCTCATTTTAATTCAACTTGAAATTGCCACCAGTTTCTACCCTTCCATATTTGCCTTCATGAACATTTCAGACTTTAACAAAAATCTGATCTTTTTACTGATATTAAAAAGACATATGAAAATGTGTTTAGCATTAAGCATTTATTTTCAAGTCTAAGAAAGATAAAGATGCACAAAGCTTAAAGAAGTTGCTGCCAGTGACTCAGTCATTATTAATATTGCTCTAGGCACAATGAATTGGAATGGTGTTAGAAAGATTTTCTCTAGGGAAGACTACATTATGACAGCATTTTCCAAAGTGTGTTTCTCAGAGTCCAGAACAAGTCTGACAAGTGTTTAGGAGGGAAAGAAAGGGAGTTTTGTGGCCAAGTAAACTTGGGAAGCACTTCTACCACAAATTTCCTTGTATTTTAGTGATTTACAAGGTAACTGTCATATTAAAGGTTCTGAGAATTCCTGCCATAAGGGAATCTGTTTAACTTTCTTGAACACCGTGTTTCTCAATGTCATTTGGCTTTGAATGCCTCCCAGTTTTTTTTTTTTTTTTTTTTTTTTGGAAACAGGGTCTTGTTCTATCGCCCAGGCTGGAGTGCAGTGGAATAATCATGGCTCACTGCAGCCTCAACTTCCTCGGTTCCTACAAACCTCTCACCTCAGCCCCCCAGGTAGCTGGGACTACAGGCACACACCACCATGCCCAGCTAATTTTTGTATTTTTTGTAGAGATGGGGTTTTGCCATGTTGCCCAGGCTAGTCTTGAACTCCTGGACTCAAGAGATCCATCAGCCATGGCCTGCCAAAGTGCTTGGATTACAGGCATGAACCACGTACCTGGCCTCCTCCCTCTTTTTTTTAAAAAATTTTTAACAGCTGGGATGATCCCTCAGAGCCAGTGGAATATACCTCGAGACATACTGCTCTAGAATTAGAGTCTCTGGAATAGTCTGTGGCAGTGGTTCTCTAACTTGAGTGTGTATCAGAATCCTGGAAGGCTTGTTAAAATACAGATTGATGGGCTTTACCCTCAGAGCTTCTGATTTGGGAGGTCCAGGGTGGGGCCTGAGAATCTGCATTTCTAGTAAGTTCCGGTGATGCTGATGCTGCTGGTTGGGGACTGCACTTTGAGAACCATTGGTCCGTGGTCAACTGGGAGGAAAACAGATGTTCTGGAGGTGGGAGTGGAGTAGGGTATCACAATCCACTGCTACATAGTATGCAAGTAAATTTATTCACTCAACATATACTGACAGAATCTGCTATGTGTCAGGCACCATGACAGGTGCTGGGGTTGTATTAGTGGTGGACACAGGCCTGGTCCTTGCATCAGGAGTTTACAGTGTATTGGAGAGAAAGGAAGTAAACAGGTAAAGGAAATGAATGAATAGGTACTTATAAACTGAGAAGACTGCTATGAAGAAAGCCAAGTGTGCTATGATACTAACAAAAGGTAGTTAGGAAAGGTCTCTTGAGGTGGCAGTGACATTTAAGCTGAGACTGGCCATGAGAAATTGGGGGCCATGAGAAGATTGGGGGGAATGTTTCAGGCTGGATAAAGACAGGAGCAAAGGCCCCAAGGAGGGTTAGGGGAGAGAGTGCAACTTCCCAGAAGAAAATTAAGGCCAGTGTGGCTGAAGGAGAGTGAAGGAGGGGGAAGGTGGTAGAAAAGGAAGTTGGAGAGGAGACAAGAAAGGGGCCGGTCATCAGAGCTGAGCGAGGAGTTTGGATTCCACTTAGGTGCACAATGTTCTGGAGAATATTTTGGAAAGTCACTCTGGGTGTTGTGTGAATTACAGATTGTGACAGGGAGAGTAGAAGCTGTGAGAGCAGCAGGAAGACCATAGTTGGGGTCAGGGCAGAAATGATGTGCCTGAAGTAGGGTGTTTGCAGTGGCCATGACGCCATGTACTCATGAGCTCTAGGGGGCGCCACTCACATGGATTACGGTACTTCTAACCTCTACATGGGGAGAGCTGCAGATTGCTTCCAAGTGTGTCATGAAGGTAGACCACTCAGGATTTGATGATGGATTCAATGTGAGGGGCAAGGAAGAGAGAGCATCTAAAAATGAGTCCTGAGTTCCCAGCCTGAGCAATAGGGAGAAGAAGGGGAAGAGCTAGAGGAGGAGAAGGAGCAATTCATTTCTGAGAGAGGAGACAGAACTAAAGAGTTGCTTCGCAGGGGACAGCAAAGTGACAATTGCCACCATTATTCTGCACATGTAGTAATTGGCTGTTTGCTGGTACACAAAGGAAATGATGATGGGGTTTAATAAATCTTGTTGTTAGAGTCCCCTGTATATTTTAATAATCAATGACTGCCTGGTTACCCTGAGTTTGAAAATAAATAAGGCCATTTAACACTAAACATAATGTTGTCTTTCTATAATAATTCAGAGAGCACTTCAGAATCTCACAGAGACTTTTACTATTGCAGTATAAAAACCACCCCAAAGTTTAGTGGCATAAAACAGCCAATTGATGATGCTCATGGATTTTGTGGGTTAAGAATTCCAACAGGCACAGTGGGATAGCTTTTCTCTGTTCTGTGGAAAGACTTGTCAGCTGGGGTGACTTGACAGATGGGGGCTGGAATCATCTAGAGGTGACTTCACTCACATGTCCGGTGGCTGATGCTGGCTGTCAGCCTGAACACTTCTATGTGGCCTTTCCATGTGGCCAGGGCTTCAGTTCAGCAAGGCAGCCACAAGGTTGTTGAACTTGTGACAGGGCGGCTCAAGGCTCCAAAGACAAGTCATTTTTGCAAAACTCTTGAATCTCTGAATTATATGTTACAGGTAGCTAAATTCATGTTCTGCCCAATAGAATGCTAGATAAAAAGAGATGGCTCTGCTCAACATGCTGCCTCTGGGATAGTCTCACTCTTAGGGAAGAAGAGTATGGTAAAGGGGAAAATCTGCATGTTTTGCATGAAACCAGATGACAAAGATCATCACTTTGGCTGGAAGACAGTCATGCAGTTAACAAGTATTTTTTCAGTTTCTTCCACATGCCCAGCCACGGGAGGTGAAGCAACCAAGTATAGTTCATGCTTATTAGAGAATGTTTGTAAATTAAGACATAGAAGAATGGTCTTGAACTATTTAAAAACATCACCTGGATGTAGATTTCCCAAAACCCCTGCTCTTAGATGCATTCTGGTGGGCTTCATTGACAAAGTAACAATACACAGTATTTTCTTTAACTGTAGAAATTATTCTTGATTTGGGTTCTGGGAAGTCTTCGATGATTGGAAGATACCCATCTAAGATAGATGGTCTAGCTCTTAGATAAGATCCTTGATGTAAGGTATGTAGATTCCAAAAAGGGGAATATAGGCATCTTAGGAAGTGTGCCAGATGATCCACTGGGGGCAATGAAATATCTACTTCAATCTGTTTTTAAAAAATTAAAATGTATATTTTATGTGTATCTTATTGCATATTAAATATGATAATATAGTGGCATGTATATGAAGTTTATGAAAGAATAAAAATGTATGTGTTCAAAAAGACTTTTTTTTTTTCTTTTGGCTGATTGGTGGCAGGCGCTGCTGAAAGGCAAATGTCTTATTTCTACCTTATAGCTAATGCTTTTCAAACTTTGATGTGCATACACATCACCTGAGGAGGCTTGATTTTTCTCAGCACAGTGCAAGAGTGACTGGAATTTGGGAAAATGATTCACACAGTATAAACTCAGACTGATTTATAAACAAAAATACCACATATATTAATTTCTATTAGCTTAAAAACTAGACCTGTCACTTATGATGTTATGCTTTTATTCTTGGACAAAGTAATTTCTCTCAGGACACTATATATCACATAAGAATTGACTTGATTTATCTTGAAAAGAAAATATTTGGTTCCTAAATGGTATTTGCAAGAAGTCAATATAGCCTAGCGATAGGTTATTCTAGGATACAGCATAGAATAGTGGCTAAGAGTGTGAGCATTGGTGGCCAGAGTGCCTGGTTCCAAGTGTGGCTCTGCTGTCTACCAGCTGTTATATGACCTTGGGTTAGGTAATTAATCTCTCCGTGCCTCTATTTCCTCATCTGTAAAATGGGGATATCCCATTCTGAGCATAATCCATGAAAAATGCTTATAGCAGGTTCTGGCATATGTTTAAAACAATCATTGTCAGTGATTCTTCTTCTCTGTTCTAGGAATATTTCTTTCTAAAGAATTTACTTTTTGTCTAGAATCAGCAAACTTTAAATTCTGTAGCCATATCCTTATCACATAACATCCTCTTTTCAATATTCCTCGCTTTCATTTGGTGCCTTTGTCATTTAAGTATCTTAAGTGCTTATAGAACAGGGATCCTTACTCATTCATCTTTGTATCCCTAGAACCTATCACAATGCTTGGCTCTCAAAAGCTGCCCATAACAGTTTATGGCATTACATGTCCTTCAGAGCACGTCTTTGGATTGCAGTTTATTGGGTCCAAATTGTGTTGCTTTTGGCCAAAGGCATAAGCATACTTAGAAAGAAAAGTACAGATCCTGCTTGCCAACTCAAAAGCTTTCAGAATCCAGGAGGCAGTGCCATTGTGTAAAGAAGGTGTTAGGGAGTGGTGGGGGTTGTACTGAACTGGACCATTCATACCCCAATAAAGATATTCCACTTTAGATTTTACAAACCTCTGTAACAGTCAAGCAAAATCTGCAGGCAGATTTAGGGTTCAACTTTTAAGCTTTGGTATAGATTAAAACAGGATATTGGAACTTACAAAGTTATGTTTGTTCCCTCTACTAAAGTATGAACTTAAGGCAAGAACAGTGTCATGTCTTTTTGTCTAAACTTGCCTGGAATCTCTATGTTCATTGTAAAAATTATTAGAAAATCCTTCTGTTCATGTCATAAAATGAGTCAAATCATTTACATTATCACTATATAAATGATTTTGAACTAAAAGAAGTCCAAGTTTAAAAGCTATCACGTACCAATAGATGCTCATAGTTACTATTAAACATTTCTTTCATTGCTTAGGTCTTAGGGTAAATGGTTCCTGATGCTATATATGCCAGCATCATATCTCATCAGTAATGCTTCCACAAATTGTATTTTATGGTGTTTGCTCCCAGGAAAACTCCAGCAGTTGACTAACTTATCCATCATCTTCTAGACATGGAACAGCATTTTCTGAGCATCTCTAGTGCTGAGTGCCTCTTACATTTGGCCTTCTGGTTCCCAATCACTATTCCTAGCTGCTTACAGGTACTTGATCACAGGTAACCTGAGATCAGAGACACTTCTTGTGACCCACTCACTGTGGTCGTGCTCACTCGACCTTTCTGTCACCCCAGAAATTACAAGTGGCTGTGCCAAGGATTAGATTTTGTTCACTAAAGATGAAGGCTTGTCCGGTCAGCTCCTCTGTCAGGTGACACCTCCCACGGAGTCTGGCACGTTCCATTTTGTTCCTCTGATCCTGAGCATCTCCAGTCATGGGACCTGTTAGAGAGCATGTTTACCTGGCCCTTGGACATATTCTCCTTCCTCTTGTTCCGATGGTGCCATCTTGTTTACTCTGGAATTTGCTCAGTCTTTCGAATTCAGCCAGCCAGCCAGAAGGGGCGTGTTGAGGAAAGGGTGAAAACATGGGTTAAATCCTAACCGGCAACATTTGCTGAGTGCTAACCATGTGATAGGAACTGTGCCAAATGCTTTCTAAGCATCATTTCATTCCATCTCACACATCTTCAGGAGGTAGGGAGAATGATTCTATTAGCCCCATTTTACAGACAAATAAACAGTAGTTTAGAGGAGGATCTAGTAACTTGCCTAAGGTTATATGGCTCCAAGTGGCAGGGGGCAGGGTTTGAACCCAGTTCTTCCGCCTCCAGGGCCCACTAGGATGTACTGCCATCCTCAGAGATGGCTAAAAACCAAGGTAGAATAAACTAAATGGAAAAAAAAAACCCTCAAAACCCAGGGAACACAGAGGAAGGGACAACTACTTCTGAGAGGCATTGCTGGGAATGCATGGAGGAGGCTGAGGGTTGGGCTGCAGAAGATGAGGAGGCGGCAGGCCCAAATGAGCGGAGGCCTGGTGGCGAGAAAGCGGACGTCCGGGGCAGGAGGGGCCAGCGACCTGAGGTCCGGGGCAGGGGTTGGGGCGCGGGAACCCCGCAGCAGCAGGGGAGGGGGCTCACCGCGCATGCTCCCGGCTCCGAGCGGCCGCGAAGCCGGCCTTTGTTTCTTTCCCACCCAGGAGCCGCTGCGGTGGGGGAAGGGCTCTTCTGAGCGCTGCTCTTCAGCTGGGGGAAGGGTGCGACCTGCCCGACCCCACAGTGTGGCCGCCCCCAGAGAACAGAGGGGCGCCTCAGAGGGAAAGGTCTTCCGCTACCAGGCCCCGCCAGGGAACTCCAGGGACCCCGCAGCTGCGCCTCCCGCCCCTCCCCACACCTTTGACCTTGTGCTGCCAGAGAGGGGTCAAGAACCGCAGGCACCAAGGGGTCTTGCTACCCAGACGCAGCCGGCGGTGTCAGAGGCCAGGCCTCCCGGGACCCGAGGAATGTAGAAAGCCCCCACTCAGCCAGGTGGGAATAAAGGAGCCTCGCTCCCCGGGAATGGAACTTCCCCACCAACTCTGGTTCTAGCCCAGCGACAGGGCTGGACCAGGACTGGGCCTGCAGCACACCGCAGCCTCTTAGGAAAGTCCATCCTTCTGGGAAATTCTTGAGGGATTGAGAAGAGTAAGGACTCCACGTGACCCGGCTTCCTTTTCTTTTTGTACTTTCTGAAGCACTCGGATGGATCCACTCCCCCACTGTAATCTCTTAAACCCTCACCTTTTAAGAAATAGTGGTGGCCGGGCGCGGAGCTTCATGCCTGTAATTCTAGCACTTTGGAGGGCCGAGGCGGGCGGATTACCTGAAGTCAGGAGTTCCAGGCTAGCCTGCCCAGCATGGTGAAAACCCGTCTGTACTGAATATACAAAAATTAGCTGGACGTGGTGTCGTGCGCTTGTAGTCCCAGCTACTCGGGAGCCTGAGGTAGGAGAATCGCTTGAACCCAGGAGGTGGAGGTTGCAGTGAGCCACTGCACTCCAGCCTGGTGTTAACCTTCTGCTCCCCAGTCCTCCCTCCCAGCACTGGGCCTGCCCTGGCCTGTTAAAGATCACCAGCCCACTTCTTCCACTTTCCATGACTGTTCCAACATCTAGATTTCCTACGCCTGGAAATGTTCCACACCAGTAGTTTCATTCTAATGGGAGCCTCTAATTTTTTCATGCGCATGTTGGGGCTAGCCAGAGACTACTAAGTAAATGTCCCACATCTTTAAAAAACTCAGTGCTGGTTTCCTATTCAACAAGCCACTTGGCCTCCCAGGAACTGGCACTGTGGGACTGGTTGTGGACATAGTGTCACTCTCTAAGGATTATTGCAGGTTGAGGTCTCACAGAAACCAGAACTGCACAGCAGGCAGCCCTCATAGGAGGGGACACAGGTGAGCATCGTTGCTGTGGAATGCTAACCCAGCCTCATAGCTTCTAGGTACCACCTTAGCAAGCCTGTTTTTCTCACCCACTGGGTAAGTCAGGTTCAAGTCATGGCTCTAATTTAGAACAACAGAATTGATAGGAAGCCTGAAGGGCTGAGGGTTCTGAGATGGTCAAACAGCTTTGAAACAAGGCCAAGCCCTGCCTGTGATGGACTGAGGTGGTTGCTATCTTCACTCAAGGTTAGGGATAGATGAGAACCACAAAAAAAACCAAGCCATTGATTCCATCCAGACCCTAGTAGACAACCGGTTCTCTGTCTCACCACAGAAACCTGCAGGCCGCCCTCATATAGGCAGACCCTTTTCTTATTGTGGCATAGGCTTTGATAAAAAGTTTAAGATGCATTAAGACTTCTTTCTATTCCTGCAAGACATATATTGAGCACTGACTGTATGCCAGATGTGTTGTTAGGTTGATACAGAGATGAATAAGACTGTTTCTGCCCTGTACCCATAGCCCAGTTAGGGGCAGGCAGAAAAAGGAAAGCAGGCAGTTAGATGTGATGGTACTGTCCAGAAGCCTATAGCATGGAGGAGGGGATGCAGGGTGGAGAACCAGAAGAGGTTTCAGAGGAAAGGACACTTGAGCTCAGTGTGAAAAGACTTTCGAGTGACCCAAAAATCTTAAATTAGAGGCTCCCTGTTTTGTGGCTTTAAAATAAAACATTGTCCTTATGTCTAATGTCCTTGGTTCTCAAGAGGGAGTTGTTTTGTGCCGTATTTCAAAGCATCACACTTCTACATTTCCGTCTGAGACTCGCCTTTTGGACAGGAATGCACCACTGCCAGCAGTCTTGGCTTTGGTGGGAAGAAGGTAGAAGGAGCTCATCAGGTTCATAGAGGAGGAAATACCAATTCTTAGAAATAAAACGGTTCATAAGAGGTAGACCAAAGGTCATAGAGCTCTGTTGGCTTTGTTCAGTGGCATTCAGGGAATGAAGCCTCAATGTCTTGTCACATTTAGGGTGGGAAGAGAAAATCATGTTGGAACAGCTGTGCTTAAAACATAAGCATATCATCTTGGGGGTGAAGTTGGGGAGTGATCTAAGATTAGCATTGACTTGAGGACTATAGAGAGGAAAATGCCACATACCAGAACACACTGTGGGCTAAGGCATTTAGCCAGATGGATCACGAATAGTAATGGGGTCTTCTGGGGATTTCAAGACTGAGTATGAAGCACGCCAGTGACTAGGGGCTGGTGGAAAGAAGGTAGGTGATAGAGGAGCAGACCCTCCAAGTCACGAGACCGTAGCATGGTGTGAGCTAACTTTCCCTATCTAGAGGAAGTGGAAGTCTGATGTGCTAGAGAGATATGCCTGGATCTGTTCCATCTTGAGGTCAGATTGCCCAGAGAGAGACACAAAGATTTCCAATCTAGAGTAGACATGAGGTGATGCCCCAGGATCCTCAGCTGATTGAACCCCGTGTCCTCTAGTCATTATTTTATAATTCAATGGAAAAAATAATCAGTTTTTCACAATTTGATATGTAGACCACTTTCAGAAATACATATGGTAAGCAAGATACATTTAAATTAAAAATTATTCACTTCCATGAACACATAAACACAACAGAGAAAAGATAGTAATTGCAAGCAAGCAAACCATCCAAATATATATTAGTGTTTAATCCATCCATGGAATGCAATATCCCTGTGTCCTCTCTGGTGTTGAGTATATGAGTATTTGAGATTTTTGTAGGAGAAGACTCTATTCTTGCATTCTTGATTCTCTCAGAGGCAAGGTTTTTCAAGTGTGGATTCTAGGGCCTCTTAGCCCATGTGAAAAAATACTAGTTAGTCCTGAAATACAAAGCAATTTAAAGTTGCTTTAAACTTTAAATTTTTCCCTTTAAAAGGGAAAAACACCCCCTACAGCCCAAGTTTATGAAGGCTAAATGCATCCCTAGTGACCGTTTTTTTGCTGGGTGTGCTCAAGTATGTGTAGGTTTATTTGACATTGCCCTGGAGGTAGAGATGCATCTCCCATATGCCTTATCTTCGAAAAGTGCTGTTACGTAGCCATCTCCCAATTCTGGGAGCACTCGTGTCAATCTGTAATGAAGGGGCTTCGAAGCCTGCCATTTTGAGGTCTAGCCTCACTAAGCAGAATACTCCATTAGGAATCTTTGTAGTGTGTTCGGTTTTCTGTCCCACTGGCTCAATTTAGAAAGGGCATAGAAGAATACTTCCTTTTTTTTGTTGATACAGAAAGCGACCCCCTGGTTATCTGCCTGAGGACCTGTAATGAGTCTGTGGTGGATTTACTTCTAATTAAGTTACTAAGAAGGGGCTTCTATTGATAACATAGGAGTCTTGGCCTGCAGAATTTTCCTGACAAGTGTCAGAAAGATTTGGTGAGGATGTTCTGGCTTGGGGTTGACTTATTTGAAGGTTTTCAGCTTTGGGTGAGGAGAGAAAGGGTACAACATCCAAACCCCCAGGGAAGCTCCCATCTGTCCAGTTTTAACCAGATCTGACTCTGCTCAGATATTGAGACTGGATGGGAAAGGAGGCCTTCAGGGCAGCAGGGATATATTCTGAGCAGGGAGTGAGAGTCGCTGATATATAGGTGTTTTAGGGGATTCTACCAGGGGAAGAGACTGCTGCAGGTCCTATGAGATTAAGGATAAAGAATGGAAGGCCCGACTCTAGAGTATGAGAGAGGCTTCAGTTACCTTTGGGTTGGGATAGGACAGGCTACAATGGCCAGGATACAAGATGCAATGGTTGACTACTTCATGGAGGGGAGAGGAGGCAGGCAAGCACTGCTATTGGCTGGCTGTGGGCAGAGTAAATGCTTCTACTTGTAAACAAATATAACTTCTTGCCAGTAAACTTGTTCCCCCCAGGATCTGTCTGCATCTCCTTATTTTCCTCTATAGTCATCAAGGAGAACTAAAAAAATTGGGATAAGCCACAGAGATGTCATTGATAATAGTAGTAAGAGGAGCTAATATTTATTGGACATCTAATCTGTGCCTGCATGTAGGTAATCCTATTTTTCATTTTAGAATGAAAAAGAAAAATGAGTAATCAGGTTGATTTATTTACTCAAAGTCACACAGCTCATACGTGGCAGAGGAGGGATTCAAAGTTGGGTCATTCTGACTCCAGAGTTTGTTTTTTTATAATGAAAGTGCATGCGTATGTGTGTGCGTGTGCATGTGTGTATGTGTGTGTGTGTGTCTATCATATAGGCCACCTGATAAGAAAGATTAGATAAGAAAGGAAGATTTGGGTAGAACCAAAGGCCTCCAAAATGCTGTGAGGAGGATGAAGCAGGTTCTTTCTTAGAGAGGAATTCTTAATGGTTAGTTAATGCCTTACCTAGTGGTGTTGAGAGAGCAGCGGATGTGGAGTCAGGAAATCCAGGGTCACCAAATATTGGTGTGTGACTTTGGGTGAGTCACTTAACTCTGAGTCAACCTTAATTCCTGTCCTGTAAAATGAGGACAATAATACATACTTGATCAGTCTGTCTGGATTTTCTTAAGAATCAGCTGATGCACTGTATAGAACAGTACTTGGCAACTTTATGAATCATTAGACAAATTACAATTTTGCCATGTTTAATCATAAATGTAATGTTTTGTCGTTTTCAAAGAAACACACTCACATATCAATTATTCAGAACCTACTACAAGGTATTGAAGTCTTTGGACAGGAAATAATGTCCAGTGCTTTACTATTTGTGATTACTTAAGAAAAGCTTTTGCTAGAGCAGACCTGTATTTTTTTAATAGGAAAGTCTTTTATTATTTACAAGAGGAATTTTATTTTCTTGTTTGTAAACTGCAAGTCTTGAAACACAGTCAAACAAAGTAGAAAGTGAGGAATGCCCATAAAATTATTCACCCAGAGATAATTAGTGTTAACATCTTAGTGTCTTGTGCTGATCTGATATCTTCGGCCAGAAAACTGCATTGTTGATTTTTATTGTGAGTATTACACATAAGCTCTGTTTCTAAAATATCCACCTGGAGGTTGAAAAAAACTTGGAAAGAACTACTAATCATTTCTGTTAAAATGGTTTTCTGTGGACCACAGAAACTGTTCTATATATAAGCTTTTGCTTTTAATTCCAGGGAGTGGAAAGGAAGAAGGGGGAACCCCATAGCTAGGAGTTATTGTTATATCCAGAGCAGATGCCTTTGAGCATCTCCTTTCATTGCACAGTTTCTTTCTGTTTAACTTTTTCTAATACCGTGTGTATGTGTGTGTATGTGTGTGTGTGTGTGTGTGTGTTTGTTTGCTCTTTGCTGATGGGTGTGTTTAATCTAGCATTAGTCTACTGTAATAGAATGTCCCCTGCCTGGAGTCAAGAAAGCAAGATTCTTTCAGGCGTCATAAAGGCAGGGACCCTGTCCCTTGAAGGCTGCTGCATCTTCAGGTCTGAGCACGGTGCTTGGCGTATGGTGGATCCCCAGTAAATGTTTTTGTCTATTGTATGAATGAAAGATTCCACCATTGCCATCAAGAGCTGTGTGACCTTCAGCCAATCGATTAAACTCTCCGGATGTCTCTGATGCCCTTCCAGGTTAAGTTTAAATATTTTGTAATTCTAGCTTCCTCTCCTGTGATTTTGATCCTGACACTGTGTGTTCATTTATCTGATGACAAACTTTCACCATTGCTAGCCCCTTACAGTGGTGAAAAACTAGCAGCTGCCTTCTTTTTACCCTTTCATCAATAGGAGATAGTTTCCCAGATGATTATGTTATTCTTTTAGTTATCTGCCTCTCATTAATCTATGTTTGTTTAATAAATTGGTTAATGAATTAATTAAAAGAGACAGTGAGCCTGTGGTGGGGCCGTAACTGAAACTAGACTTCTCGCCTCACTGGTTAGAGCAGTTCCAATCTGTGGGTTTCCTTAAATACACTTAGCAGTAAAACATTCCCACCATGTGTTCAAGAACGGAATGGAAAACTTTTCAACAAATGCGTTAAGTTTAAAGACACTCCTTCTTAATATGCTTGGGGTCATGCATAGAACAATTGTGAACTTTATTAGCTTTTAGGCTGTCGGGGAAGGTGGTACTCCGAAGACCTGCTTCGGTTTTCATCAGAAGCTCCTGATGATTATCTTGGCAGTGGGTGGTTGTATATTCCTGTTTCGCTGGCACCAAAGCACAGCGTCTTGGCCAGTTTTTCATTCTGTGGGACTTAAGGACCAGAACCCTTTCCCATGTTCTGTTTCCACTGGCTCTCAAGAAATATTCCTGGCCAAGTGATATCAGGGCCTTACAAATAGTTGGTACTTTATCAACTTTCCCCAGCAGAGACCCTTTAAAAGGGCTTCTGTCACTTGGGAATGTCTGGGCACAGTGGTAAGATCCCAAGGGTTCTATGTCAATCCAGTGCTGCCATGTTGCAGTGTATTCAAAGGTTAGGCATAAACCATTTACCTTCCCACTTGTACTTAATTTTCTAGATTTATTTTCTACATCCTTACTCAGTACACATTTGTCAAAGGTTTCATTTAGGAAACAAAATAACCTAAGAGATTTTGAAGAGGAATCTTGGTTGTACCTTTTTTTTTTTTTTTTTTTTTTGACAGAGTCTCACTCTGTCGGCCAGGCTGGAGTGCAGTGGCACGATCTCAGCTCACTGCAACCTCTGCCTCTTGGGCTCAAGCAATTCTCCTGCCTCAGCCTCCTGAGTAGCTGGGATTACAGGTGTGTGCCACCACGCCAGGCTAGTTTTTTTTGTATTTTTAGTAGAGAGGGAGTTTCACCATGTTGGCCAGGCTGGTCTCGAACTCCTGACCTCAGGTGATCCACCTACCTTGGCCTCCCAAAATGCTGGGATTACAGGCGTGAGCCACTGCGCCTGGCTGGTTGTGCCTATTTTTAAAGCCTGTAGATTTTAAGCCAACAGGCCATTCTTTTGTAAGAACTTCACTTTTACATCCACACATAACCAGGGCATAACATGAGCTGCCTCTAAATTAACCCACTATTGGTTAATTCGATTTTGCTATTTCTTTTCTTCTATTAACTGAATAAATTTTGTTGCTTAGGGGTATTTTTAACTTTTAAATATGCCTTTTTTTACTTTACGTAAGAGTGAGAATGTGTTTTATTTGCCTGCTTATGTATTTATGAAACCGCTTAATTGAAATATAATTGACATACAATAAACTACCCATATTTAAAGTGTACAGTTTGCGAAGTTTTGACATATGAAACCATTACCATGATTGAGATAATGAACATATACAGTGCTCCAAAAGCTTCCTTGTTCCCCTTTCAAATCCCTCCCTGCTACCCCTCCCAGTCTCTCCCTTAGGCCCGTCAGGCAACTGCTGATCTGCTTTCTGTCACTGTGTATTAGTTTGCATTTTCTAGAATTTTATGTACGTGGATTTATACAATATGTACTTTTTTTTTGCCCGACTTGTTTCACTCACACAATTATTTTGATTCATCCATGTTGTGACATATATCCATAGTTCATTCCTTTTAATTGCTGAGTAGTGTTCCATTATGTGGAAATAAGTTTGTCCATTCATCTTTTGATGGAAACTTGGATTACTTCTAGTTTTTGGTATTACAAATAAAGCTGTTAGGAATACTCATGTGCAAGTCTCTGTATGGACATATGCTTTCATTTCTTTCCAGTAAATACCCAAGGGTACGATACCTAGCTTATATGGTAGTTGTATGTTTAAGTTTTTAAGAAATTGCCAAACTGTTTTTCAAAGTGACTATATCATTTCCCACTCCTACTAGCAGTGCCTGAATGTTATAGTTCCTCCACATCTTCACCAACACTTGGTATCATTAGTCCTTTTAATTTTAGCAATTTTAATAAGTATGTAATATGGCTTTAATTTGCCTTTCTCTAATGACTAATGACGGTGGGCACTGTTTTTTTTTTTTTGAGACGGAGTCTCGCTCTGTCGCCCAGGATGGAGTGCAGTGGTGCAATCTCCACTCGCTGCAAGCTCCGCCTCCCGGGTTCACTCCATTCTCCTGCCTCAGCCTCCTGAGTAGCTGGGACTACAGGTGCCTGACACCACGCCCGGCTAATTTTTTGTATTTTTGGTAGAGACGGGGTTTCACCATGTTAGCCAGGATGATCTTGATCTCCTGACCTCGTGATCCGCCCGCCTTGGCCTCCCAAAGTGATGGGATTACAGGTGTGAGCCACCACGCCCGGCCCGGTGAGCATTGTTTTATATGCTTATTTGCTATCTGTATATCTTTGGTGAAATATCTGTTCAAATCTTTTGCCTACTTTTTAATTGGATTGTTTGCTTTCATAGTTATTGAGAGTTGTTTTGTAGGTTCTAGATAGAAGTCCTTTATCCAATATATGCTTTACAAATATGTTCCCCCAGTCTGTGGCTTATCTTCATTCTCTTACCAGTGTGTTTCAAAGAGTGGACATTATTCATTTTGATAAAATTCCATTTACCAATTTATCCTTTTATGGGTTTTGCTCTGATGTCATATCTAAGAAATCTTTGCTTAACCCAAGGTGAAAAGATCTTGCCTATGTTTCCTTTAGATATTTTATAATTTTAAGTTTTACATTTAGTTCTGTGATCCATTTTGATTTAATTTTTGTTTAGGGTTCAAGGTATGGCCCAAAGTTTAATATCTCATTGTTCTAGGACCATTTGTTGACAAGGCTATTCTTTCACCAGAGTTTTCTTTGCACCAATACCATATTGTTTTGATTACTGTAACTTTATAATAAGCTCTGAAATCAGGTAATGTTAGTTCTCCAATTTTATTCTTCTTGCCTGCTTGTACTTTTTTACATACAAGCCTTTTGCCCTTGGGTCTAGAGTATTTAGGGCAAGCATGCTAATTATAATGGAGAATAACTTTCATTGTATTTACCAAGGCTTGTAACCATCCAAAAGCCAGCAAGAGCGTGAACAATGGAATCAGATCTGGTTTTGAATCTTGGTTTTACCACTTACTAGCTTTGTGACTCTGGACAAGTTACTCATCACCTCAAAATCTCAGGTTCCTCAACAGTGAAATGGGGATGCTCATATTTACTTCACAGTATTGTTTTAAGGATCAAATTTGAAAATATAAACTCTCTGATACAAGTTTTGCTCAATATACATTATTTGATTTTTAGAAATTAGTGCAATAAAATATCCAGTGTCTAGTTATGTAAGGGAGATAAAATAAAAATGTCTTTGGCATTCTTATTTTTCTTATTTTATCATCATTTTAATTCTTGTGCGTGATTCTTCGTTTCAGGAGTTAGATATCATATTGAGAGTATAACATAATTTGAACATGTTTAGAGATAGAAAATATATCTATATTTTCTATATGAGAAATATATATCCATGTTACATTCAAATGAATGGGTTACAATACCAGCAGAGTGTGATGGTTGAATACAATTGTGTGGTGGTGGGAGCATGTTGGGACAGAGATTTGCTGTCACCTTTGAGGCATGGGAGGCTCCACACAAGGAAAATTCAGCTTTATGAGACAATGCATGCATTAGGGATGAATAAGGACTGTAAATCTAAATTTTTCTCTTATGGTAACTTGGGGAAAACATTGATTCATTTCTGTTGTGTCTAGGTGAATACATAACTTGAATTTTCATTGAAAGTTGAATTAAACAATATAAAAAACTCCACACACAAGGAAAAGACTAATAACCAAATTTAACAATAGGTAAAGATACATATAGGCAGTTCGCAGTTGAAAAAACCAGAATGTACCATGTCAGGCATAACATACTGGCAAGGAGTAAGAAAGCCGATAGTGGCCGGGCGCGGTGGCTCACGCCTGTAATCCCAGCACTTTGGGAGGCCGAGGCGGGCGGATCACGAGGTCAGGAGATCGAGACCATCCTGGCTAACATGGTGAAACCCCGTCTCTACTAAAAATACAAAAAATTAGCCGGGCGTGGTAGCGGGCGCCTGTAGTCCCAGCTACTTGGGAGGCTGAGGCAGGAGAATGGCGTGAACCCGGGAGGCGGAGCTTGCAGTGAGCCGAGATCGCGCCACTGCACTCCAGCCTGGGCGACAGAGCGAGACTCCGTCTCAAAAAAAAAAAAAAAAAAAAAAAGAAAGCCGATAGCATCAGATATTGGCGAGGATGTTAGGAAAAGGAACTAAAATGTAACTGGTGGGAGTGTAAATTAGTAAAACTATTAATACTTTGGAAGTTATTTAGGGATACCTAATACAATTGAATGTGTGTGTGTACCCTAATCCAGTGCTTCCTTTTTTGGGTATCTACTTCAGAGAAATTCTCACATGTATGCACAGACAGACATGTACAAAGGTGTACACTGCAACACCATTTTTAATAGTGGTTTGAAGAATTAAAAACAACCTAATCCCTTTCCTCCTTCCCACTTTCTCTCTCTCTCTCCCTTCCCCACCTTTCTCTCTTATACACACAAACACACACATGCAAACACATACTTCAAATTATTTTCAGAACCATTTGCATTTCTGAAGATGGCACTTTTATCCCTAAAAGTATTTTTTTAAACTAGAGTTCTGAAGGAGACATAGAAAAATGTTAACATGTTTGTTTTTGCTGGTGGGCACATATGGGACTATTACTTTCTGTATTTCTGTGTATTTATGAGATGTTAAAAATTGAAAGTAAACATGAAAAATTTCAAAAGAAGCATGGCATTTGTTTTCTGTCTTTCTCTTTCCTTTCTTCTTTAACCTTCTTTTAATTCCCCACCTTAAGGCCAAGCATTCTTCCCATTTTGTGTCGTTTGGCTCCTGTCCTCATGTAATTTGAAATACTTCCGAGGTACCTGTTGTGTGTATGTGTTCAGAGTTTCTTTAGACATCTTCTTGCCTCTAGTGATCTCTGTTCAATATCACATTAAGGTAGTTGGGCCTAGGTTGTCAGTTATCTCCCAGCTTCTTTAATTTTAGTGGGAATTTGGAAGTTTGGATTGATAATTGGAACCCTCCTCCTCCTCCTCCTTCTTCCTCTTCCTCTTCTTCCTCTTCTTCTTGTTTCTTCTTTTTTTTTTTTTTTTTTTTTTGGCAGGGTCTTGCTCTGTCACCCAGAGCAAGATGGTGCAGTGGAGTGCAATGGTGTGATCACAGTTCACTGCAGCCTTGACCTCTTGACCTTCTGGGCTCAAGCAATCCTCCCACCTCAGCCTCCCAAGTATCTGGGACCACAGGCACATGCTACCACGCCCAGCTGATTTAAAAAAATTACTTTTAATAGAGACGAGGTCTCCTGGTCTCAATTTCCTGGGCTTAAGCCATCCATCTGCCTCAGCCTCCCGAAGTGCAGGGATTGCATGCATGAGCCACCACGTCCGGCCCAAACTTAACTTCTGTATTTCATAGGCTTGTTTTCTTAATATTGCTCCATCTTTCTGTCTTGGTATGTAAGATATTCATATACAGGGTGGAATGTTTGTTTTGGTGTATGACAGTTACTTAGAATGCAGATTAGATCATGTACTTCTAGCTGAGAATTTCCAAAGCATGTAACAATTCTTAATCTTCAAAACAGGCGTAGGGTGCCCCTCAGTCTGCCTGTCTACACAGTATTTTTAGCTACCAGAATGGCCTCTCTGCCCATGTCAAACTCACTTTGCATGTACCTACTTCAAGTTCCCTATTTTCTTTTATCTGCTTCTTCTTTGGTAAACAGACAGCTCAACTTCCTCTGCCTGATCTCTCTGAGACATACTGCAAATTTAGCTCAGACCCCTGCTGGCTGTGTGTATCTTTGGCTATTCGTAGAATGGGAGGGTTTACCATCCTTCCTTCTGGAGGAACCTGGGTCTTCTCATTTCTCATGCATCTGAATCTGTCTGCAAAGGACTATGTGGAATTAGAGCTACTGGGTGATGAAAAAAGACCTTCCTTTTTGTGATGTTTGGACAATCTTTAAAAACTATGCTGATGAGCCATTTCAGTGTGTGTTAATCTTGCTGCACCTGCTTTTGGGTTATTTTCCCCACTTATATTCATGGGTGTTATAAAAGCCTATGTAACTATTCAACTATTGGTCATCACAGAGAGTCCACTTGGGCAAAAGATGGAAATGAATGCAAATAATGCACTTAGCTCGGCCACTATAGGTTAATGCTGCTCTGGTCCTGTCCTGGTACTGGATTCCAATTTTGATCCAGGAACTACCCCTGAGCCAGCCTGTAAGATAGAGGCTAGGCTCACTAACTGACCCAGAAGGCTGGCCCTTGAGGGCTTCCAAGATTCCCAGATAAGCTGGAGCCAATAGGACCTTTAGGGAGTCCTGGGCAAGATGTGTTTAATTCCCAATTCAGAAGAGATTTTTTTTTTTCTTGGCAGTTGAGACTTACTGCACAGGCCAGTTCGGATATGGATGGGTTTGGGGGAAGTATTCACCAAGATATTTTTGTCTTATTGCATTTGATACGTTCACAAATCATTTAACATCATGGATATCACTATTTGCCACTTCCCTGCTATTGTTTTTATTCTAATATCCTACATTTAGAAACTGATCAGTGGACTGCAAGTTTCTTTAGGGTTAGAGGGCTAGATATTTTAAATTTTGTATCCCTAATGTGTACCACAATGTCTGGCATATAATAGATTCTAAATAAATATCTATGTCTAGATAATATGGCTGAATAAATGATTGTAAAACGTAGCCCAAAGTTCCTGTGCTTATTTTTCCTTTCTCCTCCCCTTTCTTTTTTTATTCTTTGAGTTTGATCCCTCTTAGACCAAAATTTTAGATGCTGTCTAGCATCATGTTTTGGTACTGCTTTCCATAATACTTGCTTCATTATCTCTTCCTCCAAATTTTGTTTGTTTTTCAAAAATAGTGGGGGTGTTCCCCCTTATGCTTTGTCCTTTGTGTCTTAAGTTATTTTAAATGTCATCCCTGTTCTCCATCTCATTCTTCTGTGATCTCAAATTCTTGCTGGTTCTTCAGTCTGCTGACTCTTGCTTATGGTGAACGTTTCCACGTGAGTCTTATGGCTTAGGCTTGTGAGTTCATTTTCAATGGAGATTTAATCTGTGGGTGTCCCAGGTTGACTGGATTGAGGGCATATCTATCCAGCTAGGTTTTGTTTCTTCTTCTAGGGACCTTAGGGGTATCATTGGTCTAAAACCCATTTTTTTTTTTTTTTTTGCATATTTTCAACTTGAAAGTTCCTGGATTAAAAAAAAAAAAGTAAATTCCCAGACTATACAGGCAATGTGAATTCAAAGCTCTAAACCACATGAGGGCAGACTCTGGGGATGTGAATGCTCAGTGGAAACATTTTTATTCCCCTACCAAGAACCCGGGACAAGGCATCTCTTTGCCATCTGCCTACGTGAGTGTTTGTCATTGTTTTTTTCCAAGTCCACTATTTCACCTCAGGAGTCTTTCTTCAAGGCCACTTCAAGGGTCTTTCTTTGCTTGGAGGTCGCAGTTCTAGTTCTCTGCCTTATCTCTCACTGCCTGCAAGTGTTAAGCCCCAAGCCCCTGGTGTATTGACCTATCCCTGCACTCTAAGTTCATGTGCCTGCGGCTTTGGTTCTCTATTTACCCTCCATTTCTGACCCCTTTCTATTTAATTTCTTCTCAGTTCATTTAAAATGATGTTTACCGTATGTTCGTCACATTTTCCTCCTGATTTCTTAGGGATCATAGTAGAAGGGTTTTTAGACTATCACATGAACTTCTAAGATGCTCTTGCTTTCATTTTTTTTCTTTTTTTTGAGATGGAGTCTCGCTCTGTCACCCAGGCTAGAGTGCAGTGGCGCGATCTTGGCTCACTGCAAGCTCCGCCTCCCGGGTTCATGCCATTCTCCTGCCTCAGCCTCCCAAGTAGCTGGGACTACAGGCGCCCTCCACCATGCCCGGCTAATTTTTTGTATTTTTTTGTAGAAATGGGGTTTCACCGTGTTAGCCAGGATGGTCTCAATCTCCTGAACTTGTGATCCGCCCACCTCAGCCTCCCAAAGTGCTGGGATTACAGGTGTGAGCCACCGTGCCCAGCCCACTTTCATTTTTATAAAGAAAAAAGTTTCAGGTTGGGAGCCAGGACACCTAATTCTTTGGCATCAGTTTGCTGCGTTGGGTTAAGTCATACAAACTGTCCTAGGCTCAGATTCTTTATCTTTTAAATGGTGATAATAAGACTGAAGAACACAGTTGTAAAAGGTGTGACTCCTCTGATAGGAATGTTTTGAGATGGAGTAGTAGAATAGTTGAGCAGATATTTGGAAAAAATAAAAATAAAAGCACTTCATAATAACCAGCTAGATTTGTTTCTTCTTCTAGACACCCTAAGGATGTCATTGGGCTAGAACCCATTTTAACCAGTATTATTACTACTATTCTCTTTTCTCCAGAACCTTCGCCCTCCTTCTATTCCATCTCCTATTCCATTAGTTTAGCTTATGGCAAAGTAGAGTGGCCTTCTACCTAGGCAGAGGACATAGTGCTACCTCCTGGCTGATTTCTCTCTATCCAGCATGGTGATTACTGTGGCTCGGTCATTCACGCTTTGACTCATGATCAGGTGTTCCTTGTTAGAAGAGAAGACGTTAGCAACCCTTGGTCAATAGTGGAAATGCACTATTATGTTGGTTAAGGTCTTAATAGCACTTGTGATTGTTTCTGTGGTTCTGCTGCTTTGGAGAACTAAAGGAGTACTGCCTGAATACAAGTCTTCTCTGCAGTTACCTGTCTGTGCCATGTCACTAAAGGAGAGTATCAATTCGCATAGTTATTCTGGAAACTACCAGAAACCTTTAAGCACATATTAACAGGAACACTGGGATTCATCATCAAGAATTTTTACAGTATTCATGCAACACACCCTTTTTATGTTATAGAAACTTTGGTTTGAACAAGCTGTGCCATAAAAGGGGCCACAGAATCAGCAAAACCAGTCATATCATGACAGGCCAACCAGATTTGCAAGGTAGGGAGGGATGTTGGAGTTTTCTTAGCTTTTTATTTGAGGCCAAGATCTCAAATAGAGTTGCCTTTGCTTCAGGTCAAATGAAGTCATAATTTGGGTTGGAATAGTCCCTGTTTAAATCACTTAGGCAGGGTTTAATTTGTTGAACCAAACCCTGAAACCAATTCAGTTCACAAAAGAACATGTAATTACATAGCTTTTATCCAAAAATCCCAGTAGAAAATTTTAAGTAGATATAGCGAGGATTCAAAGGGAACATGAGGCTAAAATGGAAAATGCATCTAGGGTTATCAATAGAAATAGAAAACATTTGTGAAAATCTGTTCTCAGCTTATATAGTTCATTGCACAAATTAATACACTTGATTCTCAAATAAGCTAACATGATTTCAAATACTGAATCTTTATTTTCAAAGATAGGGTGATATATCTATAACAAGGTTGATTGTAGTCATATATCGTACTGAATTTTCCAATGCATGCCATTATTTTATAGTTGCATGACTGCCCTATTTTCACTTTTCCATAGTAATTGCCTGCAGCCATACATAGACAACATGAGTTTCCAGTGAATCCAAACTCCTTTTTGTCTACTTAATGGTAGTGCATTCTTTATAAAACCTACTTACCAGACTTTCTAAAAAATAGACTGGTTTGAAGATCAATTCTTGTTGTGTCCCCTGCCTGCCATCTGTTTTAGATATTAGTGAGTCATGAAATGTCTAAAAGCAATAATCTGTGAGAGACAGAGGAAGAGCAGAGGGTCTGGACTGTCAGAAAATGGAATAATATCCTTGGGCTAATCAAGGGTTGTTAGATGTATTATATAATCAAATTATGAAAGGAATAATGATTAAAATCAACAGCGAATCCAAGAAACTTGAAACTAACATACATGCTAGTTTTAGGAGAAACCTTAAAGACATAGCAGATGGGCTTTGGTTACCATTGCTATGGAGGAGTCAATAGAAGTTAGTGGAAGAAACCATACGTGTAGACTAGTTAGTTCAGCCAATTTATGCTGAGCACCAAGTATGCTGCTACTATGGGGATAAAGAAGAGTGAGGCCGGTTCTTTACTCCAGGAAGTTTTCAGTCTTTGGAGGAAAGATATCACACAACTCTCTATGCCAATGACAATAATGGGCTTCGTATGGAGCACTGCTGTGCACTTATCTCCTGCTTGCCTAGGGCTTTATTTACTTATATGATCTTTAGTCCTCTTATCAGTCCTCTAAGGTAGATTTTATTATCGCCAATTTACAGATGAGGAAGCAACGCTTTTTTCCCTTGCATGTTACCATGCTGCCTTTCAGCACAATCTGTTCAATGCCTTGCCAAAGATACAGACTGAAGTCTGCTGGGTGAAGGTCAGATCTTGACTGTGCTATATACCTGTGGAATCTTGAGGAAATTTTAAAATTTGAGCTACAGTCTTCTTATCTATAAAACAGAGATAATATCAACCTTAGCTCTCAGCCTTAATGTCAACATTCTCAGAAAGGCCTCACTGACCACTCTTATTCCCATCTCCTGAATCACTTAATCCCATACGGTGTTTTATCTGAAATAATCTCATGTGTATCTAGTATACTATTGTCTAGTATACTATTGTCAGCCTTCCCACTTGAATGTGAGTTTCATGAGGGCAGGGACCAGGCCTGTTGTAGTCATCCCTCTGTCCCCAGAATATGGTTTCTGGCATAGAGTAAGCATTCAGTAAGTATTTCATGAATGGGCAGTGGTCCAAACAACAATTAACAAGCATAGAAAGGAGAAAATGACCACAGTTATGTTTAATGTTTAATGTCCTTGTGAACCATTCCACTATGTTTCCTTAGAAAGAAAATAAGTCATTGAAAGCTTTGAACTATATTGCTATGGTAGGTTAGATTTTTTTTTTTTTTTTTTAACCATCCTGAAGGTTTGGAAATACTGTAAGTTGAAATTCATCATCCAGGGCATAATGATCCATCTATGACCTCAGCTGGGCTTCAGTAAAAGCAGCAAGTGGGCAAATACCAAGCACAGACACAGAAAATGGAATGCTTTGTTATGTGTAACTATAGGGTATGTTGAGAGAAAATGCATAACCAGAAGTTACTCGAATGTTTGGTGTTCACACTCTTCCACATGCATTAACCACAGAGTGAGTGACACGTCTTACTATGTCTACAAAAGGGACCTCCAGCTGCCACTGACCTGTTGTATGTCTTTGACGTTGTGTATTTCAGGATTCTGAGAAACGAACCCCTCTTCATGTGGCCGCATTTCTGGGAGATGCAGAGATCATTGAACTCCTGATTTTGTCAGGTAAATAACTGCTATACTCAAAAGTCAATTGCAAATAAAAATTTAAATAACCAATTTACTAGATTGACTACTACAGTGAACCCAAGCAAAATTCCTTTGTTATGTTCATGGAAGTTTATGTGATAGGCGATTTTATCATTACACAAAGAAAAATGCAAGAAGTTGTTCTTATTGAAAAATGACTTCTCCAGTAACATTTTTATCTTGCTTTGAAAGTCTGATTCCTGGCTGTCTAGTCAGGCCCAGCATTGTAGATGAATTCAGTACATTTGGATATATTTTGATTTTTTTATTATACAAAAGGAAATAAAACTAGTTTAAAGTCTACATGAACATACACCTATACACACTATGTATAGTGAGTATATATACACACTATGTATAGTGAGTATATATACACACTACATAAACATGCTACATAAACACTATGTATAGCATGTATACACTATATACTCTCTCTCTATATATACATGCTATATAAACACTATGTATAGCATGTATACACTATATATGCTATTATATATGCACACTGTATATATGCCATATATATATGCACACCCTAGATTTATATGCCAACTAAATGTGTTTGTATATTTATATATATTTAAGTTGGGCTGCAAAACAATACTGTTATACTTATGGATACATGACTGTGACTATGTGATGAAAGCATAAAAACATGGAAGGCAAGGAACCATATTGATTTCTGGTTAGTGGTTACCTCTAAGTAGGCAGGTTAAGTAAAAAATGTCTTCAGGGAAGGCTATAAAAGAACTACTACAACTCTCTGTAAAATATTTTATGTTTAAAAATTTAGAAGGGAGTATAGCAAACATTTAAATCTGATTTGTGTTTATACTGGTCTTTGTGATGCTATTGTCTTTATTTTTCAATGTATTTTAAATATTTCATCAGATTTAAAAATGCCAGTGGTTTAATTTTTGGAAACCTGTATGCTCAGTATATCTCACCAAACAGGTTTCCAAAACCATTATATGCTTTCTCCCTTGAGTGTTTACTAGACAAATCCTGGAATGAATTGAGCATGTGCAGATGTCTCACTGTAGATTATTCACAGACAAGCTGTCTTTCTTCTTCCTCTTTTATGTTTGGGAGATTAACATCTAGAGGAAGTGCCACTGCCTACAGACTAGTCAAAAGGCCTATAGTAAGTTTTCGCCTTTGTTTGCAGTAAGGAAAGGGGAACTGTAGCATCTTAAAGTAAGCTCTGCAGAGGTAGGAGCTGAGACATGCATTCAAGCAGATGTGGTGAACACTGTGGACAAGAAACAAGAATTGTGCTGTGATGCATAAGCAACACGGCCCTTATTTTGTTGTGTTCATGTTCTTGAGGTGGGTTTCCCCAGGAAACAAGTGTTCTGTGCCTCAAAACACGTGTGCCCCACGCTCCTGATGGTCACATGGAGCTTAGGTTAGATTTCACATGGCATTTCTTGTGCTTTTGAGAATAGGCCTTTCTTCCAACAAATCTAAAGATGTCCCAGGGCCATGTTCCAAACAAATGTGTATTGTTTGGTGTTGGCACAGACTAAGGGCCAATGCACACCTGGCTGGTTGCCCTGGCAATTGCAATTTGGCCCGTGGAAAATTGTAGGCAGAATCAGTGGAGGTATAAAATAAAGAACTTTGTGGTATGACATCTATTGGTCCCCATCAGCTATACCCGCCTCTTTTTTATTTTGTATTTTATTTTATTTATTTATTTATTTATTTTTGAGACGGAGTCTTGCTCTGTAGCCCAGGCTGGAGTGCAGTGGCGTGATCTCAGCTCACTGCAACCTCTGCCTCTTGGGTTCAAGCGATTCTTCTGCCTCAGCCTTCCGAGTAGCTGGGACCACAGGCGCGTGCCACCACGCCTGGCTAATTTTTTGTATTTTTAGTAGAGATGGGGTTTCACCATGTTAGCCAGGATAGTCTCGATCTCCTGACCTTGTGATCCGCCTGCCTTGGCCTCCCAAAGTGCTGGGATTACAGGTGTGAGCCACCGTGCCCAGCCCACCCACCTCTTAAATGTTGTATTAATAGACCTCTCAGAGTCTCAGAGGAATGTTTCATGAATGTACAAATTCAGAACTTTGTCTTATATGCCAACTTTGTGTTGTTGTTGTTGTTTCTACATCTGAAAGGGGAGATTTTAATTCTGCAGCATGAAGTCAACCAGTCTCTTTTTTTTCTTGTATCTGGGGCCAGTGATTGTTTGACAAACATGGTTTCACATCACCTTCACAAGGGCATAGAATCCACCAGCCTCTCTTCAACTCTGGCTGATTTAGTAGAGCTGGGAGAAGCTGTTGCATATATTTTAATCTATTCACTTGTTTGGTCTTGGAATTTCTGAGCTCTTAATCTCTTTAGCATAATTTTGGTTCAATGTGCTATGGAAAATTTCCTCCTCCCTCTCATCAAATTAAGAAGACTTAGGGCATGGGGAGCATTGGGAAAGTTTTCTTTTTTAGCAATTTTATTTACCTGTGGAAGCTGAGGCAAACTCTTGGAATTCACTTGACTTTTATTTTCCCAAAAAGTCCTTTACTCAATTTATATATTAAGTTCATAATATTGCAAGAGCATGATGATTTTATCTCTGAGCTTGTGTCTGGCAGCTGAGCCTTTAGGGAATCCAACCAAACTGTTTCCTAATTTAATAATGAATGAGGTGCTAATGATTACCATGTTGGACAAATAATTCGGCCTTGCCAGAACAGCCCATTATAGCTGTGTTCTCCATTGTTGTATTAACCTACAGAGCATGGTGTAACCCAAGCTTGCTAAATTCCTGCTGGCATTATCTCCTGTTAGCCAGGTGGATAGAACCCTGAATGCCTCTGAGCAGACAGGGAAGACAAGGTCTTGGCGAAGAATTCAGCCCTTGGAAATTTCACTTTCTTACAACTGCCAGTCCAGGGTCTGGCTTTATTTCCCTCCTGACTCTAGCTTCTGTTTGGGAACTGGTCGAATCTGGATTAAGTCAGAGAGATCAGTGAGAACCAATCAGTGGCTAAGAGTTAAGATACTGGGGTTGAGATATAGAAAGCAGAGTGCACAGAAAAAGGACCACAGTAGAAATATCTTACAAAGGCTAGGTGTGGTGGCTTAAGCCTATAATCCCAACACTTTGGGAGGCTGAGGTGGGAGGATCACTTGAGGTCAGGAGTTCAAGACCAGCCTGGCCAACATGATGAAACCCATCTCTACTAAAATTACAAAAATTAGCTGAATGTGGTGGTGGGTGCCTGTAATCCCAGCTACTCAGGAGGCTGAGGCAGGAGAATCACTTGAGCCTGGGAGGCAGAGGTTGCAGTGAGCTGAGATCGCACCACTGTACTCCAGCCTGGGTGACAGAGTAAGACTCCATCTCCACTATTCACAATAGCAAAGACTTGGAACCAACCCAAATGTCCAACAATGATAGACTGGATTAAGAAAATGTGGCACATATACACCATGGAATACTATGCAGCCATAAAAAATGACGTGTTCATGTCCTTTGTAGGGACATGGATGAAATTGGAAATCATCATTCTCAGTAAACTATTGCAAGAACAAAAAACCAAACACCGCATGTTCTGACTCATAGGTGGGAATTGAACAGTGAGAACACATGGACACAGGAAGGGGAACATCACACTCTGGGGACTGTTGTGGGGTGGGGGGAGGGGGGAGGGATAGCATTAGGAGATATATCTAATGCTAAATGACGAGTTAATGGGTGTCGCACACCAGCATGGCACATGTATACATATGTAACTAACCTGCACATTGTGCACATGTACCCTAAAACTTAAAGTATAATAATAATAAAATAAAAAAATAAATAAAAAATAAAAAAAAGACTCCATCTCAAAAAAAAAAAAAAGATCCTACAGAGAAAACTCTGAGGACAAGTAAGGATTATAGGGTTCTGGGTTGAAAGAAGAAAACTGGAAGTACTCTCTAATGCGGGAGTGTTTGTGAGGCATAACTACTAAGTAAAATTTATTAGAATTTATTTTTTAAATTTTAATTTAATTTACTTTTTTTTTTTTCTTTTTTAAGATGGGGTCTTGCTAGGTTGATCAGGCTGGTCTCGAACTTCTGGCCTCAAGTGATCCTCCCATCTTGGCCTCTTGAAGTGCTGGGATTACAGGCATGAGCCACCACATCTGGCCATAGAATTTATGCAACCCAACAAGTGGTAGTCCTGCAAAATTATTCCCAAAAATTTTCAAAATGTGCTTCTTACTCTCAATGCAAATTATTTCCAGAGCTGGGGGCACATCATTCTTTTGATTCCTTATGCATAACAAATATTCGTCCTTTGAGGATGAATTTGATATTTTTTATCTGGTGAAAGAGGGGTGATTAAACCAGGCAATGCTGATTTTGGCCTACAAATGTGGTGCAATTATAAAGTAATAAGCCATTTTCTGGTGGGTGTGTAAATTGGCCATAAAGGCAACTCCAAGGAGAGTTTGTTAAATGTTTTGAGCAATTGTCACGTTCATGGAATTATCATACCCTCTTCTATGGTAATTGTTTTGAAGCGCTCCTGTGCTGTATGATTTGGTTTGTTAAAAAAATCAATAGCAAGCTGATTTTGTTATATTATAATCATATTTTTATGACTTTTCATGTTTACTTCAACAATTAAAAGCCAAACTTTAGATAAGTTAAGCTTGGGAAGAAATTATTCTCTTTGGCTTGTGAGATTTTTCAGTCACACTCAGTCCACCCTTATCACACCACTTCCGTTTTCTTTATTCTACTTCTTTCTAGATGACATGGCTTACAGAACAGAAATATTGCCTCTGGAAAAGATGCCCAGAGTTCACTTCACCCCTGATCTCTATGAAAATAAAATTAAGAGGTAACAGGGATAAGATGAAGAACATCCTTAGTTTGTAATTACAGATCATGTCTGATGGATTGGGCCTTTGTTTCTGAAGAATCAATATACCCTAGTGCTTATTTTCATGTTTAAGCTTTAACATGTCCTTGGGTACAAAAGCATTTGCCTTTAAATCATTAGACATGCAGACTGTGTCCTTCAGTGCACAATGGTGCCTGACAGGCAGGTAAATAATGTGAAGCTTCCTTTAGAAAAAATCAGCTATAAATATTCAATTCATAGCCAAAACCATCTGACATCTCCCTCTGACATGTAAACAAGACTCTTGAAAGTGTTCAGAGGAAGAGGATGAGGAAGCTGGCAGCAAGAGATGACACTGATGAAATGCTTCTTGCGTCTCCATTCAGATAACTCTGGTTTTGTTATAATAATTTTTGTTATGGGGGAGAGGAGGTTTTCCTGGCAGCTGCCTATTCAACCTCCATGAAAAAGAGAAATGGAGGAATGGAGGACTTAAACACTGACTGAAAGAAGCCATTGCCTACATTTCTAATCACCTTGAAATTTCTCAAGGGACTCTGAAGCTACACGCGAACAATGCTGGTGTCGTTACACCCCGGGTGTGGGTCACTGTATGAGGTTCAGCATGCGTGGGATCATTTTTCTCCTTGAAAGAGTTTTAATATTGAAAGCCAAATTTGGATCTGCATAAAACTAAAAATTTTCAGAATGCGGTATAATAATAATAATGATAAAAGTGTGTAAATATAAATAAGAAAAAACAACAGAAAAATGGGAGAAATATGTAAAGAATATGAACAAGTAATTCTCAGAAAATGAATTACAAATGGCTAGTAATCAAACATATTAGAAGATGTCTAACCTTATTGTTAGACCAGAAACTAAAACAAAGAGATGCTCTTTTTTTCAATCAGATTTGTATGTATGTATGTATGTATTTGAGATAGAGTCTTGCTCTGTCGCCCAGGCTGGAGGGCAGTGGCATGATCTCGGCTCACTGCAACCTCCACCTCCCAGGTTCAAGCGATTCTCCTGCCTCAGCCTTTTGAGTAGCTGGGATTACAGGCGCCTGCCATCATGCCCAGCTAATTTTTGTATCTTTAGTGGAGACGGGGTTTCACCATGTTGGCCAGGTTGGCCTCGAACTCCTGACCTCAGGTGTTCTGCCCACCTCGACCTCCCAAAAGTGCTGGGATTACAGGCATGAGCCACCGCGCTCGGCCTATTGATTTTTAAAGCAGCTTTATTGAAGTATAATTGATATACAATAAGCTGCATATATTTAATGTCTACAACCTGATGAGTTTGGACATATACAAACACCCATGAAATTATCACCACAATCAAGGTAATAGACAGAGATGTCTATCTCTGTCACCTCCAAAAGTTTCCTCGTGTCCCTTTGTTCTTGTTATTTTGGGGTTTTTTGGGATGTGTGTGTGGTGAGAACACTTAACATGAGATCTACCCTCTTAACAAATGTTTAAGTGCATAATACAGTATTATTGACTCAGATTTGCAATATTTAAAATGTCTAGCTGGGCATGGTGGCTCACATCTGTAATCCCAGAACATTAGAAGGCTGAAATAGGAGGATCACTTGAGGGCAGAAGTTTGAGACCAGCGTGAGAAACATAGCAAGACCCCATCTCTACAAAAAATTTTTAAAAATTAGCTGGGCATGGTGGCATGTGCTGGCAGTCCTAGCTACTCTGGAGGCTGAGGCAGGAGGATTGCTTGAGCCCAGGAGTCTGAGGCTGCAGTGAGCTATAATGCCACTACACTCCAGCCTGAGTGACAGAGTGAGACCCTGTCTCTAAAAAATTTAAACAATATATTTTAATGCCTGATAACATCAAGTGTTGATGAGGATGTGGGGAAACTAAGCAATCTTATACATTCTGAGGGTGTGAACCGGCACACTTTAGAGGCTTTACAGGACCTTTTGAAACTGAAAGTGTGTATTATCTATGACACATAAAGTCCATTTTAAATTATTTATCCTAGACAAATACTTGCACCTGAGGCAGGTAGATCACCTGAGGTCAGGAGTTCAAGACCACCCTGGCCAAAATGGCAAAACCTTGTCTCTACTAAAAAATAAAAAAAATTAGGTGGGCATGATGGCAGGTACCTGTAATCCCAGCTACTTGGGAGGCTGAGGCGGGAGAATCGCTTGAACTGGGGAGGCAGATGTTGCAGTGAGCCGAGATCGCACCACTGCACTCCAGCCTGGGTGACAGAGCAAGACTCCGTTTCACACACACACACACACACACACACACACACACACACACACACACACACAAAAGCAGCTTAGTCCCCCCTCCCCCATTATTTTCATTAAGAAACATAAAACTTCAAATGCACTAGCTTTCTTGAAAATATTTTGTTAGAAAATATTTCAAACATACAGAAAACTATGGAGAATAATATAGTGAATATCCATATACCTTCCACTAAGTTTTAGGAACTCTTAATATTTTGCCATATTTGCTATATATATATCTATATCTATATCTATATCTATATATTTTTAAGGAAATAAAACATTGAAAATACAGTTGCAGCTGTATGGGTACTCTTACTTCATTCCTTTTCACATTCCTCTTTCCCTAGACGCAGTCACTATCCAGAATTAGTATTTATACTCCTTAGCCATATTTTAAACTTTTATTTTATATCTATGCATCCATAAACAACATATAGAAATACAGCTGGTATTATGCCATAGGTATAATTCTGCAGCTTGATTTGTTCATTTGGTGTTATGATTTTAAAAGTACATCTGTTTATATATACAGAACTTCAGTCTGTTCCTTTCCATGACAGTGTAGAATTCCATTGTACGGGTATACCACAACGTCGTTATCCATTTTCCTCTTGATTGACATTTAGGATTCCAGTTTCTTGTTGACATAAACATGTTGCGGTGCACCTTCATGTACATGTGTGAGAGTTTCTCTAGGGTATATGATTGGGGTGGAATTGCTAGGTGGTTGGGCATGCATGTCATCAATTTTACTAGATAATGCCACATTGTTTCCCAAAGGAGGTTGTACCAATTCACACTCTTGCCAGCTGTATGTTAAGTTTTCCTGTTGCTCCATACCCTTGCCAAATCTTGGCCTCGTCACACTTTATCATTTTTACCTATTTGATGGATGTGAAATGGTATGTAAATGCTGCTTTCATTTGCTTCTCCCTGACGAATTTTGAGAAGTACCTTTCCATATGTGTCTTGACATTTGGGTTTCTACTTGCATTCATTTTTTGAATTTACAAAAAATTTAAAGCACAAAATTTACTCTGCCAAAGACTATAATAAAAATAATTCCAGCTCTCTAGGACTGCATATGGTCTGAGTGATGTTTGTGACATGGGTGCCAAAGAAACAGCCCCAAAATAAGAAATACATGTGCACTCGGCTTACTAGACAGAAACACAGTGTGGTCAAATCTACCACACAATGTGGTCATACATATATTTATTTATGATGCAAGAAAAGTCCTGACGTAAAGGCGGGTAATTTTAAAAGGTTTGAATCCAGAGTGTTGGAAGATCTGAAGGGATAAATGCTGTGTTGCTAAACCAGAAAGGTAGACTTTGTGACCATCACCTGACACTGTGTTGGAACTAATATTTAGAAGAAGAAATCTGAAGTTTGGTTTTGGTAGTGGTAATTTTATTTTAAAATTAACCAATTTTGCTGTTCTTAATCACATCTGGATTTTCTTCTCCCTAGCATTCTCTAGCACTTGAGTCTCTCTTGCTCTTAAAAAGATATGTATTTCTACAGTCTCTAGGTGATGGTTCTTTGTGTTCTTAAAGTTCCTATTTGACTTCTTCCTTTGTAGGGCAAAGATCATGCCTTTCACTTCCTTTGGAAATCTGAGTCATAGATTTAGAGGTGAATGAGACATTGGAGGTGATTTGGAAATAAGAACTGCTAATGTTTTTCTAGTGCCTTGCAATTTACAAAGCACTTTCCTATTCACTTAATTCTCCTTAGCACCTGGTGAAATGGGTAGAGAAGTATTATTACTGTTGTTGTTAGCCTCGCTGTGCAGATTAGTGGCTCTTGGTCATTGGGCCAGCAGGTGCTGAAATCAGAACTCAAATCTACATCTTCTGACCATGAATCCCACTGTCCTTCCAAAACCGCATTCATTTCATGCCACAGCATTTAGCCCACAGCTTCCTGTTACTGAGGCCAGAGATGCCTATTGATTTTTGCACACCCAAACTGATTTTACTGTGGTCCTTACTGACGTAAGGAGCTTGAACTCCTTCAGGCAAGCTGGTGTTAGTGGAATTAGGATTTAAATAATTTTAACCTGGATAAATTAAGCAACAATTCATCAGTGGCTCTCAACTTTGACAGCATAGTATGATAACCCTTGTACCTGACTCCATCTGAAACCAATGAAATCAAAGTGGAGGTTGGATGGGAGGCATTCCAGCTGTCTTTGTTTTAGGGATTATGTTCTTGTTTTCTGTGATTAATGCTGTTGATGGCATTTGTTCTTCTTCAGTTAAAGAAAAGAATAGTGTAAGCTCTATGATTTGTTATTTACTTTTAGCCAGTGCCTTAAACTAAACCTCTAGTTCACGTTTACGCATGGAAGTCCACTGCCTTTTAAAAAAGTTTCTATTTTCCAGCTATCAGCTGGCCTTAGCCTCTTGGAGATTAGTCAGCTCCTGCTTCCCCTTGACTCACTTTCTCAGCCCTTGTCCTGAGGCGCCACCTCTGTGTTTCCTTTTCTCTGCCTTACTTTCTAGTTTCTTTGATTTGTTTCTCCACTCTCTGTCCTCATGAGCTCCCTTCCTCATCATCCTAAGGCTAGAATTGACTTCTCTTGCTGCTTCTACAAAGATACACATATTTTCTCCTCCTCTCCTTTCGTAGCCCTTTTATAAAACATCCCATCTCTGACCAGAAGACTAATCAAAACCCTGAACCCCCTAAAAGGAAGCTTATATCAGATGTCTTAGCTGTTCAGACATGGACTTGGTGGGCTGGTGATCATGGAGAATGGCGAGGGTGTCATGGAAGGCGGGTGAACTCTGCTTCCTGTGAATTCATTTGCAGGGAGCTTCTGTTCCATGATGATGGCATGGCTTCATAGAGCTGAGCATGGGCACTCTTCTGAGTGTGAGCTGGTTTTGGCTCATGCTTGAGCCTATCTGCCTACCCCATAGTTTGAGAAAGTAGTGAGCAATTTATAGGCCTGATGTCCTATCTATCCAAAAGCCTCATGGAAACTGACTTCTTTTTACCAAAATATCTGGCTAGTCCCAGATTTTTAGGTAAAGCAGATTTCTTCTGGTCCCCTCAGCCTTGATCAAATCTTGTCAGCACATGACTAATACAAAGAAAAGAAGAGGTGGTGGTTATGTCAGGCAAATGGGAGCAAGATACAGCATTTGATTTAACGTCGGCAGGGCTTCCCTTGACCCCATTATGCCTCTAACTTGTGCTGTTTGATTCCAGGAGCTCGTGTAAATGCCAAGGACAACATGTGGCTGACTCCACTGCACCGGGCTGTTGCTTCCAGAAGTGAAGTGAGTGATTACCATATTTAATCTAATACCTACTGTGCCTAGAAAAAGAAAAAGTCTTGCTAGCGAATTAAGAATCCTTACTGGTAAGCAGAAGGCTTTTACCTCTAATGTAAGAGGGTTACCCAAAATGAACAGCTTTTATTTGAGTATCTCCTGTGTGCCAGACATAGTGCTGAGTGGGGCTGGGGAGTATCTGGGGTAGTTCAACATGGACAGCATGATCCTGAATTTCAATGAGTTCTCAGCCTGGGGAGGAGGCAAAGCAGAAAGCATATCATTACAATATCATCATTGACTTGCGGGAGAAAGCAACTAACTGCCTGCTTGAATAGAGGAAATCTTCCAAGAAGAGATGTCAGTTGATCTGGTCCTTAAAGGTTGAGTAAGGACTTAGCAGGCCAGGAGAAGGAGGGAGGACTGAGGCAAGGAAGTGAGTGAATGGGGGCCTCAGTGAGGTATAACTGGAACTCAGGCTATAGTAGAAGGTAAATCTGATAGTGGAGGTTGGGCCAGATGGCAGAGGGCTTGGAATCCTCTGAGCAATGGAGAATGGTCACAGCAGGGGAGTGGTATGCTCAGATCTGTGTTTCAGAGAACCTTTGTGGTGGCAGCATGTGAATGGGCTGAGGGGGAGAGGTCTCAGGGAGGAGCGCCAGTAAGAGACCAAAAGAGGCCTGAAGCAGCTGGGATGAGGGCATAAAGCTGAGTCCATGATTTGAGAGCTCATTAGAGGTAAACCTGGCAGGATTTAGTACCTAGTAGGGGTGAGGTGGGAAAGAAGCTGGTAGGTAAATGGCGATGCTGTTAACAGAAGAGGCACAGAGCAGGGGAGCAGGGGCCGGGAGGCTGGTGGGTCCTGTTTGCTAACGCTGAGTTCAGCAAACATGTCGTTGGAGTGGGAGCTCCATGAGGACAGGGATCTGTACTTTGTTCCTGGATGTATCCCAAGCCTGGTACAGTCTAGGCATCCAAGAAATAATTTGTTGTTGAATGCTGGAAATTCGGGTGAAGATGACTGATAGATTATCTATAATTATTTATACAAGTCTAGCACTCAGGGACAGGGAGGATGATCATCAAACCATGGTAAATGCATCAGGTAGCTCAGGGGAAGTATAAAGGATGAGAAGATCAATGTGAAGGCAGGGGTGGCAGGGAACCCTGGTGAATGTCAGCCTTGAAGCCTGGTCAGAGGAGATGCCCATTATCCAGGGATACAAGAGGTTCAAACCTTGCATGCACTTGGTGCTGGATGACTGACCTCCATAGCTGAATTTACCAAATGCAGCTTCTCCTCTGCTACTGGAGAAGGTGATGTTCTCCAGGTACACCTAGGAGCAAAAGGTCTTGCTGAGAATTAATATACAGAAGTTGCAGGTGTCTTTGGCCGTTATTGGTGTCAGCTTTTCCTCTTTGGCAACTATCTGGAAATTTTAATATATACTTGCTAGGTGACAGCTTAGTAGTCATGGTTTTTCTTGCTGCGCTTTGTGATTTTAGTAGGTTTTAAAAGGGGTTGGTTGTGTTCTCCTTCCAAATATCCCGCATGGAATGAGAGAGGTCAATAATCCTAAATTGCCTGGCTCAGACCCTGGAGAATTCAGAATCTTCTCATGGTCCCACATTTTATTTCCATTTTGTCTGGGAAAACGAGGGCAGTGAGCTGACTGAGTGGGTATTACCAGCTTCATGAGACCAACCCCTTCATAGAGGAGTATTTCCTGGCCTTTTAAGACCACTTGGTCTTTAGTAAATTTAAGTGTCTCTTTAAAAATATGTATGGATTTGTTTCCTCTTCAACAAGAACCAGGTCTTTTTAGTTGGGAAAATAATTCAATATGTACCTCCCATATGCCAGGCACCTTTTCTTTGTAGCTCATGGAGCTACAAAAAAAAACTAAGACCGATGGTCTCTGCCCTTAGGAAGTGTGTAGTCTAGTGGAAAAGAAAGACACAAAAAAGATGATTTCATTACTCTGTGACCTTTCCCAAGTGATCTCTATCTTTGTTAGCTCAACTAGCTTCAAAGACTTCAATCCTCAAAACATCCATTTTCCATCAACAACCAGTCTGCATTCTGTAAGTATCTTTAGTGTGTTTGAATCCAGTCAGCCTAATGATGGACTGACCTTCCAATCTGAGAAAGGCTTTTGTTGCTTCTCCAAGTAACCAGCTCCCTCTGTAGGTTTGCAGGGAGGAAAAAAGAATCACTAGCCAGATAGGAATTAAATGCAAACAAACCCTGAACTGTAAATAATTGGGTCACATATGAGCTCATGATGTCTTCATATTAGTATCTGTCACAGCAAGTTGGACAGTTTCTTATGAAAATTGGAGTCTCGGCTGGGCGCAGTGGCTCATGCCTGTAATCCCAGCACTTTGGGAGGACAAGGTGGGTGGATCATGAGGTCAGGAGTTCGAGACCAGCCTGACCAACATGGAGAAACCCCGTCTCTGCTAAAAATACAAAATTAGCTGGGCATGGTGGCGCATGCCTGTAACCCCAGCTACTCGGGAGGCTGAGACAGGAGAATCACTTGAACCTGGGAGGCAGAGGTTGCGGTGAGCCAAGATCACGCCATTGCACTCCAGCCTAGGCAAAAAGAGTGAAACTCCATCTCAAAAAAAAAAAAAAAAAAAAAAAGAAAGAAAAAGAAAAGAAAAGAAAGGAAAAGAAAATTGGAGTCTCTGTAACCATTGTGAGAGCTGACGGTGGAGAAGACATCTTAACTCCAAGCACATTGCTGTCCTGTGGAAGTCCTAAATTCAGATTTCCTTCTTCTTTGGAATTTAGTCTTATTGCCATTATTTTATGCCTCTCCTAACTAATAGTTGGGGAAAAGAAAGTAGATTTGAGGGGAAGAAAAGAGAAGGTTTGGACTGGTATTTTGGAATTTAACTGTTAGCACTTGTCAAGATGGATATATGGTTTCAGCTGAGAGCTGGCACAGGTCTGTTCTTTAGATTGGTAAGCACTGATATTACATGTTCATGTGTTTGAAACCATTTCTTCATTGAAAAGTTTATAAACTCTATACTGTCTGTCCTCAAAGCCTATTTGCTTATAAAATGTAGATAATTGATCTCTCAGGGTTTGAGGTTCAACCAGGGAAGCAGAACCACCATGAGAGATACAGAGCAAGATATTTATTATAGGAATTAGATCTTACACAAGTGTGTAGGGCTGCTGTGGTCTGTGTGAGGCTATCACCTTGGATTCTGTGAGGCCCTGAAGTCACTGTAGGTCAGCAGAGTCTACAGTGGAAAAGCTGGATGTAAAATGGGGGAGATCAAGGACAAACTGGAACTGAGGTCTGTCTAACACTGCCTCCAACATCATGGACATGGGTGACTTGCAGAAGGAGTTGTGCATGCACCTGGCCCAAGAATTGGAGAAACTGAAGGAGATGCAGCAGGATCTGAAGAAGCATCAAGCCAGGCACTGCCCCTTGCCAACGTGGTGATCCAGCCGATTAGTGTCATCATGTGAAGCTGCAACACTACCTGGTGCCCAACAGCATACCAGTTAGGCTGTAGTTTCACTTATGCCTTCCAAAACTCATCAGATATCTCTTGTGGCCAACCCTAAAGGGAGTACTACAGGGAAAGGAATTCTGGGAAATTTAGTTCAACTCAGCCAACTTGGCACAATACAAAACTACCATAGAAATTGTTGTTCTATTTGAATTAAAAAGATCTTCTAGACAGTAAGCTCCTTGAAATGTATGCCATGCCTATTGCTTGCCGTTGTATTTCTAGCATCTTGCCTAGTTAGAAAAGAATTGTTTTTTTTTTGAGTTATTCATTAAAGACTGGGTTTTCAATTTAAGCTATAATAATTTTCTGTGTACAACTGGTAAGATAGAACTGGTATACACCATATCAGAATGTTGATGGTAATAATCTTTTATGCATGCAGGGTGAACAGAGTTGAAGCATGTTTATGGGAATGTGTACACTAAAAGCCAACTAAGCCACTGAAACCTGCAAAATCAAGGCTGGTTTTGCAATTGCATATAACACAGATATCAGTCTAAGTCAAAATTTTGGAGCCTTGTTTTCATCCAGGCAAGATTTATGTTCAGATTTCTGTGTCTGGAAAAATAAGGTGCATTGCTAAGTTCATTTCCTGAGTATGTTAAGCAATAAGGGTGTCAGATCATAATATTGATTAAATATGAATCCATGCCTGACATTATGTCCTCCATAGACAAGAAAGTAGATCAAGACATAATCACACCTCTTGAAAATCTCCTAAAATATAACTGAGCTCTAGAGATAAGTCTTGAAGACTTATGTGATGCTGACCAGGCTGTCTTGTGTTTTCCCTTCTAGACACAATTCCACGACCCTTTCCTACCCCCAACCTGCTCCCCACATCTGGCACATCTGGGATTCCCAGGTTGGAAACAGCTTGGAGCCCAACAGCACTGTCTCCTTTTTGGCTCCCTAAGGGCTTCTCTGAACTCATTCTCCTTTTTTTTTCTGTGTACTCCCTAGGCTGTGAAGAAATGAAGAGAGGCTCTTACTAAAATATTAGAGAAACATCTTTTATAGTGCCAGCTAACATAGATAAGCAAGAATTGGGGCTGCCAGTGGGAATATTCTGAAGTGTTCATGTGAAGCCTATTTCATATTATTTCCTGTGTTCAGCTTGTTCTTGCTTTTTTTGCTTTTCTTTCTTGGAAAAGAGCAACTGTAGGGGAAAGGAACGAAATGTACACAAACCCAGAAAGTCTAACGCACGTTTATGGAAGCCCACTTGGTAGAAGGCATTGTTAAGTGTGCTACAGGAGGCCTAAAGTGTGTACAAAGTGTGGCTTTTAGTTTTAGTATACAGTATTTGGGGAGATAACCAGGCATGCAGGCTGCTGTGGCCTATGTGCAGACGTGGCTGGCCCGTCCCAGGTGCCCTTTCTGCTATAACCAGTTGAGAGGAGCATCAGAGGAGAATTGCTGAACTTTTCACTTCTCCATTCTAGAGACTGTCTTTTGGTTAGAAAAGTTAAAAATGGTTGTATCTTATCTTTAGAGTGTAGGAGTGAGGACACTGTGTCCATGTAGGTGTTGTAGTTACGAGTGTTTATTAAGTACTTACTATCGCCGGGCGCGGTGGCTCACGCCTGTAATCCCAGCACTTTGGGAGGCCGAGGCGGGCGGATCACGAGGTCAGGAGATCGAGACCATCCTGGCTAACATGGTGAAACCCCGTCTCTACTAAAAATACAAAAAATTAGCCGGGCGTGGTAGCGGGCGCCTGTAGTCCCAGCTACTCGGGAGGCTGAGGCAGGAGAATGGCGTGAACCCGGGAGGCGGAGCTTGCAGTGAGCCGAGATCGCGCCACTGCACTCCAGCCTGGGCGACAGAGCGAGACTCCGTCTCAAAAAAAAAAAAAAAAAGTACTTACTATCTGCTAGGCAGTATGCTAAGGACTTTCTGTATATTATTCTCTTTTAACCTCTGATCCACCCTTCGAGACGGATGCTATTGGCAATACTAGTTTAGGAAATGTAATCTCAGAAAGTTAGTAGGGAGCCAACGAAGTTGATGTCACAGCCAGAAAGTGGAGGAAAGTGTGACTAGAGAAGCTGCCTGCTTAACCACCATTCTGTGCTGCTTTCTTCAATTCCCATTAGCACCCTTATGGAGCCTGTTCTAGCCAATAAAGCACATCTATTTTTGGCTTCTGTGCAGACAGAAGACCCAACTGGTATACAGATCTTTCCCAGAGCTGAGCAGGATAAGCATTTTATTTTACAGTTGAAATTTTAAAAACTTATGTTCTACCCTTTCCTCTAAAAAACATGATCATTATTGTGGGCTTAATGCTAGTAGACAGGAGAATTGGAAACATTATATGGAAGAGTAGAATGTTATTGTTTTCTTTAAATTATCTTCGTGATTATAAAAAGTTGTTCATGTGTAGAATATAGGTCATATCTGGAATAGGAAGAAAGTAAGCATTTTATAATCTATTAGAATGTAGACAAGCGGTACCCAGCTTTAGTGCATTTAAACTCTCTGGGGTGTTTGTTGAAACTTCCTGTTCTAAAACCTCACCCCTAGTGATTCTGAATGAAGCCTGTGGTTAGGCCCAGAAATTTGCCTTTTCAAAAGAAGATTCTGATACATGTCGTCTACATGCCACACTTCGAGAACTGAGATTAAACACTGGTCATACTTTAGTGTCTGCCGTTCCTAATGGTTAAAGTCAGCACTTCTTAAATAGTTCGCTTAGAATTCTTTCATATCCCAAAGTCTCCAGTGAACTGCCTTTGCACTCCTAGTTCTTAGAATAATTGTGCTGTAATAATAATTAAAATAATGGGTGAGTTTTTTTGGTGCTTGGTACTTTGGTACTTTTAGAGGAACAATCCCATTAATTGAGCAAATTGGTTGGACATCAATTTATACAATTCTTACAAAATATGAAATTGCTATGATTACAGTAATATAGCATAAGCCTGCAGGACTTAAGAGCAGCCTCAGGGACATCAGCCCAGAGTAATGTAAAATTAACACTTACAGATTATTACTTACAGACTTTGCTGATGATTACAGCAATGTATTTATTCTACCCAAATTTATTGAATATACACTATGTGCAAAGCAACTGCCAGGCTTTGTGGAGAGTACAGACAGTTGTATAACATTTTGACCCCTATCTAAAGCAACTTGTAATTTATAAAACTTGACATTGCTTATGGCTGCAGGGACTATGTGTAGTCATAAACAGTTACTTTTCCATGAGTAATTTATGACCACTGAAATGCAATGCACATTTGAGAGTAAAGAAACAAATATTAAGGATGATAGTTTCTAAGACACATGCCTCCTATTCTCATCTTTTCCATGTGCCACAGTGTATGTTTCTACTTCTTATTTCAAGGTTGAAGTGGCCTTTTGTTAAATAAAAAGAGTTGTAAAAAGTAGAAATTGACTGACTCGCAAATGGCATGTCCAGTTACCTCCCATATGACATCCCATGACAGCTCCTCCTTTCTATTATTTCTGCATCTTATATAGGACAGCCTGCTACAGGGTGTCATCCAACAAGGCCTACAATCCTAAAACAGAACGTTAACTGGGCTGATGCCTCCATTTGGGGGAAATACCAGAATCCTCACAGGTGTTCGTTCATTAAGAAAGAAACAAAGGTCCAGGCGCGGTGGCTCATGCCTGTAACCCCAGCACTTTGGGAGGCTGAGGCAGGCGGATCACTGAGGTCAGGAGTTCAAGATCAGCCTGGCCAACATGGTGAAACCTTGTCTCTACTAAAAATACAAAAAAATTAGCTGGACGTGGTGGCGCATGCCTATAATCCCAGCTACTCAGGAGGCTGAGGCAGGAGAATCGCTTGAACTGAGGCACAGGTTGCAGTGAGCCGGGTTGGTACCACTGCACTCCAGGCTGGGCGAAAGAGCAAGACTCTATCTCAAAAAAAAAAAAAAGAAAAAGAAACAAACAAAGGCTTTGAAGGAGCATGATTCACAGCATGCCTGAGCACTGGGGCTGGACTGTGAGCTTTTATCTTATCTGTTGTGAAAAGAGTAGGTGGTCAGAAACTTTTAGGGCAATTTGATAATTTCATGCCCATTAACTTTAATAATAAAATAATTACATTTATAGTTTTTATCTCATTTTTATTTCATTTTATTATTCTACTGATTACTTTTTATTGTATTTTACAAAAGTATTGGCTCAAAAGTGATGGATTTGAAATAATAACTATTTTTAGAAAACTGGTTCTTTACCACAGACAGTTTGAAAAACACTGTTAAAGAAACTTTTCTTGATGGATTAAAGACTTAAATGTAAAACTCAAAACTATAAAAACTGTAGAATAAAATCTAGGCAGTGCCATTCAGGACACAGGCATGGGCAAAGATTTCATGATGAAAACACCAAAAGCAATTGCAGCAAAAGCAAAAATTGACAAATGAGATCTAATTAAACTAAAGAGCTTCTGGACAGCAAAAGAAACTATCATCAGAGTGAACAGGCAACCTACAGAATGGGAGAATATTTTTACAGTCTATCCATCAGACAAAGGTCTAATATCCAGAGTCTACAAGGAACTTACACAAATTTATCAAGAAATAAAAAACCCCTTTAAAAAGTGGGCAAAGTACATGAACAGGCAGTTCTCAAAAGAAGACATTCATGCAGCCAACAAACATGAAAAAAAGCTCGATATCACTGATCAGTAGAGAAATGCAAATCAAAACCACAATGAGATACCATCTCACACCAGTCAGAATGGCAGTTATTAGAATGTCAAGAAACAAGAGATGCTGGTGAGGTTGCAGAGAAAAAGGAAAGCTTTTGCACTGTTGGTGGGAATAAATTAGTTCAACCATTGTGGAAGACAGTGTGGTGACTTCTTAAAGATCTAGAAGCAGAAATACCATTTGACCCAGCAATCCAATTATAAATCATTCTATTAGAAAGATACATGCATGTTTATGTTCATTGCAGCACTATTCACAATAGCAAAGACAGAATCAACCCACATGTCCATCAATGATAGACTGGATAAAGAAAATGTGGTACCTATACACCATGGAATACTATGCAGCCATAAAAAGGAACAATATCATGTCCTTTCCAGGAACACGAATGGAGCTGGAAGCTGTTGTCCTTAGCAAACTAACTCAGAAACAGAAAACCAAACACCGCACGTCCTCACTTACAAGTGGGAGCTGAACGATGAGAACAGAGGGACATGTGAGAAGGAACGACACACACTGGGGCCTGTCAGTGGGGAGAAGGGAGGGAGAGCACCAGGAAGAATAGCTAACAGATGCTGGACTTAATACCTAGGCAATGGGTTGATCTGTGCAGCAAACCACCATACATGCATTTACCTATATAACCTGTACATTCTGCACATGTACCCTGGAACTTAAAATAAAAGTTGATTAAAAAAAATTTAACAGAAGAAAAATAATCTTTTCTTGATTCAGGAAGTGTTCAGCTTCCCTTCCCCCACATTAGTTTCTTTTTTACCTTGTATATTTCTGCCAGAGCAAGCTCCTGGGTATTAATTTTTAGCCAATATGTGATACAGGAGAAGGCAGACTTCTTTAATTAAAAAAAAATTAATTCCCTAAATAGCCATCAAATTACTCCCTTGTAAAACCAAGTTAAAGAGCTTCCAAGCTTAAAACTTTTAAAAGAGAAATGCAGTTTTTAAAAAGGTAGTTATCTGTTTTTAATCAAAGCTTTGTTTTTGCCAAAATATTATATTAAATTTCTATTATATGTATTAAGCCAGTGTAGCAGACTAAAACTTTAGGATTTAAAAATGTAAATAACTAAGGAGAATTAACTGTTGAATCTATTTATGTCAGGATGCTTGACTGAGACTACTCACTGAGTAAGCCTAGTAGAAAATGGCCTGTTAGAAAATGCAAGAGCCCATAAGTCAGCCAGGCTGACAGGTCATTGCCCTGGACTTCTGTCATCTTGCCTATAAAATAAAGCTGCCTATGAAATGAAGGGGTCAGCTCAGATGAACCTTAGGGCTTTCTCCATTTCTAATATTCCATATGTCTGTGAATTTAATTCCATAATCATTTTAAACTACTGTATTTTTTTTTTTGAGACAGGGTCTTGCTCTGTTGCCCAGGCCGGAGTGCAGTGTCATGATCACAGCTCATTGTGATCACGTCAAACTCCTGAGCTCAAGTGATGCTCCCACTTCAGCCGCCTGAGTAGCTAGGATTTAGAGAGGTCCACAACACCACTCCCGGTTGGTGCAAAAGTAATTGCGGTTTTTGCCATTAAAAGCAATGCAATTACTTTTGCACCTGTATATATGTTTGTCGATTTTTTTTTTCTTCGTTAGAGATGGGGTTTTGTTATGTTGCCCATGCTTGGCTTCTGTGCTTTTAAGAGCTGCATGGATGACTCCATTGCATAGCCAGGGTTGAAAGTCATAGATCAAGAGGTTAGGGAGCTGACTGGGCCAATAGAAGAAAAAATGTGGGAGGCCCAATGAAGGTGAAGGAACTCAACAATGGCAAAAGAAGTGACCCATTATAACATGGAAAAGATGGAAACAACTCATAGCTTTAAGTTGAGATGGTAACAGAGATGTTACTTCCCGTCTTGACCACTTATTGATCACACGATGCTGAGGGTTAAGATGTTGGCAGAGAGAACCAAAGATTTATAAACTGATCCAAGAATGTCTGAGGTCTTTTTGTCTATGGTTATTTTACCCTGGTATGCACACTTGCACATGGGTGTTCTCATTTGGCCTAAGAGTGCCTTCTACATTGTAAGGACATCATCATATACTTAGAAGGTTTATTTGATTTTAGAGATGTGCCGGGGCTCTTGGCTTGACAAAGAAAGGTAAAGTGATTCTGTCTTTATCTTTGCCACTCTTTTGATCTTTACCAAATATTACCTGGCTTGTCTGGAGCCAGCCTGTAGGGTTGGGGAGCCTTTCTCTCCATAGTTCCAGGGTTTGGTGAAGCATCTTACACCAGTAAGTATTGATTGAACGTCTGTCAGTGACCTCTGCAAACTCTGCTTTTGTTGTAGGAAGCAGTACAGGTTTTGATTAAGCACTCAGCTGATGTCAATGCAAGGGACAAGAACTGGCAGACCCCTCTTCATGTGGCAGCAGCCAACAAGGCTGTCAAATGTGCAGAAGTGATCATTCCCCTGCTGAGCAGTGTCAATGTCTCCGACCGAGGGGGGCGCACAGCCTTGCACCATGCGGCTCTGAACGGCCACGTGGAGGTGGGTATTTTTATCATTCAGAATTGGAACGCTCCCTCCAGGACTTTCAGCCACAAGTGGAAACTGATCTTCTTGCTGAGATTTTAAAGAATGTGATGAAAATATTTGTACACCAAACCTTCAGCATCTATATCATTCTCAACTTTAGAGCCACAATGAATTGAAAAAGTAGGCTGTCACTTCAGTCTTTTCCTCTGACACACATGACACATGTCCTGCTCTGACATCATATTTCTACTTTGTCAGAACTCCAGATCTCTGACCTGCCTTTAGATTTCATGTTAATTTGGCTCAGATCATCTGCAGGCAGTGAGGAGGCCTCACCATTACAGAATGTATGCTTGATTTCATTGTTGGTTATCTTTCAGATGGTCAATTTACTCTTGGCCAAAGGGGCAAATATCAATGCATTTGACAAGAAGGACCGGCGTGCTCTGCACTGGGCAGCATACATGGGTAAGGATTCCATGCATGGAAAGCAAAGTACAGATAACCTTAACTAAATAAGCCATGGGTCTCTCATTGACCATGTAGGTTTTCTCCAGTCTGACTTCTTTTCAAGCTTGGGTTGCAATTGAATGAAGATTTGGTTGGTTTTACTGGCATGCATAGTGCACTCCAGTCGGGCAGTTGCTTTGTCAGATATTTATTTATCCTACAAAGAAGAGGAGGAATGAATCATGGCTTGGGCCTCTTTGAATGTGCTTCAGTCTGGATTGGAAAGCTGCACAGATTGTGCTTATTTTAACTTGTCATGGCAGTAAAATAAGGTGTTTTAAAAAGAAAGAGCACTGGCTCGGAAAGCAAGGACACAAATTCCATTCGTCTTTTTAAATTTATAAATATTTTTGAAAGAAACAAAAAGAAAGGAAGAAAAGACAAACCTCTGGCTATTTTATAGATGGAGGGCACCAGAGGCGCTGGTGATTATCCTGATAGTCCACTGACGACAAAACTGAAGCCTGCAGCCCTCATTTCTACCCGCTTGGGAGAGTTCACATTTCTACGTTTTTCCTTTTCACTTTTGTTGGCAAATCCCACTGACAAATGAGAGATCTCACAGAGTTTATTCTAAGTGTAGACTTGTGGGAAATGAAGAACTAAGATATTCCCTTTGTGTTTCTAATTGGAGAACATCCTGCCATTAGAAAAATAGACAGGATTCTATCAGCACCAAGTTGTAAACAACCTGAATGCCCATCCACAGGAGATTGTTTTGGTAAATTCTGGAAGATCCACACAAGGGGACACTTTGCAGTAACTACAGTGATGAGTCCATGAGTGTTTATTAACACAGAGTCTGTGATATGTTAAATGAAAGCATATTATAAAACAGTATAAATAATATAATTCTCATTTTCATTGAAAAATCTGTACAATAACAAACTTGGAAAATATTATATGCTAAAATTTTAATTGATTGTCTTTGGGGATTTATGATTGTGGATGATTTTGGTTTTCTTTTAATACCTTTTTGCCTTTCTGAATCCTTTTTAACAAGCATATGTGCCTTTTATCATCACTTTAAAAATTAACATTAATTGTAGGGAGAAAGAGTAGGTTGGGGCAGGGATGAAATAAATTATGTGGCTAAAGGTGGGTCTGAGTGAATCCTTGGGCTTAAAAAAACAGAATCTTAAACTTTTACAAGCATTAGCATTTAAAAAAAAAAGTTGACATGGATTTTTGAGTTGGCTGAAGCATATGAAATGACTGCGTGGCACCTGCAGGACTGGAGCCAGTGACTGTGGGAGACAGCTGTGTAGGCCGAACACACACTAAGCTAGTGTGGATAGGACTCAAAGAATGCAAAGTTTCACGATTGCTCTCTGCTGATGTATATACAGTTAAAGCATTTGGATAAATGACTCTAAAGAAATCAAATCATTGTTTTGTGTGCTGTCAGGATACAAATAGGAATAATAGGCAAAACCAGGGCAAATAGCTTAAGATAGCAGCACTAATAATCGAAAAAAATTTTTTCTATATAAAGTCTTGGAGAGAAAAGAGTCAAATTTTAATAAAACAAGCCAATACTTTCCCCCCACCCCAACACACACACAAAGTCCTGGAGTCAGTACTTGTCTTCTACCCTTCAATTTTCAGCCATATTTAGAGCAATGATCCTGAAGCATTGAACAATCTTCAGTCCCGAAATAAAGGTCAAATATGCTTGTTTCTTTGTTTATTTATTTATTTATTTTTTGAGACAAGGTCTCGCTCTGTTGCCCAGGCAGGAGTGCAGTGGTGTGATGTCGGCTCACTGCAGCCTCTGCCTCCCAGGTTCAAGTGATTCTCATGCCTCAGCCTCCTGAGCAGCTGGGACTACAGGCATGTGCCACCATGCCCAACTAAGTTTTGTATTTTTAGTAGAGATGGGGTTTCACCATGTTGTACAGGCTTATTCTATATATAGTGAATTATGGAACAGAGTAAAATATTGTAGAAAAAAATGCTAACAGGAGCTAAAACTAGAAGGGTTTTCTGTTTGGCCTCTAATTCATGAGGATACTTTTAAGTTGAGGCATATGTAATTGCCATTTTTGTGGGTCCAAATACAGTTGAGCAGCAGTAATTTTATATGATTAAACAATAATCTGGGGTCATTCTCATTAATTGTTTTTTTTTCTTTTATCAGTTTTTCCTAACTGAATTGTCATTGTTAAACTTTTCAGTGAGGAATGGCAATTGTTTTCAAAAGCATTGCTTTCATTTTAATACAACATTTTTAAAGGCTCTCTACTAATATCTTGGCAAAACCTCACCATTATTCATTAGTGTGGTAACAAGCATCACCTAGATCTCCTTGAAGAGAAGGCTCACATATGAATCATCTTTTTTCTCCCCACAGCTTTTACATTATGCCTGACTATAGGAGGTACTCAATAAATATTTGTTGAATAGTTGCCATGAACCAGCTTTTTACAAATAACTCAGCAAAATACTGGTGGCGATGAAAGCTAATAGTTGATAATTTAGGTGAAATGAATCAGCAAATTGTCCTATAAAGGTTAACGATGTTTTCTGCTGCTTTGTTTGTAAAGGCCACTTGGATGTTGTAGCATTGCTCATTAACCATGGCGCAGAAGTGACCTGTAAGGATAAGAAGGGTTATACCCCTCTGCATGCTGCAGCCTCCAATGGACAGATTAATGTTGTCAAGCATCTCCTGAACCTGGGGGTGGAGGTGAGCTATGATGAATGCATCAATGCATGGCCAGTGTATTTGTAAGATTTCTGTTATTCTAAAGTTAAATCCTGTTTGCACTTTAATTCAAGGGCAGGGGAATTGTTTTCTAGCATCCTGTCTTTTTGAGTTTTTGTGGGCAACTGATGAAGGGCAGTGGGGGCATACACTAAGCAGAGGAAAACTGGAAACTGAATAACTTTCTATATCAACATAGATAAATATATAGACATAAAGATTCTATGTAATATATATTAACCAGTTGTTCTTAAAGACTGGCCAAGGTTCTGCATCCCACCTTCCAAATGTAGCCTTCTAAGTCATGACTTACAGCAGAAATGAATGAATAAATGGCAGAGACAAACAGCAGCAATGTCTACTCTTGAGCTGGAAAAGGCAGACTGCTGCCTTCTCTTTCTGCTGGTAGAACAGGAGCAGTGGTGAGGCTGGAACATCCTGTCCCCCAAGAAAGGAAAACCAAGTTGCATCATTATGGAAAACCATAATGAGGAAACCAGGCATCCAGGGCAGGTCTCAGAAAGCAATAGGGAGCCGTGGACGAAACACACCTCCTGACGGCACCACTGCTCTGCTACTAAAATGCAACCTGGTGAGGTGTCGGACTCCAGAGCAAAACAGAGAGTGGATTCTGACCCGCCTTCCATGTTTAGACTCCACAGCCACCTCCCCTGCCATCTCCGCAGCCACTTCCTCTGCCATCCCCCACCATTTCTTGAGGTTTTCTGTGCCCCAATCCTAGAGTGTGGGACTCTTTTCATTCTCCTCTGATTTACTTCTCTTTTGGTGTTTTGAAAGCAGCTTTGCCCTTCACCTTTTATTCCTTTGTTAGCTGAAAAATACCTCTCCCCAGGATGAAACTTCTCTGTCTCCAGTTCATTTTTTGCCACATTGACTTTTTGCTGATCTTTACCATGGGGTGACAAGCATTCCCAAGATGACCACACTGGGGCAAGAGTAAGCTCTGAACAATTATATTGGCGGATGGCTATTTCCTTTCTCTAGCCACAGCCGTTATGCTTTTTGTGGAAAATGGAGTAAACTGGCTCTAATGACTTTAATCACCCTGTGTTGGACTCTTTTGCAGATTGATGAAATCAATGTCTATGGAAATACAGCGCTTCACATCGCCTGCTACAATGGACAGGATGCTGTGGTTAACGAGTTGATTGACTACGGTGCTAACGTGAACCAGCCAAACAATAATGGGTTCACCCCTTTGCATTTTGCTGCTGCCTCCACTCATGGTGCTTTGTGTCTTGAATTGTTAGTAAACAACGGGGCAGATGTTAACATTCAGGTATGACACTCTTAGTCTCTGTGTTGAATGCCTTTGCATTGAGCTTCTGTTTGAGCAAAATCAACTGCTGCAAATTATGCCATGTTTTAGTGAGTTGGAACCTCACAGCCTTGTCCTGGATTTGGAGGCTATAAGAAAAGTTGTCTGGAGGCTGAGGCAGGTAGATCATGAGGTTAGGAGTTCAAGACCAGCCTGACGAAGATGGTGAAACACCATCTCTACTAAAAATGCAAAAATTAGCCAGGCGTGGTGGCGGGTGCCTGCAATCTCAGCTACTCGGGAGGCTGAGGCAGAGAATTGCTTAAACCCGGGAGACAGAGGTTGCAGTGAGCTGAGATTGTGCAACTGCACTCTAACCTGGGCAACAGAGCAAGACTCCGTCTCAAAAACAAAAAAAAAAAAGTTGTGTTATTTTTCTTCAGGAGTGGTGGTATCAGCTGAAAGGTACCAAGGCTCCAGCCGTGTGTTCTTGTTAGCTTAGTGAATGTGTCAGGACAAATACTGGATCTCTAGGATATTGACTTGCCCAGAAGCTAATACTGAGGTGAATGTTGAGCTGATAGGGCAGTGTTGCTAAGAATTCAAAGGAAGGCCTAATAATGATTGTAGGCCTGTTTCCAACTCCAGTGTGGGTTTAGAGCTTCTCAGATACCTTCTTTCTTTTCTTTCTTTTTTTTTTTGAGATGGAGTTTTGCTCTTGTCACCCAGGCTGGAATGCAATGGCGTGATCTCAGCTTACTGCAACCTCTGCCTCCCAGGTTCAAGCGATTCTCCTGCCTCAGCCTCCCCAGTAGCTGGGATTACAGACATGCACCACCATGCCCAGCTAATTTTTTGTATTATTAGTAGAGATGGTGTTTCACCATGTTGGCCAGGCTGGTCTCAAACTCTTGGCCTCAAGTGATCCACCTGCCTCAGCCTCCCAAAGTGCTGGGATTACAGGTGTGAGCCACTGTGCCCAGCCAATACCTTCTTAAAGCAAACCCCAGATAGTGGCTTCAGTGATGTAGCACTGAGCTGGTCATCACAATCATTCCTTTATTCAGCAAATTTACTAAGGACTACCCAGTGCCCTCTGTTTGGTACTGAAAGAGTGCTCTAAGATGAGATTCAGTCTCTGCCTTTAAGGAACTTACAGTGTAGTAGGGAGGTAGCATGCACTCAGGTAATCATGAGCAAGAGAAGATATGATGAGAAGAGTCATAAAGCATTGCAAACTCTAAGAAGCAATTGTTGACTTGTTTTTTGCTTGGGAATAAAAAATGGAGATCGATTTTGAGGGGAGACTTGGAAGATTAATGTAGTTGAGTTGAGGAGGGATAGAGATAATTTGAGAGAGAGTGTTCCAGATAGAACAGCATGAGCAAAGAGGGGTGGGAATTCTGGATAGGAAAACCTCTAGGTAACTTGTCAGCTTGCCATGTGACAGCTAACCAAGGGGAGCTTATCACGCAGCATTCATAATTTGGGCGACATCACTTGAATGCATTTAGATTGTAGCAGAATATCCTTAGCTGTGCTAGGAGACCTTTTATTCAACCCAGGCTTCCCTTCTTCCCAGCACACAGGGATCCTGAAGCAAGGTCCCAGTGTATTCTGTCTCTGGTTTTGAAAAATGATTTCTAAGGTGTAATTTCAAGAATATCACATCAGTCTATTTTAATAACCTTCTCTATTCACTATTAAAATCTTATATTTTTTCACAATTTCTAATAGTGGTGAAAGATGTGACAAATTTTCAGAATAGCAATTGATTGTATCAAATAGAGTATAATTTTATGAACATGCCAAGTGTGGTGGCTCGGCCTGTAATCCCAGCTCCTTGGGAGCCTGAGGTGTAGGATTCCTTGAGCCCAGGAGTTTAAGATCAGCCTGAGCAACCTAGTGAGATCCTGTCTGTAAAAAGCTTTTTTATTTTTAATTGTATGACAGAAAGGAGCCAGAAATGAGCTGAAATGTGATTTGACCAAGGAAGAGGACTCATCTACTGGATGATTTTGAGCCCAAGGAGCTTGGGCCTCTCCAGGCTCTGCAGGCCACGAATCATTCTAGGGGTCATATGATCAGACCTGAGCATTAAAAACAGTAATCCGGTCACAGAACACCAAAGGCAGGAAAAAAAAAGGAAAATAATCATATATATGACTACAAAAAAGTCTTAAACATTTATAAAACAAAACAACAACAATAAAACCTCTAACATGAAATTAAAATAAGAGCAACTTAGGGAAAATTTTCTTCAATATACATGATAAGCAAATAGTTAATATGCTTGATATAAAAAGAGCTCATACAAATCAATAAGAAAAAGTGATCATTACTAGAAAACATGGAGCAAAAGTCAGATCACAAGAGAGAATAAAAAATACATTAAGCCTGTGAAAAACTAGTATTACTGGTAATTAGAAAAATACAAACTAATACAAAAACGTACATTTGTGTTAAAGAACGGCAAATATCAAAATGGCTAATAACACCTAGTATTATCAATGAAAACATTGAAATGCAATAAAGAAATATGATCTCTTTTTTAATGCTAAAATGTTATGGTTATGTGTGTAGATGATGCAAAAACAGAGAAAATTCTCTGGAGTATGTACCAATATGCTAGCAACAATTATCACTGCAGAGAGACAAAATTATGATTTAGGTTTTTCTTTCTTTCTTTCTTTCTTTCTTTCTTTCTTTCTTTCTCTCTCTCTCTCTCTCTCTCTCTTTCTTTCTCTCTTTCTTTTGTTTTTGAGATAGAATGTTGCTCTTGTCATTCAGGCTAGAGTGCAATGGCAGGATCTTGGCTCACTGCAACTTCTGCCTCCTGAGTTCAAGTGATTCTCCTGCCTCAGCCTCCCGAGAAGCTGGGATTACAGGCACCTGCCACCATGCCCAGCTAATTTTTGTATTTTTTTGTAGAGAGGGGTTTTTGCCATGTTGGCCAGGCTGGTCTCTTAACTCCTGAGCTCAAGCAATCCACCCACCTCAGCCTCCCAAAGTGCTGGGATTACAGGTGTGAGCCACCACGCCCAGACTTTAGTTTCTTTTTTGTGTATTTGCTTTAGTCTTCTGATTGTGATACAATGAGAATTTTAAAAAATTATTTTTATTATTATTATTTTTTTATTGAGACAGGATCTGGCTCTGCTGCCTAGGTTGGAGTGCAGTGGTGGGATCTTGGCTCACTGCAACCTCTGCCTCCCAGGCTCAAGCCATCCTCTGGCCTCAGCCTCCCGAGTAGCTGGGATTACAGGTGTACGCCACCACGCCCTGCTAATTTTTGTATTTTTTTGTAGAGACGGGGTTTTGCCATGTTGCCCAGGCTGGCCTCCAACTCCCGAGCTCAAGTGATCTGCCTGCCTTAGCCTCCCAAAGTGCTGGGATTACAGGCATGAGCCACTGCACCTGGCAGAGCATGTTATTTTTATATCCAGAAAACCAAAAAAGCTATTTTCACTTTTGAAAAAAAGAAAACCCAGGTATAGTGGACCTAGAGAAGAGCTGATTAGTGGATAACTAGAAATCAATAAAACTGGCATTGGTAAGAGGTAATAAGAGAACAGGGGAACGGGACTGAAGGGAGAGGCTTTGCAGAAAGAAAATCAGCAAGACTTGGTGGGACATGAACTGGAGGAGTTGAAGACTAATGTAAGGATTGAAATGTGGCAAAGAGGCCAGGCGTGGTGGCTCATGCCTGTAATCCAGCACTTTGGGAGGCCGAGGTGGGTGGATCACCTGAGGTCAGGAGTTCAAGACCAGTCTGACCAATATGGTGAAACCCTGTCTCCAAAGATACAAAAATTGGCCAGGCGCGGTGGCTCACGCCTGTAATCCGAGCACTTTGGGAGGCCAAGGCAGGCAGATCACGAGGTGAGGAATTCGAGACCAGCCTGACCAACATGGTAAAAGCCAGTCTCCACTAAAAATACAAAAATTAGCTGGGTGTGGTGGCGCATGCCTGTAATCCCAGCGACACAGGAGGCTGAGGCAGGAGAATTGCTTGAATCTGAGAGGCGTAGGTTGCAGTGAGTTGAGATCCCACCACTGCACTCCAGCCTGGGCAACAGAGCAAGACTCTGTCAAAAAAATAAATAAATAAATAATAAAGGAAGGAAGGAAGGTAGGAAGGAAGAAAGAAATCCGGCAAAGAAAGGTGGTGCAGCAGAGTAGTTAAGTGTTCCGTTCTGGGGCCAGACCGCCTAAATTCCAATCCTAGCCTTGACTTTTAGTATCTATATAATCATAAACAAGCTCTTTGTGTGTCTCAGTTTATCTGTAAAATTAGGGAAACAATAGTGTCTTCTCCATGGAACTGCTGTGAATATTAAACAGCTTTATCATACATAAATCATGTAGAATAATATCTGCCACATGATAAGCACTAGAAAAATAGATGTTATTATTGATGTTCATTAAGAAAGACGTCAGGAGGAAGAGTAGGCTTAGGGAGTTAAACCAATATATTTAGTTTTTGACAAGCTGATTTTTAGGTTTTGGTATAGCCAGTCTGAGAAGCCCAATAGTGTCAAATGTGGTGTTCTAGCATGGCAGACTGGTAGAGAACAGAAGAAAAAATGTAGATTGCTTCATTCATGTAAAGGTGATTGTTGAAACCAGGAGAAAGGGACGAGACCGCCCAAGGAGAGAGTATGTAATAGCATGAGTACAGAAAGTGAAACAGCCCTTTACTCTTAGGAACAGGAGGAGGAGAAAGAGCCAGAGAAAGGGATGATAAAAGGAGTTAGAGGAGACAGGAAGGAGTGTCGTGTTTTCATGAAGATGGAAAGCAGACAAAAAAGAATGGGGGCATCAAAGAGACCAAGGAACTGTCGTCTGAGGTTGGTAAGGAATCTTTGCGTGAGGCTGAAGTCGCAGAGCGTGGTGTTGAGGGGGCAGGAAGCACGTGGGTGGTCAAACTGCCAGCGTTCCCAAAACTGTAGACATCTGTCTTGCCATCCTGGTATCTGAAGGACATCCTGTGAATCCTTCAAAGGAAGGGAAATTATTGGAATTTAATAAAGGCGCTCTCTTTACCAACCTCCACTTAATTAATTCACAGAGTTGTCTGATGCACTTCATTTTATCTGTAAAACATGCCACCAATGCTCTCAGTGTGCCCCATACCAGAGGCTAGAAGGCTACTCTCTGGCACACCGGCCTACTGCTCCCAGTTAACTGACCAGTGGTCAGTTCAGATTGGATAAGGGACTTCAGCTTCTGTGATACATTGGTTTTTGCAGCCCCTTCTTCCCTTCCACAAATGGAGCTGAAAAGCATAATTCCTTAATTTTAATATTTATTTTTTTCCTGTGGACTGCTGATCATAACTAGAATATAAGAAATGCCATTTTAAAACTCTGAGATTTGAGTTTATTATGATTGACTCTGTGTAAATAGGATTTTGAATCAAATCTAGCCTTCATTCTCAGTCTCCCTTCATCTATTCTGTCTGTATCCTCCGATTTCCTAAATCTCTTTGAATCCTCCTTAGTTATTCCAGATTCACTCTGGATGCACGGATCATCTAACATTTCCATAGAGCCATCCTGTCTGACTCTGGAGGTAGCTGTCTAATTAAAGTTGTTATCTCTCTGTACCACATTGCTCCTTGGATTTTGAAAGTGTTTGTAGATTGCAAGACAATTTGTATTTGTTTAGATTTTCCAAAAGTTGAGGGAAGTAGCATATTGAAATGCAGCCATTACCTATCCACATGTTCACTTTGTTTTCCTCTATTCTCACAAAATAGTAAAAGTGATGTCTTCATGAGCAACTAAAAGATGGATGGGAAGAGGAGGAGGGATGTGTGTTCAGCCTGCATTTCACAGTTCCTCATTTTGCTTACATTGATTGACTCTGGTCCTGTTTTTTGACTTCATGATATGAGTTTAATTGTGATAAAATAAAGATATACTTTACTGATACAATAATCAATTGATGGTTTACTTATAATTTGTAAATAGGTAGAACATGAGAAAGTATAAAATATTTTTTCTTTTCCATTAGAGACTACATTGTAATTTCTGTAGCATCTCAAGGCTCTTTTAGCAAGCATTCAAAGTAAGCGTTAAAGAAGGCACTAGACATAGAGCTGTGCTGGATACAACTTAGAAAGACAGACTCAGAAATTGCCATTGCCAGGTTGTCTACCTCCTGTTCACTGACATTTAGCCTGTGCATGGTCTCAATTCTTTTCTGTCTGCAGGCTCTTAGATCATTTAGCTCTAAGAGATGGGAGTTGAAACATGTCTGCTTGAAGTGGACCAGTTCCCTTCTCTATATGTACCAGGACCAAATTATGGAATAGGTTGTGTTGGAGAAGTTGAAGGTGGAAACTGGAATGGGCAAGAGTAGGCAGTGATAGGGACGGTACTTAGAACGTTGGAGAAGTAAGGGAAAGGAGAGGAATGAGTGAGCCAACCACGTTCCATCTCTCTTGCCCTTAGAACCATACAAAACAAAACAAAATAAATTGGACAATGTGTGGCTTTTTCACACCAGTATTTTAGGAGGCTCTTGCATTGAATTAGGAAGACTTATTGGGTTTCTCACCTTATTTGACCCCACCCCTAACCGCAGGTTGGACTTAATGTTATCCCATAGAGCTTTTATTGCTCTGTAGTAGGGCCACTGAGCTCTGTGACCCCAGGGGTGTACCATGCCACAGAGAACATTATGCTTTCAAGACCCTGGGGAACAACAATGTCTGTAAATTTAGGGAACGTATATGGGATATTGGAAGATGAGGAAAGAAGGCATTAGGAATAAAAGAAAAAGTGAATGGATTTCTGAGGAGACTGGTGGTCAAGAAAATATAAACACTGCTTTTAGTTCAAAGATTAATCTTCCTTAGGCAATGCTGAGTTCTGCCCTGAAAGAGTACTAATATTTGTTGTAAATATTTTAATCCTCAGTATTTTTCCTTTATGACTTAGGGCTTGATTATGCCTAACTCAATAGAAGTGCTTCTTGCTTAATTAAATGGATTATCAAAATAACAATAATTTCAAAGCCCTAAATTCTATGGGAAAATGTAGCTAGAAAATTGGAGGGAGACTAGAAATTAAGAAAAAAATTTTCATAAAAGCTTTGAATAGATGGAAGAATTGCACATATTCTCTCTTTTGAGAACGCAAGGAATGTTTTATCTTTTTGTGCAATTCTAGGAATAGTAGCAACAGCCAGTACCCCTGCATGATAAATTTCAATTTCTCAGATCATGAAACTCAGTAGGGTTCCCTAGTCTCAACTTTAATGTTCTGAGTTCTAACTTTTAAGAATTATATAAAAAGTATTATCCTTTTGAGTTTCATTGGTTTTCTATAGCTTTTTGAAATAATGAGCTCCCTTTACACCCATACCATGTGAACAAAGTTGTCCCAAAATGGCTGCCATGATACTCTTAATGCTTTCTGTCCCAATTTCCCCACCTTATCTACCTGTTTCCCTATGTGAAGAAAAAAATATCAGCTATAGCCTGGACTCAGGCTATAGATGAACCCAGGCAAAGATCTGCAAAGATGGATGCAAAGCAATTGTCACCACTGATCATATGGCTGTTCTTTGCATTTTACCTAACTTTGGTCATCTCCATTTACTTGTCCCTTTACAAGTGCACAAGCACTCTCAGAGAAAAGAAGGTTGTGGTGTTTGCTATCCCTGAAATGGGCCTGGCTTTGCCCACCACACACTTCAGAGATCACTTCTGCTTTGTCTCTCTGCCTGCAACTTAGATAGCTACCACCAAGTTGGTGGTTACTCCTTGGTAAGGCCTTTAAGCTCTTTTATAGACATGGAAAATTGCTTAGCTGAATATTGTGAAGATATTTTCTAAATGCTGAAGTATTTATAGCTTTAGATATATTTAATTAATAATTACTTATGGTTTCATATTAAGAGAAAACACTGGAGCAAAATTTAAAGAAATAGCACCACCTAGGGACAAGTTAATGCCAACTCCACAATTTCTGCCTTCTCTCGCCTTAGTTATTTTGAAGTGTCATCACTTTTTAATTGGAAGGGGGTGTTTTAAATCCTTATTCCAAAGTAGTTCCCAGGTGTTTCAGTCCTTGGAACTGTGTGCAGTCCCGACAACTAAGGCCTAGCTCTGGAATCAGATAACTTTTAGGAGCTCTCCTTCCCAGTATGTCTCATGGTCAGCGATGGTTTTGTATCTCATTCTCTTGATTGCTCCAGTTTTTCCTCTAAAAGTATTATCAAGCTTCAGCTCTCCTTTCTCAGTCTGTTCTGATTCAGATTATACTCATAGAAGATGGAGAAAAGATCCTATTATTTCTTTTCTTCCCACATCTACCTGAGAATATTGAATTATAATGATACATGTTTTTTTTTTTCAATTAAGATGAACTTACCGTTCTAATTAACTTTTTTTTCTTGGCACAGACTATGTGTAATTCCTTTTTTATTTCTAAGGAATAGACTTATAGAATATAATAAAATGCTTGTGTTAAAACCTTGGTTTTATAACCTATTTTAGCCCACAGTCCAAAGCAGGGGTTAAAAATGGGACCCTCTTACCCCAATTCTGTAGTTCAGGGTTAAGGTACAGAATTCATATTTCTTTTTCTTTCTTTCTTTTTTTTTCTTTTCTTTTTTTCTTTTTTTTTTTTTTTGAGACGGAGTCTCGCTCTGTCGCCCAGGCTGGAGTGCAGTGGCACGATTTCGGCTCACTGCAAACTCCGCCTCCCGGGTTCACGCCATTCTCCTGCCTCAGCCTCCCAAGCAGCTAGGACTACAGGCCCCGCCACCACACCTGGCTAATTTTTTGTATTTTTAGTAGAGACGGGGTTTCACCGTGCTAGCCAAGATGGGCTCTATCTCCTGACCTCTTGATCCTCCCGCCTCGGCCTCCCAAAGTGCTGGGATTACAGGCGTGAGCCACTGCGCCTGGCCCAGAATTCATATTTCTAACAAGAATCCTGGGTGATTCAGACGTGGGCAGTCCTTGGTCCACTCTAAGAAATACTTACCTAAATTATTATTTGTTTTCCAAGATGGAGTTTTTAAAACAGTCATTTTAAAATACAGGCATTTGGATTTCATCACAAAATGAACATGCATTTTTAAAACCTCGTATTTTAATCTCAGACTTAGAGAAATTTTTCCTCTGAGACTTATAAAAATAAGTGTTACATAGATTTTTTTGATAACAATACTTGGATGAAAATACATTCTCTCTATTGGGGATACTTTTATTCTAAAATAACAGTAATATTTTCTTTTGGGCCTATTTTCAGAAGAAATTCTGTAAATTACTATTTCTTAGTTACATATGGTATCTTGGTATTTAGTATAATGATGATTGGTATATAGCTGTTGTACATTTTCTGTGTTTTGGCTTAATCTGTGTCAGGAAATTTCATAATTTCGATCATGAATAGTAACAAATATATGAATTCAGCACACATTCCCAGCTGGTCATTCAAAAGGCAGTTTCCTAAACAGTTGCATGCCTTAGTCCTGTGACTTCTAATGAGTTAAGTAAAGTAAGAGATTCTCTTTTGGAACAATAAAAAATTATGGTTTTGTTTTTTTCTGTTTTTTTCTTTTTCTTTATTCTTTTGTTTAAATTTTTTCTTTTTTGTTTTATTTTATTTTAAAAGTGATTTTTTTTTTAAATGGAATTATAATGGAGGGAATAGTAGAGGGTTCCAGATCAGTTTTCTTTTCTTTTTTTTTTTTGAGACAGAGTCTCACTCTGTCACCCAGGCTGGAGTGCAGTGGCACGATCTTGGCTCACTGCAACCTCCGCCTCCTGGATTCAAGCAATTCTCCCACCTTAGCATCCCCAGTAGCTGGGATTACAGGCATGCGCCACCATGCCTGGCTAATTTTTGTATTTTTGGTAGAGATGGGGTTTCACCATGTTGGCCGGGCTGTTCTTGAACTATCTCAAACGATCCACCTGCCTTGGCCTCCCAAAGTGCTGGGATTACAGGTGTGAGCCACCACGACCGGCCTCAGGTCAGTTTTAAGAGTTGCAGTGATTCAGAGCCATTTGGTCAGCTTCAGCTTAAAGAATACCATGCAAGGTAACACATTTGTCTTTTTTGTGTACTATAGACAAAGGTTGAAAAAAACACCTTGAAGGAAACTTCCTTCTCCAGTAGATCACAGGAGAGGAATAAAGGTTTCAGATAACTGTTTCTCTAAGCTTTTAAAACATGTGATGTTATGCAATAACTTGAGAGGTCAGGTACATTTTATCTTTTCCTTTCAAAATTATCTTTGCCTCTTGTAATTGTTGATCATACTTTTATTTTATTTTATTTAGAAGAATGTCATTCTGTCACCCAGGCTGGAGTACAGTGGTAAAATCCTAGCTCACTGCAGCCTCATGTTGATCATACTTAAAAAATAAATAAATAAATGAATGTTTTCAGGGCATTATTAGGAGTGTCCATAGGGGTATTTCAGATGGGTGTCACTGGCTCATGAGCACCTCCATTGTTTTTCTCTCCCTCTCTTTTTTTTAGAGTAAAGATGGCAAAAGTCCACTGCACATGACAGCTGTCCATGGAAGGTTCACACGGTCACAGACCCTCATTCAGAATGGTAAGAGAGATGCTTCAGTAGTGTCATTATTTCGATAGTTTCTTGTTGTGAATTTGGCTGTCAGTCACCTGCATATGAAAGTCGATGCCCTGTTTTGGAGTTTTAGTAAGCATGCAATTACATAATTCTTTGATGTACTTTGCTAAAAACTGTTCATCAGACATGTCATCAACATCCACCTTAATAGTAAAAACATAAAGCCACAGTTTCACAGTCAATTTGGAGTCAGGCACAGAGCATGAGCTTTGAAATTGGAAATGATGTATTTATGTAGGCTCAAGATCCTGTGCATCTCACTCTGAAACTAATAAAGGTAAGTAGCATTCATTTTCCAGCAACAAATCTGAATTATTTTTAAATTTTAGAGTTCACTATAATTTCCTAAGTTAAAACTTATTAAGCTAGTTGGGCAAAATTAGGAAAAATGAGATGACTTAGAGGAAAAGCAGGTAAGGATGTGATATAAAGGATCATAAAATCACAGGCTTAGGTGGGCGTGGTGGCTCACGTCTGTAATCCCAGGCACTTTGGGAGGCCGAGGTGGGCAGATCACCTGAGGTCAGGAGTTCGAGACCAGCCTGGCCAACATGGTGAAACTCTGTCTTTACTAAAAATACAAAAATTAGCCAGGAGTGGTGGCAGGTGCCTATAATCCCAGCTACTCAGGAGGCTGAGGCAGGAGAATCGCTTGAACTCGGGAGGAGGAAGTTGCACTGAGCCAAGATTGTGCCATTGCACTCTAGCCTGGGTGACAGAGCGAGACTTTGTCTTAAAAAAAAAAAAATTCACAGGCTTGACAGAGAAGACCTGGGAAAGTCACAGTAATATAGTAACTTTCTGGGCTTACGACAAAGGTATGCTTGAACCATCAGGTTGTCACTGAAGTCAAAGTACTAGGGAGTATCATTTTACATCCTGGTTCATGTTACTAATAGGGGGTCATGGCCAGCAGCATCACTTCTATTAGTAAATCTTAGAGAGTATTTAAAAAAGACAAAAACCAGGTTTAGTTCAGATTTTAAGCTGATATTCCAGGTCAATCTGGCAGTTCCTATTTTTAGTTGACCCATACTTCTACTTCTCAAAATTCTGATATTAGTCAGTTTCCTTGGACCTGTATTTTTCTCATCTATAAGAATTTCGGACCACATACACTTGAATTATTAGTGGCACTGAGTTATGTCTTAGTCACTTAAGACATAAAACAAAGAAGTCATTTGACATTTGGATGGAAGACCAGCCAGTGGAATTATGCTTAGCAAGCAAAATATCTGCAGCAAAGCAAAGGAAATTTATATGCATTCCAGTGAAGCTATAGGGAAAAGAAATCCTAACAAGTTTCCAGTGAGCCAAGGAAGGTAAAACAGAAATTAACCGTGCAATACCCATTATTTCTAATTTGAAATATGTGCTATGCCTTTGACATTCATTTTATTGAAAAGGCCACCGTGTTTTATTTTGCTGAATGTAAATAAAGGGGGTCGGGGGGAGTGACCCTAGTCTCTTTCGAGCACGTCTCTTATGCCACTGTATTTCTCAACTGTTTTTCAGAAATAATGTCCACCCCCCTTTAAAAACAAACAAAACTTTTAGAAACAAACAAAACTTAAACAGCTTGGTTCCCTTTTAGAGCAACTTCAAGCTCCAGAGACAAGGTTGGAGGGAAAACAACTTTTCTCCTTCTAAGCACTGCCTTCCCCGCAGGTTCATCCCTGTGCGTCAGGCCATGCTGGTCATCTCTATGACGCATCTCCTCTCTGTCCTGCTGGCATGCTTACAACAGTCCCAGGGGACTGCTGGCAGCTTTGGCCTCTGCAAGAGCCATGTGGGCTGGAAGAATTCCATGTCCTGCCTGGATATTCTTGCTAGACTTTTTTTGTTTATTTGTGTTTTTGTTGTTGTTGTTGTTGTTGTTGTTGTTGTTTTTTAAGACACTTTCTCACTCTGTTGCTCAGGCTGGAGTGAAATGGGGTGATCTCAGCTCACTGCAACATCTGCCTCTCGGGTTCAAGCGATTCTTGTGCCTCAGCCTCCCAAGTAGCTGGGACTACAGGTGTGCCACCATGCCCAGCTAATTTTTGTATTTTTACTAGAGATGGGGTTTTGCCATGTGTTGACCAGGCTGGTCTCAACTCCTGGCCTCAAATGATCTGTCCACCTTGGCCTCCCAAAATGCTGGGCTAACAGGTGTGAGCCACCGTGCCCTGCTGTTGCTAGACTTTTGAGTTGGGGGAGACCTAAAAGAGACCCTGTCTCTTATCCTCTGTGGTCAGGGGATCTTTGTTTCAGAACCTCTCTCATTCTTGGTTGTCCTGGCATCTTGCTTATGGATTGGGTGGGGTCCAGGGGCCTGAATTGATAAGGATATAGTGGCTATAATATGTAGCCTATTATATATAATGATAAAGCTAAGTGATAATGATAAAGCCAAGTGTTCATAGTGTGCCAGGCACTTGGCTAAACACCACTTATAAAGCCTTTCAACCACCCTATGAGAAAAAGGTACTATGATTATCTCCATTTCAAAGATGAGGAAGCTGAGGCAGAGAGGTTGTCACTTGTGTCTGGATAAATGGCCAGTATGTTGAGGAATAGGGATCTGAACACAGGAAGTCTGACATCAGAGACTGAACTCTCAACCACCACGCTTATAAACATGACCTCCAGAAACCAATGGTGTTTTAAAAAAATTCCTTTTAAAATTGAATTCTGTTTACTCTGAGAGTCACTTATATTTGAAATAGAGTTTTCCCTGTAAAAGGATGCTTTGGTATTCTCTTATCTCAACTGACAATTTTTTTGCATTCATAACACATGTGAGAACTGTGAATTCTTCCATTTGACATTTTTTAAAATGCCCTTGGGGAGAAGAAAAGGAAGTTCTTTTTTTACCTCCTGTTTGTTGGCTTCCTTCTGGGAAGAATCTTGGGCTGTTGCTGGGACACTCCCTCTCCAGAAGCTCATGCCCCTAGGGCCTGGTGTCAGTCCCCCCAGAGTGGGACATCACCTAGCAGGAGCCCCTCTGTCCTCCAGGACCACATGGGCACAGCATTTGGCTCCCTGAAGCAACTAAACATGCTACTGAGGAATGTTCTTTGTATTTATTTGTTTTGTTAAATTGCATTGGTGTTTGGACTTTGAATAGTTTTCTCTGCTTCTCTGACTGCTCTCCAGTCAGGATTACTAGTTTTCATAACTTTGTTTTTCCAGAATCATCCAGCTTTAGTAAGACAATAATGAAAAAAAAAACCCCACTCTTTTTTAGTTAGTAAGCAAAGACTACCTCTGCTATCCAATCACATTGTTTGTTGTCTGAAGCTGTGTTGTCACAGCAATAGAGGGAAAGCAACTGACCAAAGACAGCATCTGGTGTCTGAAGGCATTTGACCTCACCATTGGCCCTAGGCACCCCCCTCAGATGCCGTCCAGCAGGTTACACAAGTTCAAAAATGATGTTTTCTTCACAGAAGCTTTAAAAATAAATAGAGTTTGAAAAGGAAGAGTCAAGTTGTAGGTTAGGATGAGTCAATGTGAGATTTTTGACCCTTTGGCTCACAATCCTTCCAAGGCAACTTAATAAGCTGATCATTCTTGTTTGTGCAATGAAAAACTAATTTCAGATGAATGCTTAGAGGATACTAATTAATTATCCTTTCTGACATGCTCTGCATACTTCTAAACTGGCAAATGTTTATTTTCCTCACTGGTTGTCAATGATCAATCTCCAATATTTAACTTGCAACCTTCAAATGACAAACGGTAAAGAGATTTCATTTGCATTCCAAGCAAGTTTTAAAAATTTTCAAATGAAAATGGCAAGGTTTGTGGAGTAATTGTAAGATAGAAATGCACTTATCTAGAGGTGCTGTTTATATAGAAAACATGTTTTCAGATAACAAATAGAGAGTCTGTCTTTTATTTTTCCACTAAGTTATGTTTTCCTGAAAAAAAAAAAAAAATATATATATATATATTTGAGACGGAGTCTTGCTCTGTCACCCAGGCTGGAGTGCAGTGGCACCATCTCAGCTCACTGCAAGCTTTGCCTCCCGGGTTCACTCCATTCTCCTGCCTCAGCCTCCCGAGTAGCTGGGACTACATGCGCCTGCCACCACGCCCAGCTAATTTTTTGTGTTTTTTAATAGAGATGGGCTTTCACCATGTTAGCCAGGATGGTCTCAATCTCCTGACCTCGTGATCTGCCTGCCTCGGCCTCCCAAAGTGCTGGGATTACAGGCGTGAGCCACTGCGACTGGCCTCCTGAAATATATTTTAAATGATAACAAAAGCACATATGGACAATAATTATCTTTCTTTTTTTGGGATGAAATCTCGCTGTGTAGCCCAGGCTGGACTGCAGTGGTGCGATCTCGGCTCACTGCTATCTCTGCCTCCCGGGTTGAAGAAATTCCCCTGCCTCAGCCTCTCAAGTAGCTAGGACTACTCAGGTAGCTTGCCACCACACCTGGCTAATTTTTGTATTTTTAGTAGAGATGGGGTTTCGCCATATTGGCCAGGCTGTTCTTGAACTCCTGGCCTCAGGTGATCTGCCCACCTTGGCCTTGCAAAGTGCTGGGATTACAGGCGTGAGTCACCGTGCCTGGCCAGTTATCTATATTTTTACAGTTTTAAGCTGACTTGTAAAATGAAAGCAACAACTACAAGAAAAAACTTTTATCAGCTCAGACCCCTACTCCATCCTTCCTGATAGTTTTCACTCTTCCCTTTCTCTACCCAATTTTTGGCATATTTGAGACTGGTAAACCTGGAGGCTCTAACACTTTTTAAGAATGATTTGGTGACTCTTGGCTGGGAAGGATGTGGATTGATGGAGTGTTTGTCCAGGGCAGACTTCTCTGCAGTCTGGGGATCTCTGTCCCACATCTCCCTGGATCAGCTCGACAGCTGGGGCTTTCAGGCAGACCACCGTGGGCAGCTCTGATATGGATACGTGCACACTGGATTGCTCTGAGGTATCTGTGGGGACGAGGTGGCTGCCTGTCTCCAAAGCTACCATCAAGTCATAAAATGAATTGATCTCAATTGGACACTTCTAAATTCAGATCATAGTTAACTGTCTGTTGAGTCCCTAGACGATCACAATAACTAACTTTATTATTTTTCCTGATTATAAAATTAGTACATGCTCACCGTAAACTAAAATTAAGTCATGAAAGAGATTCCGTGATCTCCACCAATGTGTCTCCTCAGCCCTATCCCAATAATTTTTATTGGCAGTTTGGTGACACTTCTGGATTTTTCTATGTATTTAAGAATATATGTAAAGATATTTAATTATTACTTTACAGAAGTGATCATACTCTATTATCTGGACAATTCATTTTAAAAATAAAGCCAGATACAGTGGCTCACGCTTGTAATCCCAGCACTTTGGGAGGCTGAGGCAGGTGGATTGCTTGAGGTCAGCATTAGAGACTAGCCTGGCCAACATGGCAAAACCTCATCTCCACTAAAAATACAAAAATTAGCTGAGCATGATGGCATGTGCTTATAATCCCAGCTACTCGGGAGGATGAGACAGGAGAATCACTTGAACCCGGGAGGCAGAGGTTGCAGTGAGCCGAGATTACACCACTGAACTCCAGCCTGGGCAACAAAAGCGAGAGTCCATCTCAAAAAAAAACCCCAAAATAACAACAACAAAAGAACCCCACTGTAACACAGAAACAAAGATTTGAAGAAAGATCAGTATTTCTATTCAAGTTCCCATTTACATTTCTCTGTCCCAGTCAGTTAAAAAGGGATTCCCTTTTCGTAAACAGCTATTAAGTTGCAGACCCCCAAATGGGTAAACTTACTGGCAGCAAGTTGATTTTCAAACAAAATTCTACACACAGAAGTCTTGAGAGTAGAGGGAAGCATCCAAAATCCTGTGTGTGCTAATTGGAGTTTTTGAAACAATTGTCCCCTTCACAAAGTGCACACATTTTTGTTAATCATTTCACTTTGTAGCAAATATTTTTATACTCTAGCCCTGCGTTTTGCCAGTACACTTGGCTAGAAAAAGCGTTGTTTGCTGAAAATAAATGTTGGGGAGTTGTTAGTTATAATGGCCAATAGTAGGATTCATTGGAATGAAGGACATATAGATCTGATGAGGACCTTATGGACGATCTTATTACAAGGGACAGTGTCCTGGCCTGGAAGATAATGCCCTTTCCCCAGAGCTGAGAAGACTCTCAATGGCTTCTTTTTGGTATAATGCTCAAGTATACTGCTAATGGGAATGCTAATGGGCAGAGCCTTTCTCAAAAGTTTTTTGCTGGTGTGTATCAAGGGTCTCCATACTTTTAGTCCAATAGTCCTACTTTTAAAAATGTTGCTGCCTGGGTGTGGTGGGTCACCCCTATAATTCCAGCACTTTGGGAGGCCGAGACAAGTAGATCACTTGAGGTCAGGAGTTCGAGACCAGCCTGGCCAACATGGCAAAACCACATCTGTACTAAAAATACAAAAATTAGCCAGGCATGGTGGCAAGCACCTGTAATCCCAGCTCCTTGGGAGGCTGAGGCAGGAGAATTGTTTGAATCTGAGAAGGGGAGGTTGCAGTGAGCCGAGACTGTGTCACTGCACTCCAGCCTGGGTGACAAAGCAAGACTTTGTCTCAGGAAAAAGAAAAAAGTTACTAAAGGAAATCATCTGAAATGTAAAGACTATTTGTAAATATGTTCATTCCTGTGTTTTTCTTAATAGCAAAGATTTGGGTATGCCCTCAATGCCTATTAATTGGGGACTTGCTAAGTAAATTCTCTAGATACTGATATTATATAGTCATTTACAATTATATTAATGAAAAAGATTAATGACATGGGAAGGATTGTAATGTAACATTAAAGGAGAACGTAGGACTAAAAAACTTTTTCTACACCGGGAACTCAACCATGGGAAAATTCTACACACGCATGCACACATACATACAACTGGGAGGAAATATTCCAAAATACTAGTACTGACTATCTTGGATAGTCAGTGAATTTATAGATGACTTCTGTTTTCTTCTTTGTATTTCTATTTTACTACATCTTCTAAATTTTCTACAATAAGAAAATACTTTCTCAATCAGAAATAAGGTACTTAAAAGAAATGTATCACACCTTTCTAGATTGAAGTCATTCATATTTATATTACTTATCCTAGCATATATAGGTATGTATATGGTTTAGACATCAGTACAAAAAGAAACCTCATACCCGTTAGTCATCACTCCCCATTTGTCCCCAGCCCCTGGCAACCACTAATCTAGTTTCTGCCTCTGTGAATTTGTTCAGGCTGTTTTCTTGAATTTTCAGTCTTTTAGGCATTCAGGGAACATTTATTTAGTCAGTCAACAAACACACCACCAAGATAAACTCCAAAAGGATCAGATATCTATATCTGAAAAAGAAAACCTTTCACGTATAGAAAACATGTGTCAATTTCTTTGTTACCAGGGTATAGGGAAAGACTCCCTAACAACAAACCCAAACATGATAAAAGACTAATACATTCCTCCCCCAATTTTTTTTTTTTTTTTTTTTGAGATGGAGTCTCACTCTGTCGCCCAGGCTGGAGCGCAGTGGCGTAATCTTGGCTCACTGCAAGCTCTGCCTCCCGGGTTCACACCATTCTCCTGCCTCAGCCTCCCAAGTAACTGGAACTACAGGTGTCTGCCACCATGCCGGCTAATTTTTTGTGTTTTTGGTAGAGATGGGGTTTCACCGTGTTTGCCAGGATGGTCTTGATCTCCTGACCTTGTGATCTGCCCACCTTGGCCTCCCAGAGTGCTGGGATTACAGGCATGAGCCACCACGCCCCGCCACCCCCCAAATTTTTTTGACAGGGAAAAAAACATCAAAAATTAAAAACAAAACCTGGGAGAAAAATAATTGTAACATGTATTGCTGATAAATGAGTAATCTCCCAAATAGAGCTTACTCATTTTAAAAGTTATTGAAAATCACTTTTGCTCATTTTTCTAAGTTTGTTTGTATGTTTGAGGACATTTAAGCCATTCACATATTTCTATTTCTTGGGGTTTTATATTACTTATACTAGCATATATACATATGTGTATATGGTTTAGATATCAGTATTGTGTATATGTTTAAGGACATACACACAAACTTAGAAAAATGAGCAAAAGTCATGAAAAATAGTTTACAGAAAAAGATAAACAAATGGTCCTTCTATAACATATGAAAAGATGTTCAACTTCCCTCATAATAAGAGAAATGCAAATGAAAGCTGCAGAGAGATACCAGCTCTCACCCATCAGATAGCAGATATTCAAAAGCTTGACAAGGCTATAAGGAAAAGTGCCTCTCATACTGTGCTGGTTAGAGTGTAAAATTGCACCGTGCCTACAGAGAGAAATCTGGCAAAATCTGACAAAACCACATATTAATTTTCCCTTTGACCTAGATATCTCCCTTCTGAAAATTTACCTTGAAGATACATCTAACAAATATGAAGCAACATACATATGAGATTATTCACTGTGGCATTCCAGATAATAGCAAAATGTTATTTACAACCTAAATGCTTACCCATAGGAGACGAGTGTACTAAACTAGTACAACTGTGCAATGGAAAACAATAAAACTGTACAAAAATCAGGAAGATCTCCAAGAAGTCATCTTTAGAAGTGAGTTCTAGGAAATACTGTTAAGTAGGGGGATTTTTTTTTGTTTTTGTTTTTGTTTTTTGTTTTTTTTTGCAAAGCGAAACACAGAAGCATAAACTAAAACTAATGAAAATGCTTGCTGTAGGTTGTGTATGAGGATGAAGAGGAAGGGATAAGAATGAGTAAGCCTTTTCAAAAATATGACTTTTGACTTTTGAAACATGTATTTTACATATTATTAAAATAAAATAAAACCCAGTAAAAATATTTGAAAGCAAACAGAATCAAATGAACCTAACTTATATAGATAATATAAGCACACAGTAAAAAATTCAGGTAAATTTTGAACAAAGTACTCCCCACATATGCTAAAAATTATTGTGGAAAAAGTCTGTTGGGAAATCAGATATCTGTACACTCTGATTGCCTGTATCACCGCACAGATTGCCTGTTAATTACAAAGAGGAGAAGATATTTTTGCAGTAAGTGTACTGACAGACACCACCTTAACCACATAATCAAGCCTTTTTTTTTATTGTGGTAAAATATACATAACATAAAATTTACCGTTTTAGCCATTTTTAAGTGTACAGTTCAGTGGCATCCAGTGCATTCCTACTGTTGTACAACCATCACTGCCATCCATTTTCAGGGCTGTTTCTTTTCCCAAACTGAAAGTTGGTACCCATTGCAAGTAGTCAAACTTTGCATCACCTGGTAATGGAATAACTGTGTGCGCTAAGAAAATGGAGCGGGAAGCACGCATCTGCTCTGGGAATTGTTGCCAAAATGTTTAGCCTGAATCTAATAATGAAGAAACCAAAAGACAACTCCAGAATGTAGAGCGTCCAACACAACTCGTGATTTGGGCTCCAATAATATCAACGACATGAGAAACTTAAAAAAAAAAAGCCAGGAGGATTGTTTTGGATTAACAGAAACTAAAGAGACATGACAACCAAGTGCTATCAGGATATTTGATTGGATCCTGGATTAAAACAACAAGATAACTATTATAAAGCACAGTTTGGGGACAGTCTGAGAAATTGGAATATGCACTAATATTACATAAAATTATTTTATGAATGTTAAATTTCTTGGGTAAAATGATGGAATTGTGGTTATGTGCGAAAATGTCTTTGTTCTTAGGAAAAACATACTTAGCGGTAAAATGTTATGATAGCTAACTTTTTAAATGGTTCCTCAGATAAATGAATGAATAGACCAATTGTATATATACACACACACGAAAAAGGGAGAGAAAAAAAGAAATTTAGTGAAATAAAAACTGGGGGAAGAGAAGGCAAAATAAAACATAATGACAATACTATATTATTAAAAGAAGTATGGATGATTATTGTCATAGTTTTTATAAATATAGGCATTTTCAGTTTATTGTCTATGCTTTTACTCATTTTAGTCATAATATTAAAATACTATAAGCTAGATCATCAAATTACATGAAATCATTTCCTGAACTGTCCATCCCCTTTGGTTCTTATGTTTTAGCACAAGGTTTACATAGGTTTTTAATTCAGCAGGGAAAATTAAAATTGAACATGTCTTCAGAATTACACTTTATGGGATTTGAATACATTCTTCATTCAGAGCAGGCATTTAGTTGTGAGATTTTGGATTCTTAACTAAGACAATATGGAAAGATTTCTCAAAAGCATTTTTCTTTTTCTTTTTCTTTTTCTTTTTTTTTGAGACGGAGTCTCGCTCTGTCGCCCAGGCTGGAGTGCAGTGGTGCGATCTTGGCTCACTGCAATCTCTGCCTCCCAGGTCCAAGCGATTCTCCTGCCTCAGCCTCCTGAGTAGCTGGGATTACAGGCATGCACCACCACACCCAGCTAATTTTTTTATTTTTGGTAGAGATGAGGTTTCACCATGTTGGTCAGGCTGGTCTGAAACTCCTGACCTCGTGATCTGCCCGCCTCAGCCTCCCAAAGTGCTGGGATTACAGGCGTTAGCCACCACGCCCGGCCTCAAAAGCATCTCTAATAGACTTCTGTCTACGCAGATATACTACTACTACTGCTTCAGATGGTGACTTGTCCCCTTTAAAAGCATTCTTGTATTTCGGAGCAAAGATGCACAACTGGAATAGGAAAGAAATCAACATTTGGTTGATACGAGAGACTAGCAGAGAACATAGGACCTGAATCAACCTGAATCCTTGCGTTATCCTGTATTAAAATATCTCTTTCAGGAGGTGAAATTGACTGTGTGGATAAGGACGGCAACACTCCTCTCCATGTGGCTGCAAGATACGGTCATGAGCTTTTGATTAACACCTTAATAACCAGCGGAGCTGACACAGCCAAGTAGGTTACCGCAAAAATACGGTGGAATAATTGCCTCAAGTGGGAATACTGCCAAAAAGATTCTTCCGTGCAGTAGATAGTTCCCATTTATCCAGGTTAAGGTGGATCTATACCATTATACTAAATACAAATTAAATTTTAAATAAATTAAGTGCCTTTTAATGACAGAGGCAAAGAAGAACCAATTTTATTTTTTAGCTTCATCCAAATGAGGTCTATTTCAGTGGTTTTAATTAAGGAAACTTGAACTTTATTCGTAACTTTTCTTTCTAATATTCTTCTGTCCTTCCCAATGCTTCATATTAAACAGGAAAAATAAAACCTAACTGAGCCAATTTAGAATGTATTCAGATTGCTTGCTCAGCTTTAATGATATGGTTATAGAGTACAATTGAGTCAATCTGCTATGTAGGGAAGGGGGAACCTGACTTCATTTTGAACTTCAATTCCACAAAAATACATAAAGCATCTATGCTGGGTGCTATGGGAGATTTCAGAAGATGTAAGTTACCTAGTTTCAAGGCGCTCATAATTTTGTTCAGGGCCCAAGACCCACTTAAGTCAAAGAACCATGCAAGATCATATATCATAAAGTTCTAAATGAAACAGACTTAAGTGGCAAATGTTTGGTGTAGACAATCTGTGTCACAGAATATAGACAGGGAGGAGAGAGCTCAAAGGTGGCCAGTGTTTTCTGAAAAGGCTTCAAGGAGAAGATGAATTTTAGCTAGGCTTTAGGGGCTGAGAATTATCTGAGTACAGCAGAGGGTGGCAACCATCCCAAGCAGGGAGGAAAGCGGGAACAAAAGAGGCAAAGACTCCACACCAGGGAAGAGCTTGGCCTGACAGAGTAGAGAATGTGATGATGCTGTGCACCACCGAGGGGCAGGACCCAGGGTGGTTGGGAGCCCAGGCTTTGGTGGGTGCTCCCTTGATGCCAATCCAAGCTGCTTCCCTTGTGAGCTATGTGACTTTGAGCCCCTTGCCTAATTGGAAATATTGTAGTAATACTAGTAATACTAGTACTTATCTGTAGGTTTGTTATGAGGATTAAGTGACTTAATTACTAGTAAAGCTCTTTGGTATCTGGTAAGATCTATATGAGTTCTATAAATACACCTCCTAAGGTTATTAAAAAGATAACGCATGTTAAAAGCTCTTTGAACAGTGCCTGGCACGTAGTGAGCTATCAATATATGTTAACTATTATTTTATTATTTAATAATAGGTAGTAGAACTAAATTAAAGAGGGCCTTCAATGCCTGAATAAAGAGTTTAGCCTTGATCAGAGTCTGTAACAATAACTAAATTTTTAGAAGAAAAACCTTATGAAAGCAGTGTATCTTAGGAATTTTATTTGTTAATTTTCTGCAACATCATTGAAAGTCTTGTATGAGAATGAGCTAAAATTGAAATGGCCTGGGGAAGACGCAGTGGGATCATGAAATCAGATTCACAGAGGGCAGGTGTTCTGGACTTAAAATGAATTTTGTGAAGCACTCTGGTAGATTGGTAGGATATAATGGTTTATCTTCATCTGTCCAACATCTTAAGTTGAACTGGGTTCCAAACACCTCCCAGTCTAGTGGTAGAGATAAGAACAAGCACAAATTACTGAGTATTGTGAAATTTGTTAAGATGGATGTTTGGACCAGGCTGTGGGAACAGAGTGAGAGAGATACTAATTTTCTGGATCCCCCAGAAAAGATGACATTGTAACAAAAGGAAGGATATATAGGAGTTTGCTAGATGGACATAATTATGGGGTAGAAAGAGAAATGGGAGAAAGGAAGGATATCCCAAGAAGAGGGAACAGTCGTTATAAAGACATAAACATGTGAACCTGTTAAAAGCACATTTCTAAAGCTGGGTCATTGGATGTTTGGTGGGTGGAGTGGAAAGAAATGAGGAGGAAAGGCTGGAAGAGCCACATCTCAAAGGGCTTCGCAAGTCCTGCTAAAGAATTACATTCCACTCTGAGTCATTCGGAAGCTGTTAAAGAATTCTAAGTGGGCGTAGAACAGGTTGTGTCTAATGATCCCATTTGTGTGTAAGAAAGTTCGCTCTGATAGCAGTCCAGACATACTGCAGGCGGTCCAGACGTACTGGAGGCAGTCCAGGCTACAAACACTTGGCAGCCTCTTGCAAATGTCCAGGGAAGAAAAGATGAGGTCTTGGGCTAAAGATGAGGCTGAGGGATGACAGAAGAGGAGAATGCTGACAAATAGTATTAGCAGTGGGATGTCTTTTTACAGAAGAGAGGGGAATCTGCTGTGAGCCAAAAGAACTTTTTAATTGGGATGTCGTAAGTTAAAATAAGCCTCTCAGTTTTGTGGAAAGAGCTCTACACTAAGATTCAGTACGCTCTTACCAGGTTCTGGAGTTCTGAACCAGATCGTAGATGCCCAAAGATAGAGATAATAAATGCTCAGTGTTAATTAAGCAGAAAAATAAATATTTAGGCACCAACTGACTTTACCTGTAATGTGTTAATATTTTCAGTGGTATTTTTTTTCAGCTTTGGGTTACTTGGGAAATTTTAGCCAAACAATCATGAATTTCTGATTTTCTTCCAGACTTGAATCCATTTTAGGAATAAAAATAAGCTGGACCCAATGGTTACTTAAAATTTTTCCCTAAAAACCATTTAATTCAATATGATGGAAATTTATTTCCATGTAATTATTTTGCTTTCAATTTATGGAAACACAGACCATGTAGCAAAAGTGCCTTAAAAATAGCATTGTTGTTCAAGTAGCATTTTCTTCCATTGTCTCTGCTATGTCTTAGGGACACAGATGAGGGAAACATTGTCTCAGCCTGAAAGAGCCATGTCTGCTTTCTTTGTCACAACTATCTGGGGATGCGACATGCTACCTTCAGTGACAATGGTTCCTTAGGGCAGTGATTGTATGTGTGTGTGTAAGTGCCTTTGTGTGTTTGTGTGTGTGGGAGAATGGAAACGACCCTAGGGCAAAATATCAAAGTGAAGGGAAGAGTAATTGGAGAAGATTAAATTTGCCAAAAGCCTCTCAGAAAATCACTGTTATCTGGGTTCCTTATAGGATTATTAAAGAGGAGAAAAATAGGCCTTTCATAGATAAGTGAAAAAACAAATAGCATTTGTGAAAAGAACCCATTTTCATTCATAAGCAATATAGCCAAATGTATTTAAATTAACTCTATATGACAAGTTTTATCATTATTACTTTCTTACGAATTTATTTGAATCTGAAATAAATGTCAGCCCTTGATTAGAATGTTCTTTGTTATTCTTTTTGCTTCTCTGAACTTTAAGTCAGAGCAGCTTCCTACGGTTTGATTCAGTGCTCATGCAACTTTACGTGATGTCAAAGCCCTTTGGTTTATCTTCTTTAATTTTGTTAGTTTGCGGATTGTCTCGAGGATTTTAATTTGCCTATTTCCTTACCAATTATGCATTCTTTTTCTGCCTCAACAGCAGAATTAGGGGTATTATAGTTTATGAATAACTGGCTCTGACATTCATTCATTCATTAAATATTGGTTGAGGGCCTAAGTGGTACCTATGATGCCAGGTTCTGGGATTATAGAGGTCCCTGCCCTTGAGGAATTTATGATCCCCTGGGAGCAAGATTTAAACAAGCAATACAATCATGCATGCTAAGTGTGATGCCAGAGCGATTGCTGGGTGCCACTGGGATGTGTGAAAAATATCTAAGATGTGGAACCCAGTCTCACAAGACTAGAGAAGCAAGATGTAAAGGTTTAACCAAGACTGAAGGATGACTAGCAGTTAGCTCATGGTAGCAAGAGTCTTTTAGATCCTCAGTATATACTTATTTTTATCATAATGATACATGAATATGTATAAACATAAACTAGATGAACTCCTTAGGCTTTTGACGCTAGCAAATTAATATTTTAAAAAATTACAAAATACATGCAAACAGAAACCAACACCATTCATGTTAACTGCACAATTTAGTAGTAGCAAACATTATGAGTGCTTCCCTCTGGGCACTGCTCTGAGGGGTTACATTTAACTTTCACCATAACCTCATGAGGTAAGTGCTATGATTATTCCCATCTTGCAGGTGAAGTAAGTGAGGCACGGAGAGGTTCAGTTACCTGCTCAAAGTCACAAAGCCAGTAAGGGATAGAAATGGGACTCATCTTCAGTCTACTGGATCTGGACCCTCAGCTCCTGAGCAAGTGGCTTGCTGCCTCTACATAGCAGATGATGTGATGGTTCACATTTTGCCAAAGTGAAGTCACCATTTGTGTAGGATTATGGTCCTGGTGGCTGAGGTGCAGGCTCTTTAGAGTTCAATATACACTGCAAGAATGGAGGTTTTGCAGTGGCTTAAAGTGGTGGAACAGTGGACTTGGCATGCAGCACAGAGCCCCTTCTTCAAGCTACTGCCAAATTTTGTTTATATGGAAGGCTCAGGTACTGGATTATCATTGGCCCTCCCTAGGTTCAGCCTTATCACTTGTCCATTGAGCCCATCTTTATTCTTTTCTCACTGGCCCATGCCAGTACTACACAAACACCAATGTGATCCTCAGTACAAACATGGACACTGAAATTAGGCAGAGGTATGTGGTGATAAAGGGCCACTCCGATGAGTCAAAAAAAATGCTTTTATGCCAGTTGTTTTAGATTATCATAGAAAGGAAAAGACAGGTTAAAAATTCTCACAGAGAACTCTTGAGATCCCAAAGATATTTCCAGTACTTCGGAGATGCACTGATTAGTTGGAGAAATAATGGGAGAAACAGGAGAGAAAGATAAGAGAGTTTCAGGTGGAGGGACTGGTATGTGCAAAGGCCTGGGGGCAGGACAGAGCCTGGCACTTAGAGGAATGGAAACAAGTTTATTGAGATTCTAGAATATTCAGATTAGACAACAGCCAGATCGAGAAGGGGCCTCTTGAACCACTTTAGCGTGTTTAAACTTGATTCAAAAGGAACCACTGAAAACATCTGTTCGTTGCAAATAACAAGGACCAGGTCTCATGGCTGTCACTTAAGGGTGCATAATAAATACTTGGAATTGCATAGATAAAATTCATAAGAAATTGGTTTGTTTACTTGGATTGATCATTTGGGTAAAACATCATAAAATCATCCTATTCTAAATTTAAGAAATGTTTTTGTCTCATCCTCTCAGTGAGCAAAGCTAAACCAATCCCACTTTGCTGGGACACTTGTGAGGTAAATATTATAAAGAATTTAGACACACAGAAAGATAACAGAAATGTTAACCGATCATGATTCATTCTTGGCTTTTAAGGAATCATACAACTGATTTTAAGGAAGTACAACCTGATTACAACTTCAAAACTCATGTACTGCTGATTACCAATTAACCTTATATGAATTGCAAGGGCAACAATCATACTAACATGTATGGTAAAGGATTTCCATGTGCGTGATGCTCCATTTTAGCACTACATGAACATTATCTCAATGGGTCCTTACAGTTGCTCCATGATAGAGTCACTGTAATTGTCTTATTTTCCTGAGGAGGGAACCGTTATGCACTTGCCAAAGGTGAAGTAGATAGCAAGTGGCAAAATGAGGACTTAAACCCCAAGTTTCTGACTCTGTCACTTTAATCATGTATTCTTTACCCACATGGCCTAAAGAGAAGGCTCAGAAAAGACTGGATGTAGGGAGGGCAGCCACATCTCTCTGATGCCAAGGGGAAAGCTTCAAAGACCCCAAATTCTAATCGTGTGAAGGCTCTTTCTTCATTTCTAATAGCTCTCTGCAAGACAGGCCTGCAGACCTCATTTATTCTGAAATAACTGGGTAGGAGATGCCAACTAACAGCTAAATTAGAACTAGCTAATATAAATGTGTTCCATTAATTCAATGACTGGTCAAATAAATGTGGCAATTTAACGAAATTGGTCTCCTCTTTCCTGTAACTTATGCATTGTTAAGTTTAGTGTGATTTGGCACCTTCATTATTGATCTTCCTTGATGTATACCTGATGAAGTAAGAGTGATGCTTCTTAATTGGCTAAGACAGCCAAGTCCTAATTTTCCTGCTAAAGGTTTTATAATCCTTCCTTTGTGAGCAGTCTTATTTTATAAAATAAGGTAGTAATTTTATTTTGAAATACATAAATCATTCCTGAATTGATTCAGAGACACTGAATTCTGCTTTTCTTTTATTTCCAATCTTGACTTGAAACTTAGTTTTACTATTTGAACCATAGTTTCATATGCAAGCGCAAATGCCAATAGTATTTGAGTCTATGCGAATCTGTTTTCAAATCCTGCACTGAAGTAGTAACTTTTTATTCACTGTGGAGTAAAAAATATATATCAAACAAATTTTACTAGACCTTTTAAATCAGAGTAGTTCTATCTCTTTCATCTTCTCAGGTTTGTAAGGAGCAGTGAAAAAAAATCAGCGAATGTAGAGTTTGATGAATTATACAAAGATGGGTTTTAAGTGGCAAGATTGATTGGAAATATTGATAATGAGGTTTATGGAATATATCATATTGTTGCTGTTATACTACCACTTATACTTTTTGTTTTTCCCAATTGGTTTCTTATAGAGTTTGATGCTATTTCCTCAAATTCATTTGCTTGTATTATTTTACATAAAGATACATATGGAACTTTATAAACTATATTGTATATATATTATGTGTATATATATTTTTATTTATGCGTGTATATGAACATATGTGTGTGTGTGTGTGTGTGTGTGTTTGTATGTATTTAAAGAATGAGGGAGGCTCAAAGAAATCTTGAGAAATCCAGTCCTTGATTCCAGGCATATTCTTTCAGGAATGAAAATATTCTATCCATTTTCCTCTTCTAAATGTCCAGATATATTTAATCACATAGTTTTGCCTTAAATTCCCAAAACAAATAAAATGATTAGGTAAAATCACATTAGCTTTAAGTGCCATTTTATAAGGAGGTTTTAAAACATGTTATGCATTGAAAAAAAAGAATGTTTCTCTTGAATCAAGAGGGAACAATATAAATAATAGCATAAGCAGAAAAGCTTCTCTCCTATCCCCCAACTCCCTCTGCCCGTTCAAGAGCATCAAGGTCATCACTGATGCAATTGCATTTCAGAATTTTTTTTTGGTAAATGATGAGCGAGGCAATTACAAGCAGTTCTCCTCCACATGATGCTGCCTGGAAGATGAGCAAATTGCATCACTTGATGGATGCCAGCTGTTATACACACTGGGCTGGAATCTCCATATAGGGAAAGGAAAACAAACAGAGGGAAGACCGAATAAAACCACCGTTAAATAGGAAGAAGCTATTATGGAAAGAGAAAACAGTGGTTAATTGCTGTCAGAATTGAATTTTGCAAAACCCTGAATACCATGAAATGTCTGTGAATGTGTATATCCTTTTTCACAGTCACACACACATCATCATAATAACTTTTGAGATGGTAAATAAAATGTATGTACCCAAAGCTTAACAAATTCAAATCATATGTGTTTCTTTATGAAGCATGGAGTCTGAAAACGGGCCACTTTGTGCCAGAGAGGAGACTTAGGTAATTAATGCTGTAGGGTGTAAACAGATATAGTCCCATACTTGCTTGTATTATGCAGAAGATTTTAAAAGGCTGAAATGTATTATTTGATTAAAATAAGATGTTATGAGAAGTGGTCACTAACATTATAGATGCTTACAAGTACACAGGAGCCACCTGGTGATGCTGTTTATTATGAGCCACAATTCAGCACATGGCTTTGGGTCCTTGCTGAAGAAGATGTAGTAGGGAAGAGGAGGAGCATTTAATCCCGAAGGCAAAAAGTGCTGCCGACAGAAGACGTCTGTCCCTTAAGGGGTCATCCTGGTGACTGTGTCTTAGTGGGGGTCGGTCTATAAAGTCCTTTTCTAGATTTTCTCTTAAATACTACTAGATTTATGAAATATATGCAAAGTAATGTTTATTACCTCCAATTGTGTTTTTGTGACTGGTATTGTGATGTGGGTTAATGTGCAATGTAAAAATCTATTAGGAAGATGAAGTTTGATCAGCAAAAGGCAAACATTAGTTTTTATTCTTATCCAAAACTTTATTTTCAACAATATAGCCATTATTAACTCCTAGCAAAGTGCTTGGGACATAATACCACAATAATATTTGTTTATCAAATCAAGAAATAAAACAAGGACTGAGCGTGGTGGCTCATGCTTGTAATCATAGCACTTTGGGAGGCCAAGGTAGGTGGATTGCTTGAGCCCAGGAGTTTGAGACCAGCCTGGACAACATGGCAAAACCCTGTCTCTACAAAATACACCAAAAAATTAGCTGGGTATAGTGATGTGCGCCTGTGGTGGTCCGAGCTACTCAGGAGGCTGAAGTGGGAGGATCACCTGAGCCCAAGGAGGTCAAAGCTGCAGTGTACTGTGATTACACTGAAGCAGGATATTTCCCTGACCCCTTTGTGGGACTTGAGACAGGGGTACCTTGTTTACTCAGCCTGCCACTCTCAACTCCTTGCTGGAAGGAACGCCTGAGCAAATGAGCATGGGAACTGGGGTGAGTGAGTGCTGGAACCAGCTGGCTGCTTTGGCACGGGCAGGAGTGAACTCTGTGCAGGCTCTGCAGCAGCATCCAGGCGGGGGTGCCTGCAACTCCCAAAGCCCCCTGAGGGCATGTTACAGTGCGCTTTGATGTCTGCCGTCCACGGTTGGCTTAAATGTTAACAGCTCAGTGGGCCCTTTGCCTTTTTGCATAAGGCAGCTGCCCTCCGCCAGCGAGGGCAAAGGGCCAGCGTGACAGCCTTTTATATCTGCACTTGTGGTTCCTGAGCTCTTGCTTGGCATCCAGGAAAAATGAGGTCTCATGAACAAATTGAAGGATGGTAAACACAGGGGATTTTATTGCCAATGAAAGTGGCTCTCAGCAGGAAGGGGAGCTGAAAAGGGGATGGGATGGGTAGATAATCTTCCCCTGAAGTCCAGCTGTCTCTGGCCAGATTCTCCTCTGAAGTTATGCCATCAAACTGTCTCTCTCAAATCAAGCTGCTTCTCTCTGACGTTCAGCCATAGTCCTGTCTACTAGCTGAGTCTGGGATTTTTATAGGCACAGGATTTGGTGGGGGAGGGCCATGGGTAGTTTAGGAAAAGGCAACATTTGAGTGGGAAAACAGGGATATAAGTTCTCACTTTGGGGCACAGTTTCAGGCTTTTCAGCTTGAGAGTGGGGTTTTGCTCAGAACCTGCCCTTTTCTGCCTAGAATTTCTCTGCCCCCTGCCTCTATCATTGTATCAGCACCACTGCACTCCAGCCTGGGTGACAGGTGAGACTCTGTCTCAAAAAAAAAAAAAAAAGTGAAAAGAAAAAAAAGAAAGGAAACAGGTTGCTTTTCAAACTTGAGTTTGTCTTGCTCAGTATTGTTATATCCAGCCCTTAGCATAGTCTATGATGCTTAGAAAGTGTTGAATAGATGAATGAGAGAATGAGACATACAATCACCAAGCTGAAAGAAAATGACAGGGAAATTAATTTTACATTTAAGGAGTCATGCTTTATGTGAAACAGATTTTCTTAAAAATATACATTCCTATGGTAATGGGCTTTTAATTATGGTTTTGATTCAGGCATTTATTATTTTAAGGTAGAAACTGATTGCATAATTATTTATTGAATGGAAGAATTACCAAATTATTTCAGCCAAGACTCCCTACACAAGGTGTTGTTAATTTTCATCAGAGAATCTAGAAAGGTAATTGTCCTTCCGCATGTATCTTGAGATCTGTTGCCGTGAGTTGCTCTGTTTTCTTACTCCTCAGGTGTGGAATCCATAGCATGTTCCCTTTACATTTAGCTGCCCTAAATGCTCACTCTGACTGCTGCAGAAAGTTGTTATCATCGGGTAAGTAAATCTGTTAGCAGAGATGAGGCTTAATGTGTCCTGTACATGAGTCAATGGCTTCAGGTGTCTGGTCAGAGTGAGTGGCTGCCTGTGCTTCATGTCATTACCTGACTCGTCAGGATGAGTTGTATTTCTCAGCTAACTGCATGTGACAGCTCCCAACAATCCTTGGTGTTAAAGCTGTTTGAATGTCATTATTCCTGCCCCAGAATGAGAGTCTTGCCTGTTTTTCAAGTAAAAGCTTGGGTGTTCCAGGGTGAAACATGGCAGGGATGGCCAGAGTTTACAGAAAGGTTACATCACAGAAGAAGGAAAAGTCTTTGAGGTTTAAAATGATGGTTTAGCATTTAATATTTTTCAACAAAGGAAAAAGGCCAAATACCCTACATCTGGTGGTAGAGAATGTCATGTTACTTTCCCACTCCCTGGGCACTGAAAAATCACTATGGCTGATTTCCTCCAACTAGGTTTAATTTCAATTTTTAAAATATGAGACTATTTGGAGCCAAGAGATTGTTTCTGGTTTGGAGCTTTGCTAATCTTTCTTATCACTACCTCTGCCAACTGTCATATATTAAGAAATTCCTGGGCTTTCAAAAATGGTAGAGGTCTGCAAGGCAAAGATTGTTTATGAATTAATTCATGAGATATCCCAGAGGCATTTTTTTTTCCTTTAAGTACTTTACCTATGGCTGATTCTGCTTTCACTGCTGTTGGCATGTTTAAAAAATAATCCCTGCATGCAAGCATGTTTCCCAACTCTTAAACCAACTGAAAGGTTGAAATACACTTCAGAAAAAAATCTGTTCCAGCATGCTAAGATTATTCCTTTGCTTCTATGTTTTGTCCATGAGTTCTATCTGCCTGTCGATTGCCCTACTTATCTCAAATTGGTTTCATAAATTTCTATCCTGGGATTAAAAAATGGGACTGTGGTTCACCCAGGGCTGAATGTGAAAATAAATCCTTCTTGACTTCACGGTTCTTCCTATAAAATTGCCAAGCTTGAGCAGTTCCCATTCGTTTCCATGACAACCTCTTTCTGACTACAATTGCTTGCATTCTGGTTTTTCTACTAACTGATTTTTCTGTCTCTGCAATGTTTCTTGTGGTTTAACTAGGACAAAAGTATAGCATAGTATCCTTGTTTAGTAATGAGCACGTGCTGTCTGCAGGCTTTGAAATAGACACCCCAGATAAATTTGGAAGAACGTGCCTTCATGCTGCTGCTGCAGGAGGGTGAGTAGTTACCAATTCTAGTTAATTTATGAGTTACTAATTCATCTTTATTGACTTGACTTAAGTTGTCTGTGAATCAAAGGCAATTTCCTTAGTAAAATAAGAATCATTTCTACTAATTATCAAATATCACTATGTTATATTTCCACATCACAAGCATTTTGTTTCACCAAAGAAAAATTATTAGCCCATTTCAAATAGCAAATAGTTCTTCTTTTGTTTTCTTCTTTCTCTTTTCTTTTTTTAAATTATAGATTTTCAGGCTATAGAATACATATCAGTTACCCCATACACCAAAAGACAATAATTTGAAATTTGTTCCTAGGTTTTTCCTCTTTTGTTGCTGTTATGTGGGTGATAATCAAGAGAATCAAAGATTGAATTAATTTATGTTCATTTACAGACATTTTTGTCCTTGTTTCAAATCTAATTTTTAGTCTTTTAATGATTAAATGTGAACATAGGTCAAGAAAACCCAAAAGACAGGCAAGAAGTGATTTAATCCTTACCTTTTTTTAAAGTTGTAAAGAGAATTTTTCATCAGCTACTTTCTTTTCACTTACCAGTGGTAAGATTGAAGCTCTGATCAATGTCATTGATATATGTGACCACACATTGACTAAACATGGCATCTCTTGGATGACCTTGTTTGGGGAAGATGTTGGTTCTTAATCAGTTTCCTGGTCCTTAAGGAACAGTAATGCTTCTCCATTTGTCATTTGTATATTACCAAAGGCATTACCTATTTATCAGAGGTGGATAAATGGTGACACTTTAGGGCTCCTTATTTACATGAGTCCCTTCTGAATTCTTATAACTAAATTTGTATTCATAATTTTGTATTATTTTTAAAAAAGACCCCTTCCCCCTACCTCAGCCCCCAAATTGTATGAGCTTCATGAGCCACACAAGTTGGATCTGCCACTACCCTTGATCCTTTGGCATCATTCAGTAAGAGACAGGTGCTTTATATCAGCTGGCATGCTACACCAACACATACTTATTTTAAAAAGTTCTTACATGTTATGATTGAAAGAGCTATTTCTCTGAGAAGGTGGCTATAAAGGGTGGGTGTGGGGTGAGGAGAGCCCTGCTCAGGTTTATCATTGAGATCATTTTTCTTATTTAAGTTATAGTAATAATTCCAGGCCACTTCTAGCATCCTAAGTTTAGAACAATGATGGACAATTGTCTCTTTTGTATGCTCACATTTAAAAAATATCAGACCTGTACAGAAAGTGACAACATACAATTCCAGATTCATGTCTGAAATTCCTATTAGAATTACTATTTAGCTACATGCCCTTTAATAGGAAAAATCACTTTGATGGGTCCTTTTCTCTCTACTAAATATGATTTATTGCTTCTGCAAATGATAAAGAAGCTATGGAAGATCACTGTGCTCCATGACATCATTTTCAGCCTTGGTTCTGCACATTTATTTGCATAAATTACAAAGACAGGGAAATACAGTTGTTTTATTTTCTATTAAGGAGTATCTGGGTTGAAAGTGGTTATCATGGTGAATTCATTCTGCTGTGATAGAAGGTAACGCCCATCCACTCTGGCTCATTGTTTAAAGGTGACATGAAATTATTATAGGTTTAAGTGGTTGTTTCATAAACTCTTGACGGTTTTGGAAAAAGAATTTTAGGATAAATGATGAAACCATCACTGGAGGGTTTAATCATGTAATAATCATTAAATTTCTTAGTCATGGAATTAAAAATATTCCACCAAGCTCTTTAATCTATTGATTTATTAGCTTTGAAAAAGGAATCATAGGAACTTTAGATCCTTACAATATGTCATTACTCTAGTATGTTCAGGTTTTTATTAGCGGAATTTAGACCAGGAGCTATCTTTTCATCTGGTCCTGTACTCTGCAGAAAATAGCTCTTGCTGAAGATAGGCCAGTAATTGATCTCTTCCATCTTAATGATGTTTTCCCTGTCTTTCTAGTAATGTGGAATGTATAAAACTCTTGCAGAGCAGCGGAGCAGATTTCCATAAAAAGGACAAGTGTGGGAGGTATGTAATCAGAGAGTTGTGCTTCAAGTGCTTAAATAAGAGGAACTGGGAGTGGTCTATGTAGTAATCAAGTTAGGTTGAAATGGTAAACCGGGAAGTTAGCTGGGGGGATTCCATCCTCCTCGGAAGGAAGTCCCTTCTCATAGAGGTTGCCAACAAAGCAAATAACAAGTCACAAAGAAAGCATCTCCACTCACAGCTGCTGTTTAGATGTGCCAATTGTCTCCCTTTTTTTTTTCAGTTAAAAGACAAAACAAAACTCCTACATGGATATAGTTTGGAAAATTCTGTTTCTAGCAGAGTGGAACACATAAATCCTAGTCTTAAGATCTAGAATATTTTATTATATGTATTGAACATTTCATCTTGGGATGAATTTTCAGACATGTTTAAAACATTAAGTGCACACACACCACCAATGGGTCATAGAACTCTTCTTACCTTAATGGTCCTTTATGTAAGTAAATGATGCCATGATGCTAGCTGGTACATGGATATATATTTTTCATGTATATATATAATTTTTTTTCCCATTGCATCTCTTTACCCTTCCTTTCTACATGTACCCTCCTTCTCTGGGGTTGCCACAAATTTCTCTTCTTACCAACTTGTCTAAGGCAACTCCTACCCGCCCTTTCAGATTCATGTCAGTGACACCTCCTTGTGCACCGATGGCATGCCCCTCTTCTCTGCTCCCCTAGCACCCTAATCCTTCATGACTGCAGAGTACCTCACACTATTCTTATGGACTCTCACTCCTTGTGTCTCTCCCTGTTATGGGAAAGGGGTCCCCATCCAGACCCCAAGAGAGGGTTCTTGTATCTTGCGCAAGAAACAATTCAGGGCGAGTCCATAGAGTAAAGTGAAAGCAAGTTTATTGAGAAAGTAAAGAAGTAAAAGAATGGCTACTCCATAGACAGAGTAGCTCCAAGGGCTGCTGGTGGCCCATTTTTACGGTTATTTCTTGATTATATGCTAAACAAGGGGTGGATTATTCATTCCTCCCCTTTTTAGACCATATAGGGTAACTTCCTGATGTTGCCATGGCATTTGTAAACTGTCATGGGGCTGGTGGGAGTGTAGCAGTGAGGATGACCAGAGGTCATTCCTGTTGCCTTCTTGGTTTTGGTGGGTTTTGACCGGCTTCTTTACTGTGACCTGTTTCATCAGCAAGGTCTTCATGACCGGTATCTTGTGCCGACCTCCTGTCTTATGTTATGACTTAGAATGCCTAAGCATCTGGGAATGCAGCCCAGTAGGTCTCAGCCTCATTTTACCCAGCCCTTATTCAAGATGGAGTTGCTCTGGTTCACATGTCTCTGACATCCCCACCTGACTGTGAGCCTCCTCAGGACAAGAACTGGGTATCATTTTCTCCCTATCTTTGGGCCCCGTCGTGAGGTTCTTACCTAGTAATTTTCAGTCTAATTAAAACATATGCAATCTAATATGTAAAGTATTTAAAATTTCTTTTGAACCAAAGAGGAGAAAAATCAACTAGTGAGAGAGCCCATAAGTTGACTATAAAATATGAAATAATTATACTTGAAAACTGATCATTTGTTTATTATTCTTTGACTATCAGCTGGTCATACCAGAAAAACTGCTGAACAATCGAGAGCTAAAAATAAGTAATGTACAGCAAATTACTTTATATTTCTGTAGTCTTGCCCTTTACGAGGTGCTTGTGTTTTCTGATACTAACACTATGAGGTATGTGGGGATGCTGTTACCCCTTTTAATAGATGAGAAAGCTGAGTCCAAAGAAACTAAATGATTTATACATGTACACAGAATTTTAGACCTAGAAGGACCTTACAGCCTTTATCTTTGGGCTCTGTCATGAGGTTGTTACCTGATAATTTTCAGTCTAATTAAAACATATGCAATCCAATAGGTAAAATATTTAAAATTTCTTTTTTTTTAACTAAAGAGGAGAAAAGTCAACTAATGAGAGAGAAACTAAATGATTTACACATATACACAGAATTTTAGACCTAGAAGGACCTTAGGTAGGGCACAGTAGCTTAAAAGTTCTTGTTGAAATAAGGGTGAAGAAGTCAAGACCCAGAGAGGGGATGTGATTTAGGCCAGCTTGCACATCTGCCAATGCCAGAACCCAGGGCTTCTGATTTGGATTTGGATTCGGATTCTGCATTGTTCTTCCCATTAACCAACATCCCTACCCTCAAGGAGCTTGCAGTTCAGTGGGGAGGATGAGACAATACACCAGTGCTAAAATCAAGGCAATATGTGATGAGAACTCAAGACAGACCCAGAGAGTAGATAAGCCATCTTAGACAAACTAAAGAGAACTAGCCCCTGGGACAAGACGATGAGTGGGGTTTTGATGGGTGGAAGTGATTCGTGAATGGGCACTCCTGGGGCTAAACCAACCTGGACAAAGGTAGGGGGGATGTAGGGACATGATCCAGAAAGCCTCAAGTCATCCAGTTTGGTTATCCTATTGGGTACATCTAGGGGAGAGAGATACCCCATCAAAGGAGATTGGGACCAGTTTTGGAAAGTCTTCAATTCTAGGCTGAGGAATCAAGTATTGGTTAGTAGAGAGAACCAAAGGTTTTAGAACATGATTGTTATATGTGGGTATTGCACCTTAAAAAAAATTCTTCATTTACATTAACTAGAAATTATGGACACTTGATTAGCGCTAAGGAAGCCAATAGGATGGGCTTGCAATGATCCAAAAAAGCAATAACATAGACCTGAACTAGGGTAGGCTCTAGGAAGGAAAAGAAAGGACAGATCCATGGTAGATGGCCTTGTTTGAAGCCACTGTCTTTGTAGCCTCACTTCCAGTTTATACAGGTTAAGCACCCCTCATCTGAAAATCCAAACTCTGAAATGCTCCAAAATCTGCAACGTTTGGGACACTGACAAAATGTTCGAAGGAAATGCACATTGGAACATTTTGAATTTTGGATTTTTGAATAAAAGATGCTCAACCATCCAGAACACTTCTAGTTCCAAGCATTTCAGATAAGGGATACCTAACTTGTATAGTTGAAGGAAGGCATGACTTTGGCCTCCACACACTCTGAGAGTCCAAGAGCTTTCCATGCCCTAGGCATACTGCTGCCAGTGCTAGTGCCAACAACAGGCCTGTTTTCTAGACTGAATGGAGTAATAAATTGCTGTTTGTTTTTCAGGACCCCTTTGCACTATGCAGCTGCGAATTGTCATTTCCACTGTATTGAGACATTAGTGACCACAGGGGCCAACGTTAATGAAACAGATGACTGGGGACGCACAGCTTTGCATTACGCCGCTGCATCAGACATGGATAGAAAGTAAAAACAGCCTTGCTCATGCTTCCTCTGGGAACAGGGTTGGGGAGTGGTGGGGAAGGATTGCTAAGTTTTCTTCATACCGCCTCATGGAAAAAGAGTTAGACTAACCCAAAAGAGTTAGATTTGCTTAATTCCAAACCTGGGCTTTCCTGTTCTGGTCAATTTATGTTTGATTATTACATGTCACTGCACAATAACTTCTCTGTTCTTTGGGTTGAATCCCAAGTGGAGCTGTCAAGCTCAGGTTTATGGTTCATTCAAAATCTGTTTTAATTTATTTTGACATATACCGTAGTTTTCATCGTCACCACTTAAATGCTTCATTTGCTATAAAACTTACATTTGCTAATATATATGTCATATGTCAAAAACATCCACCCATGCATAATCCCAACAGCCTTTAAATTCAGCATTAGTACATGTAAACTAGGCACCATTGCTCCAAACCTGGGTATGAATGCCCTTTCAGGAGCTAGAGGAGAGGAAGTTGGTTGCTCAGGGCATGTTTGGATTCTAGGTGCGTAGGAATAGAAAACAGAAATAAGTGAACTAGTTAAAGGGAAAAAGGTTGGAGAGATGCCCACAGTTGATGAAATTGTTCTTAGAAGCTTAAGGAAGGGCTTCCTTCATAGGAATACTTTTTGATGACCTTGTTTGAAGAACTATTGAATTATTTGCTGCCTTGTGCTGTGGAATTGATTCTGGGTCAGTGGTAATTGCTTCTCTTGTAGAGCAATGGCTTTTAGATGGTGACCCACAGTGAGAAGTAACATCTTACAGTCATGACCCCATATGCACATTCACATATATATAGTTCATATAGTATGTAAAATGGAAATAAAGTTTTCATAAAATCATATTTACTTTTACCATGTGTGATGCATTCTGACATTTTCTCTGTTTCATTAGATAAAAAATCTTGCTGACTACAACCCATTAAGTCGATTTCACAATTCAGTAATGGCTTATGATCCATAGTTTGAAAAATACTGCTTGTTTCCTCTTCATAGTTATATAATAAATCAAAATAATAATATCAGATGTAGCATTCTGATCCCTTAGGCATGCAGGTTATAAACAGACATTGCTTAACAAACATTTATTGAGCATCTACTATGTGCCAAGCTCCAGGCAATTCATTGGAATAGATTGGGGGTGGTGAAAAGGATGGGGAAACAATATACTTCATCTGTCAAGAGCTGGAAAAGGAATTCTGGATGATGAAGAATTGTTCTGGCAGACGAAGGGTGAATAGGACCCCATTTCTGGACAAATGAGATGCTGAGCTGGCAAGGAGGCAGTGGGGAATGTGGTAGGAGTCAGAGAAGTTTTAGCTAACTCACTTCTTTACTTGGGAAGTTTAGGATGTTTATAGAAGGGTGGGCAACTTGATTGTTACCTTAATTGCTGATACTTAAGTGGAAGTTTTAAGAAATCATATTCCAGTTGGATCCTTGGGAGAGAATAGATTTACTGGATGGCTTTGGAGAGAACCATGTATATCTTCAATGAAAATCAGTGGTGCTTACTTCTTTTGGGTTGGGGTAAAAATCATTGAGATATAAATTGCACCAAAACCATTAACAGCTTTGCCATTTAAAAAATTAATTGCAATTTTTTTTTCTATCCTTTATGCTGAGAAGTAAGACTATCTTAGGAAATGCCCATGATAATTCAGAAGAACTTGAAAGAGCCAGGGAGCTGAAGGAAAAGGAAGCCACACTGTAAGTTTCTTCTCAGCTTAAGAACAAGGTGCCATTTCTGACGCTTCTTCTGCTTTTCTGAGTTGCCACGTTGCCTGCCTTACTATTTTGGGGTTTCACTTGGGATCTTGAGGAAGTGATATGGGCTTGCCTTTAATGGGGAAGAAACTATTCTTTTAATACAGCCTTCAATTCTGCTATTTTCACACAGGGAACTTTCTAAAATTGTACGCTTTGCTTCAGCCACCACTGTGATTGGTCAGCAGTTTTTAGGACCTGGTGTCCTAAATATCATTCTAACTGCGATGCATCATGTACCAAGGAAGACAAACAAAGACTCCTCTCAGAGGCTTAGGTTCTGCTCTTATGACCTGGGGACATCTATTTAGCAGATTCTATTTTAAAAGGTCTTAATACTTCGGTGTGAAATAACCATTTGTGCTTTCCCCTCACCCCCAGCCCACATGCACATCAATTTAGGAAGAGCCTCCTGCTCCTGCAAAAGGATGCTCCTGGGCCCCTCATCCCACCTGCCTCTCCCTGGCTTCTAACAGAGACGTAGCTCTTTGCTGTGGCAGGGGTGGGAGTGCCTGCCATCACTCAGGGCTGTAGATGCACGGGAACCTCTACAGCTTCGTCCTCTGAGTCTTTTCTGCACCACAGGTCACAGTGAGAAGCTTACAGTGCTCAGTGCAGTGCCTAGCACATAGTCAATATTCAATAACTGTTGAGTAAATGAACAAACAAACGAATTGGTACCCACTCCTTGTGCCTCACCCCTGTGGAATCCAGTGGATATGGTGCTCTATGAGTCTGCAGGCACATCGTTGTTAACTTATTTATTCTTCCATTGTTAGAGGAGCCAGTTTTTCTGTGGCCCGAATGCCTGTGTCTACTCCAGGGTTTTCCACTGTGCTCCTCCCATGCCCAGACTGTTGTGGAAAGGAAGTTAGAGAGTGTGGCTCCAATGCAGGTTGTGGGACCTAACTTCGATGGTAATTGGGATGAGGACAGGAAATGCAGCAGTGAATAAAATAGAATGACCAGAGTTTTGCTTTAATACCCCCAAATTTAAAATAACAATATTAAAAGACTAGCATCTTAAGCCACTGCAGCAAACGCTTCCTTTTACAGTGAACTGCAAGCTTGCCCTGAGCCAGACAAGCTGATAGAGAGGGAGGGGACAAGAAAGGTAGGGGGGCAGGGGGAACCAGCTGCCTGAGAGTTCTTCTATGCAAAGGGAGGCCACTCCCTGTATCCAGATACGCCTCTGACGTCATGTGCATCTGTTGGCTTTGCATCTTAATTGCCAAAATTACTAGGCTCTGGGAAGAGAAAAAAACTAGGCATTCCCAGTGAAAACACGGAATGCATGTTTTCCTTACAAGCAATGTGGAGAATATGCAAATTCTACATTACTTTTATTATAATAATACTGTTGTTAGTATATATAGTTTGGCTATATTACAAATTCAATTTATTAACTGATTTTTAGGATATAATCCATTCAGAAATTGGGAATTGTGTGTCCACTAGCATGTTATTCCTATTGAGTGATTTCATTTAAAGAGTCAAATTCAATTTACAGTGAGTCATACCTGGGATCCTTTCCATGGGCATTTAATTACCAAAATAAAAAAGAACTTCCTTCCTTATAAGGTGCAAATGACCGAAGAGAGAATAATAGCAAGACTCTAAGAATAGTTTGATTTATTATTGACATGTGGGTATTTGGTTTTTTTAAAATGTATGGCTTTCATCAGTTTTTCTAGAAATTGAAGTGTCTGTTTTAATTGTCCCTATGTGTAATTGACTTTTTTCGTTTTGCCTTATACCAAAAGATAGGTAAATGCTATTTATAGTTTTTGGGTAAACTATAGAAATTTTCTATTGGAAGGTCTTATTTAATGTATGGGTTGATATTTAGAATCTTAACATTTTGATTTGAGTATGAAATTGAATCAGCTTGGTCTTGTAAAAGACATGTTTGTCCCACTGCCACAGGGATAATGCTGATGCTATGAAGCAGCGCTTCCTGACTAGTGACTCCCTCTTTCCCAGCAGGACTGGACCGTTTGCAGTAGGCCCTGAGCAGAACTTATTACATTCCTGGGTACTTGTGAACCAGAGTTTTGGGCTCTTCAGTGAAGGTGGAGCCGTGCTCCTTCCTCTAAGCATTCCAAAGACTGTGGCTTTTTCAGAAAAATTACAACTCTGCCTGAAAAGGCTTTAAACATTGATTTTTCAGGTCTATATTCCTAATGGTGAAATTTAAGCCTCTTTATTCATATGTGGTTATGAAGTTAATTCTTCATTCTTTAAAAATGCTTACCCATTCCTTTAATCTTTTTATTGTTTAGGCTATTCTTATTTTTTTTTCTTACTCTTTTTAACTTTCATTTTCTAACCTTTGATTTTATGGTGAGGTTAAGAGTAAACCCCTCCCTATTGAGGTTGCCCTGTTACTTGCCCTGATACTGACCACTTCTTTATTGAGACTTTGTTGAACATGGAGCTCCAAAACTTGCTATTCAGTAATCTTGATAACAGATGTTCTTACCTGAAGATGAGGAGAAAAAAATCGTAATTACCCTCTTTTTCCTAAAGCTTTTCCTGAATTCTAGAATGGCTATATTAAGCTCAAATAAAGATAGCTACAGAAAACATACACACACACACACACACACACACACACAATTTTCAACACATAAAACTTCATTGCTGTAGGATTTTTAAAGAAACAAACTCATAAAGTACTTCATGGAACGTTCGTAATAGGAGGATTTACATAAATTATCTTTTTCAGTCCAGAGATGTTTTCTAAAATAACACTTCATCTTTATACTTACAGATGTCTAGAGTTTCTGCTTCAAAATGATGCAAATCCATCTATCCGGGACAAGGAAGGTTACAATAGCATACATTATGCTGCCGCCTATGGGCACAGGCAGTGTCTGGAATTGGTGAGTTGTTTTGTTTTGTTTTCTCTAACACACACACACACACATACCCCAAATCACAGAGGCATTAACTGTTTTTTTCCAGAGTTGTAGCTCTGGCTTGTGTAAAAAGTGGGTCCATGAATCAGGATTTCATGAATTCTGATTTCAAAAAGTGTTTTTTCTACTGCACCATGCTGCCTTCCATTGCAGGTTAGAGCCCCACCACCACCCAAGGCTTTTAAGCACAGCACAAAAGCATGGTAGTCATCGATATAAGGCAGTACCATTTCTGCCTCCTAACACCAGCATTGCCATGGAAGTTGGTATAGACCTATTAGCAAATATGGCTTTGTGTTTAGATCCCATATAAGAAATGCTCCTCACAAAATGTGTATGCGTGTGTGTGTGTGTGTGTGTGTGTGTGTGTGTGTGTGGTAATCAGTGGCAGAGTGAAGGCTTTCTACTGTCACTACATATTATGAGCCTGCCTTCCAAAATATACTTAAGACACAGCTGTCTTTAATTGGTTTTCTCTATGAAAACCATGTCATAATTGTCATGATAAAACAAACTTTTATTATACAGTTTGTTATTATAGTCTTAATAATGTGTGCTGTTCTATAGTACTTTTGTGAGTTATCTTTAATCCTTCATAGTCTAGAAACTCAGGATAATTATCCTAACACCTTCTTTGTATAGAAATAACATATCGCATGCAATATCTTCATTTTTTCAGGAAGACCATTTTGGTACCATTATTTCTGTTATTCAAGTAAGAGTTTTTCCTGTCCATAAGAAGGTTTCACAAATTTTGTCTGAAAATGAAATTACCCCCCTTTGATTAGATCAACATTTGCCCTGTGTAATTTACAAAGAGATGACTATTTGTGACAATTATAAAACATTCAAAAACGGTTAGGAGGAGGTGTTAATTGATCTTAATTTACACTGTCAGTCGAACAGACCGGATTATCAATATAATTGGTAGAAGTGTTACTGTTGTTTGCTTTCAGGAAAGAAACCTCAGTCAGCCGTTTGTAACACAGGATGAAAGTTCTCCTCTCACTTTCCTGAATGGTTTTAGTGGGACAGAAAGTTTTATGTATTCCTATTTTGGAATGCATCCCAAAATTCCTCTGGGGTGTAGTTCGTACAAAGCAAAGATCCTAAGTAGGCTAAAAACATTCTTATGCCCCAACCCCTCCCAATCAAAACAAAACACAACCCTGAAAACAATCCTGGACTTTCCCCTAGGAGTGGAACCACAAATCAGGCCTTTGCAGGTATCTTATCCCCACTGCTGGCTCACCTAACTGTGGATGGATTAGAACAGGAGATAAGACAGGAGGAAAGGGTTCTGAAAGGAGGGAAAAGGGAATAGGGCCTGTCTTTGATACAAGTGTTAAGTGAATTTCAAAAGAAAACATATGTGTGGCCATAAGCGTATGAAAAAAAGCTCAGCATCACTGATCATTAGAGAAATGCAAATCAAAACCATAATGAGGTACCATCTCATACCAGTCAGAATGGCTATTAATAAAAAGTCAAAAAATAACAGATGCTGGCCAGGTTGTGGAGAAGAGGGAATGTTTATACATTGTTGGTGGGAGTGTAAATTAGTTTAACCATTGTGGAAGGCACTGTGGCAATTCCTCAAAGACCTAAAAGCAAAACTATCATTCAACCCAGCAATCCCACCACTGGGTGTATACCCAAAGGAATATAAATCATTCTAACCATAAAGATACATGCATATGTATGTTCATTGCAGCGTTATTTACAATAGCAAAGACATGGAATCAACCTAAATTCCCATCAACAGTAGACTGGATAAAGACAGTATGGTACATAGATACCATGGAATACTATGCAGCCATAAAAAAGAACTAGATCATGTCCTTTGTAGGAACATGGATACAGCTGGAGGACATAATCTTTAGCAAACAAACACAGGAGCAAGAAACCAAATACTGCATGTTCTCACTTATAAGGGGGAGCTAAATGATGAGAACACATGGACACAAAGAGGGGAACTACAGACACTGGGGCCTACTTAAGGGTGGAGGGTGGGAGGAGGGAGAAAATAAGAAAAAATAACTATTTGGTAAAAGGCTTAGTACCTGGGTGGCAAAATGATCTGTACAGCAAACCCCCATGACACAAATTTACCTATATAGCAAACCTGCACATGTACCCCTGAACCTAAAAGTTTTTTTAAAAACCCCAAAACAAGTATTAAATGAAGAAGTGGGGTTTTGAGGGGGATGCTTTTTCTCATATATTTTCCCTCTTTCTGTAGGAACCCAATATCTTAACAGTCTTTAAAACTCCAATTTCCTTGGGTATTAGATGTTAGGAAAGCAAACCAATTAACTTACATGCACTAGGAGGTGAATTTCTAAGACTTTCACATTGCCATGCCAATCTTCTTCCTCATCTCCCAACACAAATAGCCGTCTTCGCAGGGGTCATCCTTTTAACAAATTGTCCCTGACTCTGTGCTTTGTGCTAGAGTTATGTTGACAAAGAGACACACATCTGGTAGCTCTTCATAGGTTATTTGAGCTTCTGAGCAGGAATTGTGCAAGGAGATCATTTTTGACTCCACCATCCCAGCCTATGCTTCTGGCCTGTGGAGGGAATGGAGAGAGTAAATGAGTATGTGTGGTCCTCTGGCCTTCACTACCGGTCCAGGGACTTTGTCCTCTGGGCGCTGGAGTAGGATTGAAGAAGATGGGGGGCCATCTGGACCAGCTGATTTGTGAGGCTGATGAAATGTGTCTTTGGCGCCTCCTCCTGTCTACTCAAGCAATTACAGTGATTATACATATCATTAAATATGTATCATTAAATTTGATGTATATTTTCTTTGACTCTGACACTCAGCTTGGTCTGCGTTTACTTTGGCATTCATGGTTTGTGGCTCCTGTCTGTGATCGTAAGCATGGAATTTATAAACCACTTTGTGTTCAGTCCGTTTTGCTGTAATCAAAAATAAACAGAAATTATTATAGTTGTTTTAACTTTACTTCTATTATACAGACTTATATTTAATTAGTTCCATGAGGAAAAAAGACTTCTAAAAGGTAGTATGAACCCCTTAGCCTTGATAGAAATAGCCAAGGTTGAGAATTCTGCCAAGTCTACCTATTTAGGCCAGTATTCTCAGCTGGTCTTGATCAAAGACGTTCGTACTATGTGTGCAAGCAAAAATCTGCCCACAAACATGTACTGAGAGCTGTGATCAGTCATATTCAATTGGGCTCAAAATATCAAAGCAAAGTGGGGGAGACTTGGCTAATAAAGCTTCTTGTGTATGTTTGAGTGGAGGAAGGGTATTGGCAAAGGAAAGTTCCAGACCTCCCTTTTCCTCTATCTGAAATGTATTCTTACTGGCTCTGAAAAGAAAAATCAAGGAATCATGCCCCTATTTGGAATTTTTGAGTTTATATTGGTTTATTTTATATTTTTTACAATATTAAAGATTTGTCCATGAACATAAAGATCTTTGAGGCTTTTTTATTGAAATGGAAAAATGTGTGTGCCAATGTAATTATGTAAATTGTCTACAAAACTTAGAGAGATTGAAAACTCTAGGCCTCTGATTACTTTCAGGCTGAGATTTTTTCATGCCAAATCACTTGGAATTTGGCTGCTTCTCTGAATCTTCTCCCCTGTTCAATGATAGGAATGAACTTGAACTTCAACTGTGAGAATAAGTAGGGGTGACAAATGCCCCTACTTACATATTCTAGGAGCTTCTGGGATTCTCTGAAGAAAGACTGAAAGCAACTGTGTCTTGGGCAACTCAACACTAAAATTATGCTGCTTTCAAATAAACGACTCAATGTTTTAGGTTGTTTCTTGTGTTTATCACCGGACTTTAGAAAACCATTACCACCCGGCTCTGAATAACTATATGTGTCTGTATAAGACAGACTTATGGCCAGGTGCAGTGGCTCACAGCTTATAATCCCATCACTTTGGGAGGCTGAGGTGGGAGGATTGCTTGAGTCCAGGAATTCAAGACCAACCTGGGCAACATAGCAAGACCTTGTCTCTACAAAAGTATTTTTAAAATTAGCCAGGTATGGTGATGTGATGTGCACCTGTAGTCCTAGCTACTCAGGAGGCGGAGGCATGAAGATTGCTTGAGCCCAGGAGTTTGAGGTTTCAGTGACCTATGATTGCACCACTGCAGTACAGCCTGGGTGACAGAACAAGACCCCATCTCTTAGAAAAATAATATGGACTTACATTGGCAATGTGTCATTACGCCTCTCAAGACTAAGAAAGCAGGTAGAGAAAAGCATTTAAAAAAGGAAAACTACTGGGTGGTCATCTAAGGACAAGAAAATGAAAAATCAGTAAATTTGAACCCCAGCTCCAAACAAGTCTCTGATGATTGTTTTCTCTCCTCAGAGGTCCTGCTAAGAGAAGGACTTGGGTTGTGCCTGACCTCCCAGCAGGCAGCCTGCCAAGGGGCAGTGTTCTCTGGAAACCTCAACAATGCTGGTCTTGTGTTTTCTTCTATTTAATTCAGTTGGAGAGAAACATAAAATCCTATGAGGAACTCTCATTAAGGGCGAGGGTGGGGGTGAGCATGGATATTTTGATACCACTGGCATCCTCTCAGATGTGAATATAAGTTCACAAATTTTGAGTTAGAATTTGGATGTAAATCTATATCCAAAACAGTGGAATAGACAATTTTTTATGATAAGATGTTCCATTTTTTTTGTAATGTGGCAGAAAAAATTTTGGGGGCTTTACCATGAATGAATTTGGCAGCTGATGAAAGAACAATTCAACAGGATGTGTTAAAATAGAACATTTCAGTTTTGCCTTCAGTTGAGGGCCTAGGACACTGGGGCATTGCCTCCACATTTCAAAGTGAGATACTGGTGCTTCAACTCATGGCCCCCTTCCCCATTTCTAAAGTCACAGTTGGAAAGAACAAGAAGTTAGAGATTAGAGAGAAGGCTTCTTTGGAGCTAGCTCTGCTGTGAATTCTACCACCCCTCATAGTGGAGGAGATAGAATGCCTTCTCTTGACCCCAACCTTAAGGGAGGGAAGCTTCAGGGAGATTGCTTAGATATCTTATTTGTGTCCCACACAATTTAGGGAGCATGCCAGACTGGTATATGATAAATCTGAAGACTAAATGGCTCTGACCAGAACTTGCTGGCCAGGCAGCTAAATAAGAAGAAGGCTGTGTTTGGGAAATCACTCCACTCTCAGAAATGATGGGTCAAAGTATATATTTCCCAATGTCCAAATGTGAGCCAAGGGCCAGAGCTAGCCTGGGGTTCTCCTTGATCCCACTCGGGAAGGCTGCGTGGAAGAGTCAGGAGACCCAGGATTCCTAGTGTGGAGAGGGGAATATAAGTTACCAGCAGGAAGGTCCATTCACCCAGGCAGAGGCACTGCAGGTGAGACACCCCAGTGATGGTGGAGAACCTAATTCAGCATCTAAGAGAGGGACAATTGTAAACATCTGGCCTGGTCAGAAGACATCACTGCCAGAAGGGTGCCAGTCAGACCATTGTCCCTGCTCCTAATGTGTCTTCCTTTGCCTATCCCCTTTAGAACTGGAGGAGGCAGAGGCAGATGAGGAGGAGGAGAAGCCCTAGGTTGGGGAACAGAGAAGTCAGCCATGTCTCGTTACCCACTCAGTCTTTAGGGGAAGGCGGGAAGGAGTTTTAATAAGTTTAACAATGTTAGGAGTCTGTGATTGTCATACTGGAACAGATGTATTGATTGCTGACATGAAGTTATGTTTTAAACTAAAGTGCCTAGAGAACTCTTTATTATTTGTTGGAGATTTTGCATGAAGTGGCAGGAAAAGAAGTAACCTCATAAAGGAGATCGGACCTAGTATAGGGAAAAAGAGAATAAATGTATTATTTGATTATATCCATGACTCGCTGGTTCAGTAAATAGCTAAACACTTAGTCATTGTTTCAGGAAAAAATTAATGCTGAGCTCTAAGGAAAAATAAACTATTATCCTTTAAACATTTGCGGATTTAAATATCAACTTATAAGGCATTAGGTTCTAATACTGTCAGGCACTTATCAGGTGCCAAAAGTTGTTGAACAAGTGAAATACACTGTGAGTGACTAAGCTTTATTTAGTGATAAAACATCAATGCTAATTTTTAAGTATATAGCAACTGTCCTGTTTGTTAGGAAGGTATTTCATAGAAGATGGCAGGTGAGAAAAGAAATGAAAATTTGCCTTTCTGTGGCCTGGACTTTTCTTTAGATTTGATTACTTTCCAATACCAGCTCATTTTATTGCAACTGGTCCTCCATGTTTTCTTCTTCAATAAAAACCTATACTAACATGTCAAACTGGTATAAAGACATCACATACACACACATACACATATGTGCACACATTTCTCTGTAATTTCTTCCAGATGGATAGGGAGCACTAAGAGGTTCAAGGAATAGGAATTATTGCTTCTGATGTGGAAACTTCTAAGGACTCAGTGATGTCAGAAAAAGGAAGATTTTTTGTTTTAAAGAGAAGGCAGTTTACAAGTCAACCAAAAAAATAAGTTAATCTGGCCCACCCTCCTTTCCTCCCCCTACCCTCCCTCCTCCTTTCTTCCTTTTCCTTCCTTCCTTCCTTCCTTCCTTCCTTCCTTCCTTCCTTCCTTCCTTCCTTCTTTCCTCCCTCCATCCCTCCCTCCCTCTCAGTCACAAACCCACTAGGGAAGCCTGAGCAGAGCAGGAAGGCAGCCCAGTTGGCACTGAGGCCGCAGGAGGGAAGTCAGGAAGGCAGCCTAGTAAGGGTTGGAACCCCACTCAAGGAGAGTGTCCTAAATATGTATGCCCCAAACAACAGAGCTACAATATATGTGAAGCAAAAACTGTTAGAATTGAAAAGATAAACAGAAATACACAATTATAGTGGGAGACTTTAGCACCTCTCTCTCAACAATTGGTAGAACAATGAGACTGAAAATTGTCAAGTATATAGAAAAACTCAATAACATAATCAACCAAGAGGATCTGATCAACAATAAGAACACTCTACCCAGCAACATGAGAATACATATTTAGTTCAAGTGCCCATGAACATTCACAAAGATAAGCAATATCTTGAACCATAAAACAAAATTCAAAAAACATAAAAGAATTGAAATCATATAGAGCGTGTTTTCTAGCCATAATGGGATAAAACTAGAAATCAATAACAGAAAGATACCAGGAAAATCTCCAACACTAGGAAATTAAAACCAGACTTGTAAATAATTCATGAGTTAAAAGGAAAGCCTCAAGAGAAATTCAAAAAATATCTTGGACTGAATGAAAATGAAAGTACAACAAAGTGAAATTTGGGGACTCAGCTAAATTATGCTGAGAAAGAAATTTTTAGCACAAAATGGTTACATCAGAAAAGAGGAAAGTCTCAAGTCAGTAATCTAAGCTTCTACCTCAAGAATCTGGAGAGAGCAAATTAAACTCAAAATAAGCAGAAAATTGATATAAAGATGGAGGCAGAAATAAATGAAATTGAAAACCAGTGAAGAAATTCAATGAAACAAAAATCTGGTTCTTTGAAAAATCAGTAACATTGACAAACGTGTAGCTAAGAAAAAGAGAGAGGAAACATAAATTAACAATATCAGGAATGAAATAGGGGATATCCCCATATACCTTACAGATATTAAAAGGATAAAGGAATATTATGAATAACTCTGCATACATTGACAACTTGATAAAATAGACTCATTCATTGAAAAACACAAACTACCACCATTTACCCAGTATGAAGTAGATCATTTGAATAGCCCTTTAACTATTCAGAAAATTAAATTTTAAAACTTCCCCTAAAGAAATTTCCAGGCATGGATGATTTCACTGGAGAATTCTACCAAATACTTAAAGAATTAACATAATTCTACACAGTCTTTTCTGGAAAATAGAATACAAGAGAATACTTTCCAATTCATTTATGAAGGTAATACCTTGATATTAAGTACCAAAGACACACACACACACACAGAGAGCGAGAGCGAGCACAATGTCTTTCATGAACATGAATGCAAAAATCTTTACAAATTACCAAATAGAATTCAGTGATACATGCAGAGAATTATATACCATGACTAATGGAATTTATTACAGGGATGCAAGCCTGTTTCAATATTTGAAAATCAGTCAGTGTAATTCACTGTATTAACAGGCTAAAGAAGAAAAATCAGATTTATATCAACCAATGCAGAAAACACTTTTGATAACATTGAGCACTTCAAGACAATAAAACAAGCAAGCAACAACAACAACAACAAAAAACTCTCCTAGAAATATTAGATAGAGGGGAACTTCCTCAACTTGATAAAGAGCATGTAACAACTTGATAAAGAACAGCTAATTTACTTAACGGTAAAAGACTAAGTCAAGGATGTCTTCTTATACCACTCCTATTCAACATTGTGCTGAAAGTTCTAGCCAGAACAATTAGGGAAGAAAAGGAAATAAAAAGTGTACAGATCAGAAAGGAATAAACAAAACTGTTCCTATTTGCAGATGACATCATTGTCTACATAGAAAATCCCCAGTAATCAACCAAAAAATCCTAGAAGTCATAAGTGAGTTCATCAAGGTCACAAGATATGAGATAAACGTATAAAAATCAATTGCATTTCTGTGTACTAGGAATGAATATGTAGATACCAAAATTAAAAGTACAATATTATTTTCAACTGCCCCAAAAAATTGCTGTCAATAACTCTGTGCTTAGTCCTAGATCCAAAAGACGTGTGTTGAAACCACAAAATGCTGATGAAAGAAATCAGAGATCTAAAAAAAAAAAAAGGAGAGACATTCTGTATGCGTGGATTAGAAGACTCAACATAATGAAGATGCCAAATTAATCTGTAGGTTTAACACAATTCTTATCAAAATTCTAGCAAGGTTTTCATAGACGAATGAAAGATTTTTCTAAAATTTATATGGAATAGCAAAAGAACTAGAAAGCTAACACAATTCTGAAAAAGAACAATGTGGGAAAAATCAGTCTACCTAATTTCAAGAATTATTATATAGCTTGAATATATAATATATATTTTATACTACTGTGTCAATACCTGACAATCTTGTTAATATCTTACCCAGTAATCAAGACTGAAGTATTGGCAGAGTGATAGGCACAATGGAACAGAATAGACAGCTTAGACATATACCCACAAAAATATGCCCAACTGATTTTTAACAAAGGTGGAAAAGCAATTCAGCAAAGAGAAGGTCAATTTTTTTTTATTATACTTTAAGTTCTAGGGTACATGTGCACAACGTGCAGGTTTGTTACATATGTATACATGTGCCAAGTTGGTATGCTGTACCCATTAACTCATCATTTACATTAGGTATATCTCCTAATGCTATCCCTCCCCACTCCCCCCACCCCACAACAGGCCCCGGTGTGTGATGTTCCCCTTCCTGTGTCCAAGTTTTCTCATTGTTCAATTCCCACCTATGAGTGAGAACATGCAGTGTTTGGTTTTTTTCTCCTTGTGATAGTTTGTGGAGAATGATGGTTTCCAGCTTCATCCATGTCCCTACAAAGGACATGAACTCATCCTTTTTTATGGCTGCATAGTATTCCATGGTGTATGTGTGCCACATTTTCTGAATCCAGTCTATCATTGATGGACATTTGGATTGGTTCCAAGTCTTTGCTGTTGTGCATAGTGCCACAATAAACATATGTGTGCATGTGTCTTTATAGCAGCATGATTTATAATCCTTTGGGTATATACCCAGTAATGGGATGGCTGGGTCAAATGGTATTTTTAGTTCTAGATCCTCGAGGAATCGCCACACTGTCTTCCACAATGGTTGAACTAGTTTACAGTCCCACCAACAGTGTAAAAGTGTTCTTATTTCTCCACATCCTCTCCAGCACCTGTTGTTTCCTGACTTTAATGACTGCCATTCTAACTGGTGTGAGATGGTATCTCATTGTGGTTTTGATTTGCATTTCTCTGATGGCCAGTGATGATGAGCATTTTTTCACATGTCTGTTGGCTGCATAAATGTTTTCTGTCTGTTCATATCCTTTGCCCACTTTTTGATGGGGTTGTTTGTTTTTTTCTTGTAAATTTGTTTAAGTTCTTTGTAGATTCTGGATATTAGCCCTTAGATGAATAGATTGCAAAATTTTTCTCCCATTCTGTAGGTTGCCTGTTCACTCTGATGGTAGTTTCTTTTGCTGTGCAGAAGCTCTTTAGTTTAATTAGATCCCATTTGTCAATTTTGGCTTTTGTTGCCATTGCTTTTGGTGTTTTATTTTTTTTTATTTTATTTTTATTTTTTTTTTATTTTTTTCTTTTTTTTATTTTTTTTATTATACTCTAAGTTTTAGGGTACATGTGCACATTGTGCAGGTTAGTTACATATGTATACATGTGCCATGCTGGTGCGCTGCACCCACTAATGTGTCATCTAGCATTAGGTATATCTCCCAATGCTATCCCTCCCCCCTCCCCCGACCCCACCACAGTCCCCAGAGTGTGATATTCCCCTTCCTGTGTCCATGTGATCTCATTGTTCAATTCCCACCTATGAGTGAGAATATGCGGTGTTTGGTTTTTTGTTCTTGCGATAGTTTACTGAGAATGATGGTTTCCAATTTCATCCATGTCCCTACAAAGGATATGAACTCATCATTTTTTATGGCTGCATAGTATTCCATGGTGTATATGTGCCACATTTTCTTAATCCAGTCTATCATTGTCGGACATTTGGGTTGGTTCCAAGTCTTTGCTGTTGTGAATAGTGCCACAATAAACATACGTGTGCATGTGTCTTTATAGCAGCATGATTTATAGTCCTTTGGGTATATACCCAGTAATGGGATGGCTGGGTCAAATGGTATTTCTAGTTCTAGATCCCTGAGGAATCGCCACACTGACTTCCACAATGGTTGAACTAGTTTACAGTCCCACCAACAGTGTAAAAGTGTTCCTATTTCTCCACATCCTCTCCAGCACCTGTTGTTTCCTGACTTTTTAATGATTGCCATTCTAACTGGTGTGAGATGATATCTCATAGTGGTTTTGATTTGCATTTCTCTGATGGCCAGTGATGATGAGCATTTCTTCATGTGTTTTTTGGCTGCATAAATGTCTTCTTTTGAGAAGTGTCTGTTCATGTCCTTCGCCCACTTTTTGATGGGGTTGTTTGTTTTTTTCTTGTAAATTTGTTTGAGTTCATTGTAGATTCTGGATATTAGCCCTTTGTCAGATGAGTAGGTTGCGAAAATTTTCTCCCATGTTGTAGGTTGCCTGTTCACTCTGATGGTGCTTTTGGTGTTTTAGACATGAAGTCCTTGCCCAGGCCTATGTCCTGAATGGCATTGCCTAGGTTTTCTTCTAGGGTTTTTAGGTGTTAGGTCTAACATTTAAGTCTTTAATCCATCTTGAATTAATTTTTGTATAAGATGTAAGGAAGGGATCCAGTTTCAGCTTTCTACATATGGCTAGCCAGTTTTCCCAGCACCATTTATTAAATAGGGAATCCTTTCCCCATTGCTTGTTTTTGTCAGGTTTGTCAAAGATCAGATAGTTGTAGATGTGTGGTATTATTTCTGAGGGCTCTGTTCTGTTCCATTGGTCTGTATCTCTGTTTTGGTACCAGTACCATGCTGTTTTGGTTACTGTAGCCTTGTAGTATAGTTTGAAGTCAGGTAGCATGATGCCTCCAGCTTTGTTCTTTTGGCTTAGGATTGTCTTGGCAACGCGGGCTCTTTTTTGGTTCCATGTGAACTTTAAAGTAGTTTTTACCAATTCTGTGAAGAAAGTCATTGGTAGCTTGATGGGGATGGCATTGAATCTATAAATTACCTTGGGCATTATGGCCATTTTCACGATATTGATTCTTCCTACCCATGAGCATGGAATGTTCTTCCATTTGTTTGTGTCCTTTTTTATTTCATTGAGCAGTGGTTTGTAGTTCTGCTTGAAGAGGTCCTTCACATCCCTTGTAAGTTGGATTCCTAGGTGTTTTATTCTCCAATTGTGAATGGGAGTTCAGTCATGATTTGGCTCTCTGTTTGTCTGTTATTGGTGTATAAGAATGCTTGTGATTTTTGCACATTGATGTTGTATCCTGAGACTTTGCTGAAGTTGCTTATCAGCTTAAGGAGAGTTTGGGCTGAGACGATGGGGTTTTCTAAATATACAATCATGTTATCTGCAAACAGAGACAATTTGACTTCCTGTTTTCCTAATTGAATACCCTTTATTTCTTTCTCCTGCCTGATTGCCCTGGCCAGAACTTCCAACACTGTGTTGAATAGGAGTGGTGAGAGAGGGCATCCCTGTCTTGTGCCAGTTTTCAAAGGGAATACTTCCAGTTTTTGCCCATTCAGTATGATATTGGCTGTGGGTTTGTCATAAATAGCTCTTAATATTTTGAGATATGTCCCATCAATACCTAATTTATTGAGAGTTTTTAGCATGAAGGTCTGTTGAATTTTGTCAAAGGCCATTTCTGCATCTATTGAGATAATCATGTGGTTTTTGTCTTTAGTTCTGTTTATATGCTGGATTATGTTTATTGATTTGTGTATACTGAACCAGCCTTGCATCCCAGGGATGAAGCCCACTTGATCATCGTGAATAAGCTTTTTGATGTGCTGCTGGATTCGGTTTGCCAGTGTTTTATTGAGGATTTTTACATTGATGTTTGTCAGGGATATTGGTCTAAAATTCTCTTTTTTTGTTGTGTCTCTGCCAGGCTTTGGTATCAGGATGATGCTGGCCTCGTAAAATGAGTTAGGGAGGATTCCTTCTTTTTCTGTTGATTGGAACAGTTTCAGAAGGAATGGTACCAGCTCCTCCTTGTACCTCTGGTAGAATTCAGCTGTGAATCCATCTGGTCCTGGACTTTTTTTGGTTGGTAGGCTATTAATTGTTGCCTTGATTTCAGAGTTCAGTCATGGATTCAACTTCTTCCTGGTTTAGTCTTGGGAGGGTGTATATGTCCAGGAATTTATCCATTTCTTCTAGATTTTCTAGTTTATTTGCGTAGAGGTGTTTATAGTGTTCTCTGATGATAGTTTGTATTTCTGTGGGATTGGTGGTGATATCCCCTTTATCATTTTTTATTTCATCTATTTGATTCTTCTCTCTTTTCTTCTTTATTAGTCTTGCTAGCGGTCTATCAATTGTGTTATCTTTTCAAAAAACCAGCTCCTGGATTCATTGATTTTTTGAAGGGATTTTTTATGTCTCTATCTCCTTCAGTTCTGCTCTGATCTTAGTTATTTCTTGCCTTCTGCTAGCTTTTGAATGTGTTTGCTCTTGCTTCTCTAGTTCTTTTAACTGTGATGTTAGTCAATTTTAGATCTTTCCTGCTTTCTCTTGTGGGTATTTAGTGCTATAAATTTCCCTCTACACACTGCTTTAAATGTGTCCCAGAGATTCTGGTATGTTGTGTCTTTGTTCTCATTGGTTTCAAAGAACATCTTTATTTCTGCCTTCATTTCGTTATGTACCCAGTAGTCATTCAGGAGCAGGTTGTTCAGTTTCCATGTAGTTGAGTGGTTTTGAGTGGGTTTCTTAATCCTGAGTCCTAGTTTGATTGCATTATGGTCTGAGAGACAGTTTGATGGAATTTCTGTTCTTTTACATTTGCTGAGGAGTGCTTTACTTCCAACTATGTGGTCAATTTTGGAATAAGTGCGATGTGGTGCTGAGAAAAATGTATATTCTGTTGATTTGGGGTGGAGAGTTCTGTAGATGTCTATTAGGTCTGCTTGGTGCAGAGCTGAGTTCAATTCCTGGATATCCTTTTTAACTTTCTGTCTCGTTGATCTGTCTAATGTTAACAGTGGGGTGTTAAAGTCTCCCATTATTGTTGTGTGGGAGTCTAAGTCTCTTTGCAGATCTCTAAGGACTTGCTTTGTGAATCTGGGTGCTCCTGTATTGGGTGCATATATATTTAGGATAGTTAGCTCTTCTTGTTGAATTGATCCCTTTACCATTATGTAATGGCCTTCTTTGTCTCTTTTGATCTTTGTTGGTTTAAAGTCTGTTTTATCCAAGACTAGGATTGCAACCCCTGCCTTTTTTTTGTTTTCCATTTTCTTGGTAGATCTTCCTCCATCCCTTTATTTTGAGCCTGTGTGTGTCTCTGCACATGAGATGAGTCTCCTGAATACAGCACCCTGATGGATCTTGACTCTTTATCCAATTTGCCAGTCTCTGTCTTTTAATTGGAGCATTTAGCCCATTTACGTTTAAGCTTAATATTGTTATGTGTGAATTTGATCCTGTCATTATGATGTTAGCTGGTTATTTTGCTCGTTAGTCGATGCAGTTTCTTCCTAGCATTGATGGTCTTTACAATTTGTCATGTTTTTGCAGTGGCTGGTACCGGTTGTTCCTTTCCATGTTTAGTGCTTCCTTCAGGAGCTCTTGTAGGGCAGGCCTGGTGGTGACAAAATCTCTCAGCATTTGCTTGTCTGTAAAGGATTTTATTTCTCCTTCACTTATGAAGCTTAGTTTGGCTGGATATGAAGTTCTGGGTTGAAGATTCTTTTCTTTAAGAATGTTGAATATTGGTCCCCACTTTCTTCTGGCTTGTAGAGTTTCTGCCAAGAGATCAGCTGTTAGTCTGATGGGCTTCCCTTTGAGGGTAACCCGACGTTTCTCTCTGACTGCCCTTAACATTTTTTCCTTCATTTCATCTTTGGTGAATCTGACAATTATGTGTCTTGGAGTTGCTCTTCTCGAGGAGTATCTTTGTGGCGTTCTCTGTATTTCCTGAATTTGAATGTTGGCCTGCCTTGCTAGATTGGGGAAGTTCTCCTGGATAATATCCTGCAGTGTTTTCCAACTTGGTTCCATTCTCCCTGTCACTTTCAGGTACACCAATCAGACGTAGATTTGGTCTTTTCACATAGTCCCATATTTCTTGGAGGCTTTGTTCGTTTCTTTTTACTCTTTTTTCTCTAAACTTCTCTTCTTGTTTCATTTCATTCATTTGATCTTCAATCGCTGATACTGTTTCTTCCAGTTGATCGAATCGGCTACTGAAGCTTGTGCATTCATCACGTAGTTCTTGTGCCATGGTTTTCAGCTCCATCAGGTCATTTAAAGACTTCTCTACACTGGTTTTTCCAGTTAGCCGTTCGTCTAATCTTTTTTCAAGGTTTTTAGCTTCTTTGCGATGGGTTCGAACTTCCTCCTTTAGCTGGGAGAAGTTTGATCATCTGAAGCCTTCTTCTCTCAACTCGTCAAAGTCGTTCTCCGTCCAGCTTTGTTCTGTTGCTGGCGAGGAGCTGCGTTCCTTTGGAGGGGGAGAGACGCTCTGATTTTTAGAATTTTCAGCTTTTCTGCTCTGTTTTTTCCCCATCTTTGTGGTTTTATCTACCTTTAGTCTTTGATGATGGTGACGTACAGATGGGGTTTTGGTGTGGATGTCCTTTCTGTTTGTTAGTTTTCCTTCTAACAGTCAGGACCTTCAGCTGCAGGTCTGTTGGAGTTTGCTGGAGGTCCACTCCAGCCCCTGTTTGCCTGGGCTGCAGAACAGTGAATATTGCTGAACAGCAAATGTTGCTGCCTGATTGTTCCTCTGGAAGCTTCGTCTCAGAGGGATACCCAGGCGCATGAGGTGTCAGTCGGCCCCTACTGGAGGGTGCCTCCCAGTTAGGCTACTCGGGGGTCAGGGACCCACTTGAGGAGGCAGTCTGTCCATTCTCAGATCTCCAGCTGTGTGCTGGGAGAACCACTACTCTCTTCAAAGCTGTCAGACAGGGACATTTAAGTCTGCAGAGGTTTCTGCTGCCTTTTGTTTGGCTTTGCCCTGCCCCCAGAGGTGGAGTCTACAGAGGCAGGCAGGCCTCCTTGAGCTGTGGTGGGCTCCACCCAGTTCGAGCTTCCTGGCTGTTTTGTTTACCTACTCAAGCCTCAGTAATGGCAGGCGCCCCTCCCCCAGCCTTGCTGCCACCTTGCAGTTCAATCTTAGACTGCTATGCTAGCAATGAGTGAGGCTTTGTGGGCATGGGGTCTTCTGAGCCAGGTGCAGGATATAATCTCCTGGTGTGCCATTTGCTAAGACTGTTGGAAAAGTGCAGTATTAGGGTGGGAGTGACCCGATTTTCCAGGTGCTTCCCTTGGGTAGGAAAGGGAATTCCCTGACCCCTTGCGCTTCCCGGGTGAGGCGATGCCTCGCCCTGCTTGGGCTCATGCTCTGTGGGCTGCACCCACTGTCCCTTCTAAGTAGGGTATCCAATTTTATAAACTGAATAAAGATCGGATGTTGTCTTCCTGAGTATAGAATTAAAATCAAAGAAATTGAGTAAAAATCAATGCGCTTAAGCTCTGATAACCTCATGTATCCTCTCTTATTCAATACCCAGTGCCATACCAATCAGAATACCTTTGGTGACCCATCCAGGAGTCCTGTCCTCTGGATAGGGCTAGAGAAACCCTAACCACTGGTGCTGTTTTTCCTAGGCTCCATTAAAACTGACCTGGCAGACCATTAGGACAACTTCCAAGGTGTGGCTTCTCTTACATTAGCTACCTAATTTAGGATGGCTGCTTTCTGAAGTTACAGAGTGGATTATAGGGAAATGTGCTAGGAACCATGGCTGACACAGAAATAATATTAGGCATGGGAGGGTGTGGTGGCTCACGCCTATAATCCAAGCACTTTGGGAGGCCGAGGCGGGTGGATCACCCGAGGTCAGGTGTTCAAGACCAGCCTGACCAACATGGTGAAACCCCATCTCTACTAAAAATACAAAAATTAGCTGGGAGTGGTGGCGCATGCCTGTAATCCCAGCTACTTGGGAAGCTGAGGCAGGAGAATTGCTTGAATCTGGAAGGCAGAGGTTGCAGTGAGCCAAGATTGTACCATTGCACTCCAGCCTGGACAATAGAGTGAGACTCTGCCTCAGAAAAAAAAAAAAAGGCATGGATATTACTTTCAAGGAGATTATAACCTAGTTTGGGAGGTAAAAAATATGCCACATTAATATTGACTTATCACCCACATTTCCTAGTTCTCCATAGGGCAATAACAGGATTATAATAACTACTCCCCAGTTATTTCTTTGGCCCTGCCCCCATATTCTGCAGGAGCTCTGGCTCTGCTCCAATTCCTTCGGAAGGGCTTTCAGCATGTTTCCCATGAGCTCTACGCACTTCTCATGGTGAACACAGGACACCCACTATTTTCTTCTTCTCCTGTTTTTACTTTCTGTAGTGGTATCTTCCATTACTGTTTACACCCCAAAGGCTGTTTGGTCACAGGTGTCCAGTAAAGACACTGCTCCAATCGCTGCCCACTCATGACAGTGCAGGGGCTGCCAGTGTCACTGCCCGGGTATGGGGTCTGCACTCTACCACCTCCTGCAGTCCCCACCCGACAACTCAGACCTGAGCTTATGGGAGTTCGGCCAGAGGAGGGGCTGTGTGATATGCTTGAAAGCTCAAAGACTTCCACATTATACAGGTCTGGTTTGGAATGCCAGCCCCACAATTACCTAGCTACAAGATCTGTAAGCATTTTACTTCACTTCCATGAGCCTTCATAGCTTGTCTAATCTGTCAAACGGGGGTTAGGTTGTTTATAGCATTAGTGGAAGAATGTAAGTAAATCCTAAAAAATTAAAAATAGGACTACCATATAGTCCAGATACATATCTTCCAGATATATATCTAAAGGAAATGAAATCAGTATCTCAAAGACGTATCTACACTCTCATGTTCACTGCAGCACTATTCACAATAGCCAAGCTGTAGAAGCAACCTAAGTGTTCATTGATAGATGGATACTGCGGTACACACACAGAGACACACAGAGACTGGGAAGTCATTCAGCTTTAAAACAGAAGGGAATCCTGCCATTTATAACAACATGTACGACCTGGAAGACGTTACACTAAGTGAAATAAGCCAGTCAGACAAATACTGCATGAACTGACTTTACCTGTGGAATCTAAAAAAGTTGAACTCATAAAAACAGAGAGTAGAATGGGGGTTGCCAGGAGCTGAGGTCTAGGGGGAAATGGGGAGATGTTGGTCAAAGAATATGAAGTTTCCGTTTGCAGAATGAATAAGTTCTGAAGATCTAACGTACAGCATGAGGACTATAGTTAATAATACTGCATTGTATTCTTGAAATTTGCTGAGAGTAGAAAGTGTTCTCACCGCACACACACAAGGTAACTATCTGAGGTGACGGATATTAGGATATTAATTAGTTTGTTTGTGGTAATCATTTCACAATGTACACATATATCAAAGCCTCACATTGTACACCTTAAATACATGCAATTTTTTCTTGTCAGTTACTCCTCAATAAAACTGGGAAGGAAAGGAATGTAAGTAAAGTATCTAGCACAGTGCCTGGCATATGATAGGTACAAGTGGCAACTGTTATTATGTATTCATTTAATGTATCTTAATTGATTTCTCTATCTGCTGGATACTGCTATGTGCCAGATCTAAAAAGATGAAGAAGCTGCTATATCTGGGAGCTTACTATCTCAGTGGGAGTTGGCATGTTAATAACTATGACAAGATACAGTAGTTGCTCTGTTAGAATTCTGTATTTCTATTATTCTTATCATTATCCAAGATAAAACATGATGTCCTAGAAGAGGTACAGGTGACACGCTGTGAGACTTTAGGGGACAGCATGTCCCATTCTGGGGTCAGTTAGTGAGAGATTCACAAACACTCATCAGCATAATGTGTTTGTTATGTTGGTCTCTTGTTTCATTACCTCACCATTTGTGTGAATGTGGAATAGAAGTACCAAACCTGTAACGAATTGAAGGATGGAGAGTGTAGAGAAATGTCTGGACTTGGTTTGACAAGTTGAATATCACCTTGTTTTCAAAATATCAGAGAACCTGTTTTCATGATGGTTTATTTTTCTTTTGATGATAGTTGCATCAGCCACTAAGTGGAAAAGTTGTAATTGACACAGTACATTGAAGTAAGGAAAATAGATGGTGTATCTAAAATTGCATTGCTGAATCACATCACCATCTGGGAGCAGCCATTCATAAAAGATTAAATGTGAGGCAGGCGCATATCTGAATACATGTGTGTCTGTCTCTCCCATCTGTTTTAATTTTGCTTAAAATAATAACAGCTTTCTTTACCTACTTACTTGAATCTGTGCTGCTTCTTTTAATGTCCACTAGCCAGAAGTAGTCTTTGTGGTCTTTAGCTAGTGTTTCAGAATCCCAACAAGATTAGCTGTCATTGGATCAGAAGGAATTTTCTTTAAAGTTATATATTTTATTGACTGGGCTAGAATCACTAAAATGTTAATTGATGCTTAAAGTGAGAAATTTATGCTGTAATTTAACATTAAAAATGCTGTCCCAAAGCATATTTATGTTGATTTGTACAGCTTTTGTGAGGACAAAGAGCAGGTAAGAAAAATGTACTTTTTCCATTGCAAATTTTTTAAAATTATTGAAAAGTTAATACTTTTTTGTATTCAAATCTGTTACCTGCTTTGTTTCCTTTTTAAGCAATTTTTATCATTCCCATGTCCCTCAGCTGCTACATGCCCTTCCAACCCACCCCTACCCCTCTACTCTCTCTGGCCCTAGGCAAATAAATTTTACCTTGAGCTGAGACAGAAAGTAAATTACCACCATGATAATATAATTCAGGGTAGCCTGGGAATATCATCTAGATGAAAATTATTGTTGATTAAAAGAGGTAACTCTTAAATTTAAGAATAGCTCTCACAAGTCACCATGGAAACGTGAGGCCAGTATTATAGTTTTTCCTGATAATGTGCAAGAACTGTATATGCTTAGCAAGTGGAATTGATCAGATGTAACACCCATCATTCTGGAGTATTTTATAGGGTTGGCTGCTTGTCACCATTCCAATGTGCCTGTCACATAATGCAGTCAAGTATTTTGCAGTGCAGGACTTCAACTGAGTTAGCCCTCAGATGAGAACTGTTATTAACAAATGTGGATAATGGGCAGGAGACTAAATGCATTTTAAATAGAATGAAATGCAGGAGACCTGCTTCCTTTTTATCTTGGATACAGACTTGTAGTAGTGATTAGGCCTCAGACTTATATCAAGACTCTAATAGTCAAAGCTCTTATAGATACCATTCACATTGTTTCAGTGAACTCATAATGCTCTGGAAGGTGAAAAATTAGGACAGCTGACATCAACTATAAGTTTCTGATCTTCTTAAACTTATCTATTATTTTTTCCTCATCTTGTATAACGTCCCTTCTCTATTTAAAAAGGCTTTAATTCGTGGAACACAGAGCAGTAACAAGTCACTGCTAAAAAAAAAAAAAAAAGATTCACAGCCTAAATGCGGGGAGAACACCTCTGTGAATCCTCCAATTCAACTCCAGTGCTTTTCTAACTTCAAGCAATATTGATTTGAACATTTGGTGACTTTGGGGACCTGCGGTGTCAGGCATGGAGTGAAGCAGTAGATGATTATTAGTATGTGCAGTAATGGCAATCTCAATAAATTTTTTTCACATAGTGCTTAAAAGAAAACATTCTTTACTGTTGGAATTAACAAGCTGACTATTACCTACAGTGGCACCATCTGGTGGTTTCATTTTTAATGTTATTGTGTATTTATTAAGAACATACAGTATACCGGGTATTGCTTACTATAAAATAGATCCAGCCCTATCTTGACAGATTTAGCATATACTGTGAGCTGGCAGAAATGCAGGAAATAAATGAAAATGGATTATTCTGTTGGAAATGTGTGTGTTCTATAAGACTGCCAACCCCTAGACATATTTCCATTATTCAGACAAAGAAATCATCAAAAAATTATTTTATTTTTAATTTCTTAATTTTTATTTTTTATGATTTTTGAGACAGAGTCTGACTCTATCACCCAGGCTAGAGTGCAGTAGAGCAATCATAGCTCACTGCAGCCTTTGAACCCTGGATTCAAGCGATCCTCCCACCTCAGCCTCCAGAGTATCTGGGATTACAGGCATGTGCCGCCATGCCTGGCTAACTTTTAAAAATTTTGTGTAGTGACAGGATCTTGCTGTATTGCCCAGGCTTGTCTCAAACTCCTGGCCTTGGCTTCCCAAAGTGCTGAGATTACAGATAAGAGCCACCATACCTGGTCAGAAAATTTTAGGTAGAAGCAAAAAGAGCTGTTATATGGTTGGATCAATATGGACAAGTTTCAGAAGATTATAACGTTCTGGAGAATAAAGATCTCTTAATTTAAAAAAAAATTCAAAAACAGTGCTTATATTCCCCAAGGTAGAAGCAAAAAAAAGTATGTATTTTAGACTGAAAACTTCCATGAAAAAGTACTGACAATTCTAAACCAAATATTGGCAAATTAAGTGCAACAATATATCTTCAAAAAGATAATACGTAACAGCTAAGTGGGAATGCAAGGGTAGCTCAGTATTAGAAAATTAAGGTATTTTACCATATTAATAGAAAAAGATCAGATAAACATTTCAATCAATGCAAGTATTTAGTAAAGCTCAATACCTATTTGTGATAAATTCTTAGCTAACTAGGAGTAGAAAGGAACATCATTAATCTGATAAAGAACATCTGCAAAATATCTGTGGCAAACATTATACTAAATGGTAAAATATTAAAAGCTTTTTTTCCTTATAGTAGGAACAAGACAAATATGCCTGCCATCTTCCTTTCTCTTCAGTATTGGACTGAGAGTCCTAGCTGGTGCAATAGAGGAAGACAAAAATAAAAGTGTGGTGGACAGAATGGCCCGCCAATAATGTCCACACTCTAGAACCTGTGAATATGTTACCTTACATGGCAGAAGAGATTTTGCAGATGTAATTAAGTTACAGATGTTAAGATAGGTGGTAGGTTAATTTAATATGCATATAGGAGAAATAAATCTTTCCTTCTACTTCATATCTTACACAAAACTCAATTCAAGATGGATTGATAAGGGTATAAGGTCATTATACAAAAGGCAACTATATTTTATATACCAGCAAGAAAAACAAATTTAACTAAAAATTTTTAAAATACCATTTACAAAATATTATCATTTTTACTAGCATCTAAAATATTATATAAAATGTTATTTCCATTAAAACTATAAAACATTATTGAGAAAAATTAAAGATGTCCTAAATAAATGACTTTGCCCTTTGCATATACAAGGTTAATATTCTAAAAATCAATTTTCTACATCCCAGCAACATCAAATAGAAAATGAAATTTTAAAAAGATATCACTTACAAAAAATTACAATTTTCAACAGCATAAAAAGTATTAAATGCCCTTACCATAAAACTATAATACATTATGGAGAAAAAGTAACTCTGTTTCAATACGTAGAAAAACATAATTATTTCTATAAATTGAAAGATTGTGAAAATAACAACTCTTCTGAAACTCATTTACAGATTCATCAAAATCCCAGCAGGGTTTTTTTTTTGTGTGTAAATTGAAAAGCTGATTTTAAATTTTATACAGACATGCAAAGGGTAAAGAATATATGAGGCAATCTTGAAAAAGAACAACCTGGGGACTTAGACTTCCAGATATAAAAAATCTGTTACAAAACTATAGTAATGTCCCAGCACTTTGGGAGGCTGAGGCAGGAGTATCAATTGAGGCCAGCCTGGGCAATACAGTGAGACCCTGTCTCTAGAAAAGAATTTAAAATTAGCCAGGCATGGTGGCACATCTGTAGTCCTACTTACTCTGGAGCTGAGGTGAGAGGATCACTTGAGCCCAGGAGTTAGAGGTTACAGTGAGCTATGATAGCACTCCTGTACTCCAGCCTGGTGACATAGCAAGACCCTGTCCCAACAACAAAAAAGCTATAGTAATGAAAACAGTATGGTATTAGAGCAAAGATAGATGAACTCATCAAAAGAACAGAATAAAGAGTTGAGAAAAACAGTATGGTATTAGGGCAAACATAGATGAACTAATCAAAAGAACAGAATAGGGAGTTGAAAAATGGATCCACACATATGTGGTATCCTGATTAATGATAAAGGTGCATAGTAGTTCAGTAGAGAAAATTATCTTTTCACCAAATAGTGCTAGGTTAATAAATATGTATATGGAGGAAAATGAATATTCTTTTACCATATACAAAACTGAATTCAAGATGGATTGCAGATCTATACGTGAAAGGTACAACAATAATGTTTTTAGAAGTAAGCGTAAGAGAACATCTTCATGACTCACAGAAAAAGATTTTTTAATAAGATGCAAAATTAATGAACCAAAAGGAATAACTGGATATATTGGACTCTATTAACGTTAAAAGCTTTGTCCATTAAAAGGCACCATTAAGAGAGAACAAAGGCAAGCTTCAGAGTGCAATACATATATATGAAAAAGGTCTTGTATCCAGAATATATGAAGAACTCCTACAGAACATATAAAGAAACCTTAAAAGCCAATAAGAAAAAAATAGATAACCCAATAGAAAAATGGGCAAAAAACTTGAACAGGCACTTCACAAGAGGATGTCCAAGTATTTATAAACATGTGAAAAAAGTATTCAGCTTTAATAGTCATCAAGGAAATGCAAATTAGAACTACAATGTGTGTGTTAGTGTTCCATTGCTGCCATAATAAATTGCCATAAATTGAGCAGGTTAAAAGAACACAAATTCATTATCTTACAGTGTTATAGGTTAGAAATCCATCACAGGTCTCAGCTCAGGGAGAGCAAAGGGCTTTAGAGAATGAGAAATAGAACAGGTAAGTTTTGCTCTGTGAGGGAGATTTGAGCAGCTACAGGCCAGTGTAAGAGCATGGAATGGATGAGAGCCTATTGGTCCAAATAACTGCCTCTTTTCCTCAATTTACCTTGGGCTAATGCCACCTGGGACCATATCTCTCCCATATTCTATGGCCTCTAAACATTCACTACCATGGCATCCATACAGAAACTAGTCTGCAAATGGTGCTTTAGCCAAAGAGTTACTAGGATTATTATTCTAAAAGAACCCTGCAAATATTCTCATGGCCTTATACTCATCAGAAAAGTGTCATAAATCAAACAGGAATTCCCCAGTGGTTAACAAGTTGGAACTGGAAATAGCTAGTGGACGAGATCACTTACCTGCTACCAGGATCACTGTGAGCATAAGTTATTTCTCACTTACTGGCTAATATCAAGACAGCCTCACTAGCTGAGTGGTATGTACAGGGAATTTCTTTATTTTGTGCTTCTACAGGCACTTTATTGTCTTTTGTTTAACTATATAGACTTTAATTTTAAGGGGACATGTTTCCTTTCAATTGTGACATCTGTAAATGTATGGTATGGCTCTGCCTTTGAACCTAAAATAGTTGATGATTTTTTTTTTCTTGGAAGTTGAGTTATCAACTCCTGCTTTCATATGCATAAGTTCAGTTGCTTGAGTTTTCTTAGTATTATAGCAAAACAAACCGTTTCTCTCAGTTCTTTGTTGATCATAAATTTAGGTAAGCTTATGTTATTTCACATACTATAGAAATATTTGTGCTTCACATGGGCCAACATCAAGTATTCTATATTACCAACCTAAGAATTTCATTAAGTGTTTACATTACATATAAGTTTAGACATTGAGCATAAATGTAATTATATTTCAGATATTTTTCAAGGTTTGAGCCTTGTATCTTCAATATGTCCTATAACCGGCCAGGTTGTGACCTGATATCTATTCTCCTCCTTTGTCTTTTTCTTTGAACTGTACCTTGCCAGAATATAAGAATATGTGTACTTATCCTTAGAGATACAATGTGAGAAGTCCTTTGATAAATTAGTTCTTGAATAAAAGGTTAACATGTTACCCATTAGCAACATGCAACACAGCCAATTATATAAGTAGGTAATAATGGGTGAGATTTTGATTTGATTAGTATTATGGCTGGTTATTTACCTTTTCCAGCATAAATAGCCATATCAATATTTAAAGGAGATCAGTGGGCCAGGCACAGTGGCTCCGGCCTGTAATCCCAGCACTTTGGGAGGCCAAGGAGGGTGGATCACCTGAGGTGAGGAGTTCATGACCAGCCTGGCCAACATGGTGAAACCCTGTTTCTACTAAAAATACAAAATTAGATGGGCATGGTGGTGGGCACCTGTAATCCCAGCTACTCGGGAGGCTGAGGCAGGAGAATCACTTGAACCCAGGAGACAGAGGTTACAAAGAGCCGAGATCATACCATTGCACTCCAACCTGGGCAACAAGAGCAAAAGTCCATTTTTTTTTAGAAGGATATCAGTGTAGGTAGAAGTGAATTATAATTAGAGAATGGGATAGAAAGACAGAATGGGTATAAATAACTGCCCTATTTCAGGTTGTTTTCTGATTATAAAAATTATCTGTGCTTAATTGTAAAAATTGTGGAAACATCATAGAAATATAAAAAGAAAATAGAAATCCCCTATGATCCCACCATCCAGACATAACTACTGTTTCCATTCTGGTTTATTTTCTCACAGTCTTTTTTCTTGTGTACGCAAATGGATGTGGGTGTGGGTGTGTGTCAGAGTAACTTTTAACTATCTCAAGTTCTTTTTTTGTTTTGTTTTTTGAGACAGAATCTCGCTCTGTTGCCAAGGCTGGAGTGCAGTGGTGCGATCTCGGCTCACCACAGCCTCCACCTCCTGGGTTCAAGCAATTCTCCTGCCTCAGCCTCCTGAGTAGCTGGAACTACAGGCACGCACCACTATGCCTGGCTAATTTTTGTATTTTTAGTAGAGGTGGGGGTTTCACTGTTTTGGCCAGGCTGGTCTCAAACTCCTGACCTCAGGTGATCTGCCCACCTTGGCCTCCCAAAGTGCTGGGATTAGAGGCATGAGCCACCACACCCAGCCTATCTCAAGTTCTTAAAAAAAACAGCAAAACAGGAAATTATTTTTAAAAGACAGAATTATTTTAGATTATTAGGAGTGGGGCAGTCAGGCATCAATTTAATTTAAACTTCAGCACAAGGAATATTTTGTTTAGAGCTTGGCTAAAAGAGACGAATTGAGGCCATCTGGTTTTAATCCCTCTTTTACCAGCTGAGGCGAGCAGCTCACCTTCTCCCCAGTCTTTACTTCCCGTATTATTTGGCAGAGCTATATACACCCTGGCATGATTACCAAAACAAATTAATGCTTCTTAGGTCTGCTTGTAATTAGTAACTCCCAACAGAACATGAGTCTTCTGTAGACTTGGAACATTGCCTAATTTTCTCTAAGGTAAGTAATTAGATGGCTGAGGACTGATAACACTCTTTCCTCTGAGCCTCTGCCAAACAGCCTACATCTGTAATGTGGGTAAGATGATTAAAATCTAAAAATGGCTAGAGGTTTTCTTATATGTCACAACACGGAAGGTATTTATTGCACTTCATCCTCCAAGCCCAACACTTCCCCAACAAGAAGAGATTTTAAAAATCGATCAAGAAAGGCTATTCGTAAAGTTATTTAGATGGTTTGGTTAACATCTGTTGTCTATTTTATTCTCCATTCAACTCACAAATTTTCTATGCAGTCAAATTAAACGTGAAGGATGGGTTTCTCACTAGCTATGAACACTATCAAGTTGATGGTTACACTATTCCCTGGAACCTGGTCTACACACCAGTGGGTCCATGTTGACTAAATTCCTTTATGAGAATATATTGGGGTACTCCCATCACAGGGCTTCTGCTTGGCAACTTATCTTCCTATTATGAAGCTCAAAGTCAGAGCTCTGCACTGCCCGGATGGTAACCCCGAAGTTTAAACGGGAATAATTTTTCAATCTACTTTTATTTCCTTAAAGCAGGATTTCTCAACCTTGGTACTATTAACATCTTGAACAGGATAATTCTTTGTTGTGGGGGGCTATCTTGGCATTATAGGAGGCTTAATAACATGCTGGCCTCTACCCACTAGGTGCTACTAACAACCAGCACCCCACTTAACGTTTTTACTCCAGACACTGCCAAATGTCCCCTAGGGGTTACAATGCCCTGGTTGAGAATCTCTGCCCTAGAGAATAGTATTAGCATCTCAGTGGTGACAATAAGATAAAGCAGACCCTTATTTATAAGTGAGATACAGCTGGGACTCTAAGCTAGTACTGTTAATTTATCTCTTCAACAAAGTTACTATTAAGTGATTCAGAAGGCACATGTGGAGAGCAAAAAATAAAAATTAAAAAATAAGCTGGGTGTGTGTTGTGCACCTGTAACACCTATAGTCCTAGCTACTCAGGAGGCTGAAGCAGGAGGATTGTTTGAGCCCAGGAGTTTGAGAGTGCAGTGAGCTATGATTGTGCCACTGCACTCCAGCCTGGGTGACAGAACAAGACCCTCTCTCTAAAATAAATGAATGAGTAAATGAAGATGTATTCTGATTTAACCAAGCTGGTACCTCCTAGTGACTGTATTTGGTAGAGAATTACAGTTTTGAGAAGGTTGGGCTCTATTGTGTGTGAGTCATCAGCACCTTAAAAGTGATAAGAAAGGATAGCCAGGCATGGTGGCTCATGCCTGTAATTCCAGCATTTTGGGAGGCCAAGGCAGGCAGATCCCTTGAGCCATGGAGTTCGAGACCAGCCTGGGCAACACGGCGAAACCCCGTCTCTAAAAAATACAAAAATTAGCTGGACATGGTGGTGTGTGCCTGTAGTCCCAGCTACCTGGGAGGCTGAGGTGGGAGGATCACTTGAGCCCAGGAGGTCAAGGCTGAAATGAGCCATAATTGTGCCACTGCACTGCAGCATGGGCAACAGAGCCTGTCTCAAAAAAAAAAAAAAAAAGTAAGGGAGACATTTGAATAATTTCACATGTAGAGATATCCCAGGGTACTAGGGTACTATGCTTTCACAGAACTCAATCACAGCTGAGAATAACCAAGGGTAATTTATATGCTCTGTAAGTAAAACTTTCAAAAAATAACCTGACGGCTTACCAACAGAAGGTAACAGTAATATAATTTAATTAGCCCAATAACTAATTTTCTGAGGGGGAAAGTTTTGATTGCAATAAAAGATATTGTGAATTTTAGGCCAGGCGTGATGGCTCACACCTGTAATGCCAGCGCTTTGGGAGGCCAAGGTGGGTGGATCACTTGAGGTCAGGAGTTCAAGACCAGCCTGGACAATATGATGAAACCCTGTCTCCACTGAAAATACAAGAATTAGCTGAGCGTGATAGTGGGCACCTGTAATCCTGGCTACTCAGGAGGCTGAGGCAGGAGAATTGCTTGAACCCAGGAGGTGGAGGCTGCAGTGAGCCGAGATCACACCCCTGCACTCCAGCCTGGGTGGCAGAATGAGACTCTGCCTCAAAAAAAAAAAAGCAAAAACAAAAAACAATGATATTGTGAATTTGAAATAGGGAAGAAGTAGAATGCTTCGTTATTGATGGTTGATGTGATTTGGATATGTGTCCCCACTCAAATCTCGTGTTCAATTGTAATGGTCAGTGTTGGAGGTGGGGCCTGGTGGGAGGCGATTGGATCATGAGAGCAGTTTCTCATGAATGGTTTAGCACTATCCCCCTTGGTGTTGTCATTGTGATAGTGAGGGTGTTCTTATGAGAGCTGGTCATTTAAAGGTGTGTAGCCTATCCCCCTTCTCTCTTTCTCCTGCTCCAGCCGTATGAAGTTCTGGTGCCCCCTTTTCCTTCTGCCATGATTGTAAGTTCCTGAAGCCACCCCAGAAGCTGAGCAGATGCCAGCCTCATGCTTCTTGTACAGCCTGTGGAACTTCGAGCCAGTTAAAGCCATTTTCTTTATAAATTACCCAGTCTTAGGTATTTCTTGATAGCAGTGTGAGAATGGACTAATACAGTGGCCAAGGGGTGTCTTGGCCAAGATTAAAAAGAGAGATCATTGGATTAGCTTAGAAGGAAGAGTAATATGTGTTAAAACTGAAAAGGTACCCCAGGAATCTTCTTTCTTCCTTTAATTAAAATCACTGATAAGGTCAAATTCTTAAGGTAGAGCTGGGCATGGTGATTCATGCCTGTAAATCCTAGATTCTCAGGAGGCTGAGACTGGAGGGTCACTTCAGTCCAGGAGTTCAAGTCCAGCCTGGGCAATATATCAAGACCCTGTTTCTAAAATTAAAAAAAAAAATCATACAGTAGAGATTCAGAAAACCATCTGGTTATCCTAAATAATATACAAAACATGAAAATATGAGGCATATTTGCTGTGAAAATGTGAAAGTTGAGTAATGAGAATGTGTTTCCTCCACAGTATAGATCTTAAATATTAGTGTCTGATTGTGTAGGTGTTATTGGAGGGTAAAACAAGGATTTCTTGCTACCGTGTATATATTCAGAAGTCTCCAGTTACCCTCCATTGTGGTATCCTGGGAACTTGTAAATGTTATGGAAAAATCCTTTGCACACAAATTATTAGAAGATGGCAAATTTTTAATGAAAGTTTATATGAAAATAGGTCTATTCCTAAAACCATAAAAACCCTAGAAGAAAACCTAGGCAATACCATTCAGGACATAGGCATGAACAAGGACTTCATGTCTAAAACACCACAAGCATGGCAAGAAAAGCCAAAATAGACAAATGGGGTCTAATTAAACTAAAGAGCTTCTGCACGGCAAAAGAAACTACCATCAGAGTGAACAGGCAACCTACAGAATGGGAGAAAATTTTTGCAATCTACCCATCTGACAAAGGGCTAATATCCAGAATCTACAAAGAACATCAACAGATTTGCAAGAAAAAAAAACCCCATCAAAAAGTGGCTAAAGGATATGAACAGACACTTCTCCAAAGAAGACATTTATGCAGCCAACAGACACATTAAAAAATGCTCATCATCACTGGTCATCAGAGAAATGCAAATCAAAACCACAATGAGATACCATCCCACTCCAGTTAGAATGGCAATCATTAAAAAGTCAGGAAAGAACAGATGCTGGAGAGGATGTGGAGAAATAGGAACGCTTTTACACTGTTGGGAGTGTAAATTAGTTCAACCATGTGGAAGACAGTGTGGCATTCCTCAAGGATCTAGAACTAGAAATACCATTTGACCCAGCAATCCCATTACTGAGTATATAGCCAAAGGATTATAAATCATGCTGTCATAAAGACACATGCACGTGTATGTTTATTGCGGCACTATTCACAATAGCAAAGACTTGGAACCAACCCAAATGCCCATCAATGATAGGCTGGATTAAGAAAATGTGGCACATATACACCATGGAATACTATGCAGCCATAAAAAAGGATGAGTTCATGTCCTTTGCAGGGACATGGATGAAGCTGGAAACCGTCATTCTCAGCAAACTATTGCAAGGACAGAAAACCAAACACCGCATGTTCTCACTCATAGGTGGGAATTGAACAATGAGAACACTTGGACACAGGGCAGGGAACATCACACACTGGGGCCTGTCAGGGAGTGGGGGGCAGGGGGAGGGATAGCATTAGGAGAAATACCTAATGTAAATGACGAGTTGATGGTTGCAGCAAACCAACATGGCATATGTATAGCTATGTATCAAACCTGCACGTGGTGCACATGTACCCTAGAACTTAAAGTATAATAAAAAAATACAATGAATACATTAAAAATAGGTCTATTTAGAAAAACACAATGTAAAAATAAATTTTTTCATAATTTGCCAAAATTTCACATAAAATATTTATTCATATAGTTAAAAATAAGGGTTAAGATGTAAGTTATTAAAGGAGTCTCAAAAACTATTTCAACAAAGAAATTGTAGATGTATGGTGGGTTTTTGTCTTTGTTTTTCTCTTAGAATCAGATACTTTTAGTTCCAGAGGGCATTTGTTATAGGTATTCAAAAAATCCACCAACACTTTTTTTTTTTTTTCTTTTTGCGGAGTCTCACTGTGTTGCCCAGGCTAGAGTGCAATGGCACAATCTTGGCTCACTGCAACCTCCGCCTCCTGAGTTCAAGCAATTCTCCTGCCTCAGCCTCCTGAGTAGCTGGGAGTACAGGCACACACCACCATGCCCAGCTAATTTTTGTATTTTTAGTAGAGATGGGGTTTCAACATGTTGGCCAGGATGGTCTTGATCTCCTGAGTTCGTGATCCACCTGCCTCGGCCTCCCAAAGTGTTGGGATTACAGGCGTGAGCCACCGCACCCAGCCCACCAACACTCTTAAATTCCCCCTCTCTGTTTTGGAAAATGCTGCAAATCTTTCTCTAAGTTCCTATAAAGCATATTGAGTATCTCTTATTAGTAAGACATTGTGGCACTAGTCCTTCAAGATGATAAATTCTTTCTTCATTAATTTATAGTGGTTATTAGTGAAATGGACAAACCGTTTCATTACTCAAGTGATCATTTTAAACCCAATGTGTATATTTTCCAAGAATAATTAGAAGCCATGGTATTTCGTGTCCACTTACATTTGTAGAGGATTGCATTTCGTTAGTCATCTTAAAATAGTAATTCTGGGCTGGATGCAGTGGCTCACGCCTGTCATCTCAGCACTTTGGGAGGCCGAGGCGGGTGGATCACTTGAGGTCAGGAGTTAGAGACCAGTCTGGCCAACATTGAGAAACCTCGTCTCTACTGAAAATATAAAAAATTAGCTGGGCATTGTGGTGTGTGCTTGTAATCCCATCTACTTGGTAGGCTGAGGCAGGAGAATCGCTTGAACCCAGGAGGCGGAGCTTGTAGTGAGCCGAGATTGCGCCATTGCACTCTAGCGTGTGTGACAAGAGCAAAACTCCATCTCAAAAAAAAAAAGTAATTCTGTTACCTTATTTACCAAATGGTGATAAACGTTTAAAGAAAAATTTAATAGTCTTCTAAAGACAGTTATTCATAGATAGCTATAAATGCTTTTTAAGGCTAACTTTTTATTCGTTTCTTTCTCACAAGTTGAAATTAATTTCTATTCATGGGAAAACCCAGGTTGTGTCTGTTTGTTGTGGTGTAAACATGGCTCAACTCATATTTTACTTTACCTATTAAGGATGAGTACAGTAAAGATTTACAAAGTCTTAAGAAAACAAGATTTACTTTTTAAAATATGCTTGCTATTAGAAAAAGAATTGAGAGACATGTATACTACTCCAGCTGGTCATGAAAGAACAGGTGCAAATAACTATGGAGCTTTTTTTTTTTTTGCCAGTCTCGCTCTGTCGCCCAGGCTGGAGTGCAGTGGCACGATCTCATCTCACTGCAAGCTTATGGAGCTCTTTTTAATGAAAGAGTTTCTTGCTCTCTGAGGGTTCTGTAACAACAGGCTCCTGGGAGAATGACTGCTTCAATGAGCCTCAAAGGTGTAAATTCAGAGATAGGAGTGAATAATACTGGAAATGACAAACTAAGACCCAGTAAAGCATTTCTGCGTGCACCACACCTAAAGCTACCCTAAAATTTGATTTAAATTACTAGAAAGATTAATATTTGATTTAAATTACTAGAAAGATTTTGCCGATTACGAATCAAAAGCCTTAATATTCTGCTTCTTGGAATTTAGCATCAGGAAATCATCGTGAATATTCATAAAGATTCAGCCACACAAATGTTTATAGCTGACAGTACCAATAATAATAATAATACCAAAAAGGGGACAACCTAAAAGGTCAAGAATAGGGAAGAAAGTTAAATTACCAGCACACTATTGCACTGATTTATTGGAATGCTATGTGGCCATAAAATGACATTGCAAAAGAATATTTAGTAGATGGGAAAAATATTCACTACATATTAAGCACACACAAAAATAATGCATGCATCATGATTTACGTATGTTTCTAGGATGTTATATGACTAGTAGAGTACATACTGAAATGTCGGTTGGTTATCTCTGGCTGCTGCCATTATGGGTTATGGGCCATGTTATTTCCTTTTTCTTTTCTTGTCTGTATTTTAAAGACAGTTTACAATTCTTTCATTTTTTTTCAAATTTATGCATCAAAACAAATTTATTGAGTATCTTCTCTGGGTCAGATACTGGTCTAGAGTCAGGTACCTTGTTAAATAATGCATGCCTTCTTGAGTACATGTTATTTAGAAGTTATATAAAAAGTCAATGGAAAAGAAAACATTTGTCAGCACTTAAAAGTTCATTTTAAAGGAAAGTTAAGCTTATCAGAGTGACCAGTGGTGTTTAGAAGAGTGAGATTCCAAGCCTGTCTTTAGACAGAGGAGGAGTAACAGGGACCTGAGCTTTCAGACTCTCTTGCTTTCTTCCTGGTAATTTAGGAGCTTTTAGGCTATGAGTGAATAACAGGGGTGGAAATTTAGGAGCTTTTAGGCTATGAATGAATAACAGGGGTGGAAATTTAGGAGCTTTTAGGCTATGAATGAATAACACAGGTGGAAATAAAATGACACTACAGGTGGGATTGTATCTCAGAGTTAAGGCAGAGGACTTTAAGTCTCTACTGTTAGTGGTTGGTCCTGTTAAAAATAAAATGCCTTCAGAGCAGTTGAGACCATGGCAACCTGACCTCATTATTGTAGGGAAGTTGTAACAATACAACTTCCTTATTGCAGTTGAGGAAGGGAAGTAAAATGGAGACAGAATTATCAGCTCAGGTAGAAAGGATAAAAAGAAGAGCTCCTGTCTGTTCAGCAAAGACAAGACAGCCATGAAAGTATCATAGGACAAGCTTGTATAGCCCAACTGCTTCCCTCTTACCAAAATAGAAAAGGAAAAAAAAAAAAGAAGAAAGAAATCCAGCTTATGGTTTAAACTGTGCAATTATAGAAACCACCAGAACCTTTGATAATTCTTTGGCATTTTAATAAAATCCACCGTTAATATTTAATTTTAATAATTCTAGTTATTCTTTCCAAATTCAGCACCCTCTCTGAGCACAAACTTGGAAACTTTTTTCAAAGCTGTTACAATGAATAAATGCGGAAATTAAGCTCTACTAATTTTTTTTTTTGCTTAGGCATAAAACTTCCTTTTTATAGCTCTTTTATGGAATTGCTAGGAATTTGTGTGTATAAACTATTTACAAATAGAGGGCTTGCTTTATTATTTTAGGACCAAGTGAGATCTCAGTTTGTGCTTGGTGTGTTGTTAGAATTAAAAGGGCATTCATCGAGATCATGTCACTTTTCAGGCATATACTTAAAAACTGACCATCATAGTCTGGGTGCGGTGGCTCACACCTGTAATCCCAGCATTTTGGAAGGCCGAGGCGGGCATCACCTGAGGTCAGGAGTTTGAGACCAGCCTGGCCAACATGGTGAAACCCTGTCTCTACTAAAGATACAAAAATTAGCTGTATGTGTGGTAGGCACCTGTAATCCCAGCTCAGGAGGCTGAGGCAGGAATTGCTTGAACCCAGGAAGCAGAGGTTGCAGTGAGCCGAGATCGCGCCGCTGTACTCCAGCCTGGGCAACAGAATGAGACTCCATCTCAACAACAACAAAAAAAATTGACCATCATAAATAAATGCCAGGCACCCTTCTGAGGAAAGCATACATTATGGTTATACTTTAAAACTGGAATGTGCAGTTGGAAACTGCAGGAGCTGATGTATAATCCAGTTCTTACTCTGTTTATCAACCATTTAGGAAATTTTGGAATAATTTGGCATCATAAGACAAATTCTGAAAAACATCTTTTGACTATGATAACATACAGAGAAGTATTCCAAAATTTTTATGCAGTTGTGTTCACTTCCATTTTTATTGCTTAATAAATAAAATTCCAAGAAATACAGTAAGTAAACAAAAAAGAAAATATCCTACAAATTGAATTTGTTATTTTAAGATATGGACTCTTCATTTTAATTGTTTGATCACTGATCCCTTGACTTTAAAAAGATCAGAAATAAAAATCACACTTCTAGTATAATTACTTTAATTTTTGGCACTAGATTTTATAAATAGATCATTCTTATCTAACCTTAAGCAGTTCACTTTATGAATTTGGCAATCAAGAGTGAATTAGTGCTTTCAAATATGTCCCTACCTAATCCATACACTAAATTAAAGAACCCATGATACAGTATGTGTCCTGAAAGGGAAAAAAAAAACCAGGGTCCAGTTTTGACAACCATGCTGTTGTCCAGCAAATAAAGGTAGTTTAGTCTCCCCCGTGTCAAGCTAATAGCATCACTACCTGTTTTTTAAATGGAACACTGAATTTTTTTTCACCTGCCTTTCATCTGCATGCTTAACATATTTGATGCCCCACATTTTTAAAAATTAAAAACAAAACTTTGTCAATATTTAATTTTCCATAATTTTTAGGGTGTAAGAAAGTATTTTTTAACATGACTTTCAAAATAAAGCCTCGTCAGGGTGGCTCATGCTTGTCATCTCAGTGCTTTGGGAGGCTGAGGTGGGAGGATCACTTTAGGGCAGGAGTTTGAGACCATCCTGGGCAACATAGTGAGACCCCCATCTCTACAAAAAATTTTTAAAAAGCCTTGTCAAAACTAGAGCAAAGTCATTCTAATAGATAATGGGGAACAATAAGAAAGGAACTTTACAAGTATAGATTTCTATTATATTAAATTGCTCTTCTGAATGATATAGAATTACACTACATTTTAGGTTTTCTTTCATTACTAGGGATTGAGGTAGTAGGATAAGTCCAGGTACTACAAAAACTTAATTTTAGTCAACAGTTTCACCTCTCTTCTTAAACCCGTTTATTGAAGCTATCAGCAAACAGTGAAACTGGTTAGGGTGAGAATCGTGAGGACGTTTGTGGTACATATTACTAAATTAAATATCCCTTTCTCTCACACCTGCTGTTCAACAAGCTAATTAACAGCTAGAAACAAAACACAAACAACAGATGGAAAAGGAGCCATAGACACACCCACATTGGTGCAAAAGCCTCTGAATCCAGGGAGTGAAACGGCTGCATTTGCATCCTGGTGGCCCAAATTCATAAACTGCAGTGAGTTTTATATGATGGACACTGTTTACCGAAAATGCCTCATTCTTGCCTTTACTGAAAATGCCTTGCATTTACTGAAAATGCCTCACTGGCTGAACATGATTCACTTTCAGAATTGCTGGATGCCTGAAAAGGTTTAGTCAGTTCTCAGCTGAGGTTGTAAAACTAAAAAATAAATAAATAAAAATAAACAGTTTAGGACCTGATTTTAAGACTTCTTAAAATTCATATGTTATTCCTGGGCTTTCTGGATTTGTGACAGTGATTTATATTTGACATTGGGGGAGAGAGGGTAGGAAGCAGAATGCCTGTCTTCCCCGAGAGACAGGTAGTTCTTTAAATATGGAGGCCTGGAGGAAAGAAATTTGGATTTTTTTTTTTTTTTTTTTTAGTAGTGGAGGGGGCAGATGTGGAATGAGAAGATACAATTGGAAGCAATAGGAATTGAGTCTTATGGACAGTATTCTTCCTTTTCTCCTAACAATGTTGGCCACTTGTGAAGGAAATGGTAGATATTTCCTATTCAATAATAGCCAAAGGACAAGGTAACAGGAGTAGGACTGGGATATGGTCTAAAAGCTCACAGAAAGTGAATCCAAGAAGGCTAGATTTGCCAAATGCAGGCCTGCAAGCTGGCTACCAGGAACCCCTTCAAATAAAAAGAGGCATAATTATCAGGAGGATAGTGTGTGGCTAAGGTGGACCCCGCAGTGGAAAGACTCAAAGTAGGAACCATTTTTTAAATTGACACACACACAAAATCAGGCTTGGGGGTATCATAGTTTTATTACATTAAAAGAAGATAAAGTTATATTATGATTTTTATATAGGCTTTTGTCTTCTTAAAATCTAAAACATATTTTTCTTATGTTTTTTTTTCATTAATGTACCCATTAAATAGCTGTGGTACAATAGATATCTTACCTAAATGAAAACCTGATTTAATGAAATGAAATTGTATGAACTTTGGAGAAAACAATTCTTTGAATTATCATGTTTAGCTTAGATTAGATTCATGTGCTCTTGCTTTCTGTTGTAAATAATCTGTTCTTTATTGTGTATTTCATTTTCTTCTGTGGTGAGATTTATTTTTGAAGAGAGGTAAGATGGAGAAGGAGAGAGGGGTCTGCCTGTTGGGCTGCAGGTGATCTGAGATCTGAGATCTATAGGTATCCTGCTGGAGTGAGGTTCCCTGTAGTTCTGCTAAAAATTCTAAGCAGGAAGGAGGCCAGAAAAAGAGACAGGAAGATGCATTGTGAATTCCTACTGAAGTGTGCTGAATGAATTCAACACTCTAAAGGCTGACCTTTTCTCTTAGAATGGGGAGAGAAGAGAGGCAATTGCTGGCATTAGGCAACTCCTGTTGGTTCCAGTGAGAAAAATGAGCAAGTGCTGGCCATACAGTCTTGAGGTGGCTTGAAGACCATAGTTGATGCTTGAGCCAAGGCCTATAGGGTATGCCCAGAGAGAGAGAGAGACAGATGCCCAGGAAGCGGGAGCCTGTGTTACTGGCTACTGCAGGGACAAACCAATGGGAACCAGGAGAGGGTAGCCCATATGAAAATCCTTGGCCGTTACCATGACCTTTTGGATAAAGTAGACCCTTGAAGAGGTGAGAGGAGCCTATGATTTCTCAGTCTCGGAGCCTAAGAAGAGTTCATTGGAAATCCAGTGGGATGGATTTTCTGCTCTTGGGACATCATAGCTCTGTCTACTCTGTCTCTTGTCCAACAAGTGCCTTTGGAAGAAGGGAAAGGCACCTTCTTAAATTCTCTCAATGTTTTTATGAAAAGAGTTAGTTGTGGAACAGTACTGAGGGGAGGAGACTTTTATAGGCATTTCCAAAGGATAGTAAGACTTTTGAAGGCTTCTGTTAGCATTAAAGCTGATGAGTGGTGTCAAAGTTTACTTTTCAAAAAATTAAAAACATGACTGTCATAATAAGAGAAGAGTGAAATGTGTTAAACAATTTTTGAAAAATCTCATTAAGTAATGAGGGAACCAGTAAGATGCTAAAGCTTTCCAAGGAGCATCTGAGGAACAGAGCATGTGTAGGCACTTTAATATAGTAATAGTAGAATGAGATTACTAGTTTAGATACAAAACTGGTTCATGTCCTACAGGGCAATAAGCTATGACCTCTGGAGGCTTTTATTTTATTTTATTTTATTTTTTCCTACCAGACAGCAAAACTTTTATCCCTGCTGGAAACAGGCCGGGCACAGTGGCTCATGCCTATAATTCCAGCACCTTGGGAGGCCAAGGAGGGCAGATCACTTGAGGTCAGGAGTTCGAGACCAGCTTGGCCAACATGGTGAAACCCCATCTCTACTAAAAATACAAAAATTATCCAGGTGTGGTGGTGCATGCCTGTAGTCCCAGCTGCTCGGGAGGCTGAGGCAGGATAATCACTTGAGCCCGGGAAGCGGAAGTTGCAGTGAGCTGAGATGGCGCCACTGCACTCCAGCCTGGGTGACAGAGTGACAGTCTGTCTCAAAAAAAAAAAAAAAAAAGGCTTACCTCCACTGGAAACAAATCTGAAAGTTAACGTGTAATTTTCACAGAGAAATTGCCCTTAATTAACATTATACTAAAAAAATTAATTTTTGGGTGGGCCTGTTTTTTTGTTTTGTTTTGTTTTTTTGTTGAGATGGTGTCTCGCCTCGCTCTGTTGCCCAGGCTGGAGTCAGTGACGTGATCTCAGCTCAATGCAACCTCTACCTCCTGGGTTCAAGTGATTCTCCTGCCTCAGCCTCCTGAGTAGCTGAGACTATAGGTGCACACCACCACACCTGGCTAATTTCTGTATTTTTAGTTGTATTTTTAGTAGAGATGGGGTTTCACCATATTGGCCAGGCTGGCCTCAAACTCCTGACTTCGTGATCTGCCCGCCTCGGCCTCCCAAAGTGCTGGGATTATAGGCATGAGCCACTGCGCCTGGCCTGGGTGGGCCTGTTAAATGATGCTTTTGAAAGGACATGAAATTATCCTCTTTGCCTATTTTTACAAGTTTAGGATCATTTATCTTAACAATAGGGAATCTATCAATAACCTATTTACCCTTCTTACTCTCTTGCATCCTAAACTTATGCTACCCATGAGTGATATGATAAGGGCTGATTAACATAGACCTTTCATTTTTGTCCTCCTCTCCCCTGCCCCTTCACACACACACACACACACACACACACACACACACACACACACACGCACACACACACAATCACCACCACACACATGTAATGCAGGAATCCAAAAAGAGCATGAAAGAAAATCAGATGCCTCTTCCACTGATAGAACACAATATATCCAACTTACTGCTAATATAGAAGGGTGACTTAACCTTTGAAATACTCTGCAAAATTAGAAGTTAAATAGGTATGGTCTAGGCCATTCCCTTAATATGAATATCAAGGGAGTAGCCGAAGTATCTCATTGTACTGACATTTCCTTGCAACGATTACTGCCAGATCCAAATGAACTTGCAGCACTCATAATCATATCCCAAGGAGAGATATTAAGAATGCATCCAAGGCATATTTTGCTGGCATCAGCAGCCAGGGCATTCACTTTGTATCTGAAGTTGGTGCTTCTGGAATTTGCTGGTGGCTGTTCCCTCAGAGATTTTCTCTGGCACCTTTTCCAGCTATCTCTCTTCTCTATCCTGTCTCCAAGATGTAAACATTCCTCCCCTCTTTTGGTTCACTACCCACACAAAAGAATGAAACTAAATTCAGTTATAGGAAAGTATTGGCACCAGATAGAATATTTCTTTATTAAGGTGAAGTATGATTCTGCTTAACCCAGATAGAGTAATTTTATATTTTTATTTTGCTTGGGAAAAATTGAATTTGGGAATTCTCCCACTACTTAAATCATTTTAACCCAAAGCTGCTGTGGGACCTCCAAAATAATATGGGAACACTTTGATTATTTTTTTTTCACATTTGGAATGGCTTCTGCAGCAATTCTTTGCATTACTTTCAAGTAAGTTAAAACCCTTTTCGCTTCTGCAATCACTTTTGGTTTCTTTCAGCCTTGGATGACTCCTTATGTTTTTAGCAACCACGATGCCTTATCCCTAATAATAGTGGCTTTATTTTGTATGAGTTAATCTTAACACTATTTCTCATCTGGAACACCTACAGCAAGATGAAAGGAATCACACTGTCTTATTATTTCAAAAACACATGATCTGGCATTTTCTGGACTGGTTTAGGTATTCTACAACCAGAAAACATGTTTGGAATTCTTTTACTGGTGTCTCACCTTTTTATAGTATTGGTCCATCAATTAAATATAAAAACTTAATTTTGATGAATCTTCTTTACTTCCTTATGACCCCTGAAATGTAGACAACCCAAGGGTCACCTCATGATAAGTGATTTCATCACCTTGTAGCAGTAAACTGACACTGTGGTTTAGAAAGTCATACTAACCCTAGACCATTTTTCAGTTATAAGACTATGTTCTATGAAAGGTCAGGTTTGTTTATTTGTTTGCTTGTTTTGCTGATTGATTGGTTGGTTGGTGTTTTTGTTATTATAAGACTTTTATTTTTCTAAGCGCAGTTTTAGATTTACAGCAAATTGGATAGAAGAAGGCTCAGAAATTTCCCATATACTCCTTGCTCCCCTCCCGCCCCATGCACAGCCTCCTCCATTATCATCATCCTCCACCAGAGGGTACATTTGTTACAAGTGATGGACCTACAGTGACACATCAAAATCACCCAAAGTCCCAGAGTTTACCTCAAGGTCCACTCTTGGTGTTATACATTCTGTGGGTTTGGAAAAATGTATAATGCCAGGTATTTGTTCATCATCATACTGTCATTCAGAGTGTGTTCACTGCTCTGTCTTCTGTGCTCTGCCTACTCATCCCTCCTCCCAACCTCCAACCCCTGGTTTTTAAAATGTAGCAATGACTATTCTTTCCATTTTTTTTTAAGACAAGGTCTTACCCTGTTGCCCAGGCTGGAGTACAGTGGTGTGATCATGGCCCACTACAGCCTCAACCTCCTGGGCTCAAGCGACCCTCCCACCTCAGCCTCCTGAGTAGCTGGGACTATAGGCACGACCACTATATTTGGCTAATTGTTTTTTGTCATTGTTTGTAGAGACAGGTTCTCACTATGTTGCCAAGGCTGGTCTCAAACTCGTGGGCTCAAGTGATCCTCCCACGTTGGCCTCTCAAAGTGCTGAGATTACAGGCATAAGCCACTGCATCCAGCTTCAGATTGTTTTTATAAAGGGAAAATCTATCCAAAATATAAAATAACCAGCAATGATTTTGGTAATTCTGCAGTGTCAAAGCAAGCAAGCAAATGTGTTATCATCCAATAATTAATTCCACTAATGCTGTCTCATTCACTTACCAGATTTAAATTCAGTTCTATAAACATTTATTGAATGCCTACTACATAGTATGGGTAGTCCCTGCCCCTAAGGAATTTGCAGTTTAATGGCCATGAAGTAATATACTCAACCAACAGTAATACTGGCCAGAATGTGTTATTGTTTTAATAAAGCTATACTAGTCATAAAAACATCAACCCCTTACATTATTATTGGATATGGTGCAGAATATAGCTAAAGGGACCTTGGAAATCATCTGATTCAACCATTTCACTTTTCAATAGAAATTTATCTTATTCTCTAGTAATGTTTATTTGTTGTAGGAAGTTTAGAATATGCAAAAAAGTAGAAACAAGAAATCAAAACACCCGTAGTTTCACTACCTCCGCTCATATGAACGTTTTGGTGTATTTCCTTCAGGTTTCCTTATCCATATATTTTATTTTTTACATCTGTTAAGTAACATTGAAGGTGTAATTCTGTATGCTGATTTTTTTCATAACATATCATGACATAATCCTTTCCCAATGTCATTAAAAACTCTTGATAAACATTTTTAATCACTAAATAATATTCAATTATTAGCTCAACCATAACTTAGCTCTTCTACAATTTAGGTTGTTCATAATGTTTCACTATTAAATGGCTTTGGGCTTAAAACTTTATCAGGATAGAGTCTCTGAAGTAGGTTTACTAGGTCAAAAGTATATGAACATTTTTAGGGCTCTTGCAAGGTAGTTTGAAATACCATGCATTTTGCATGTTGCATTCGGATCTATTTTCACAGTGGATTTCATTAGCCTTTCCTTACACATACTACAGGCTCTTCTGCCTTTTAATTGGCAAGGAAATCATCAGGAACTGAATACACACTGGAGGGTGGAGATAATCAGAGTCATCAAAATCTGCTCCCAAGAAGAAACGGAAACTTAATGTAGCTAAGCTTTCAGTAGCACCCTCCTTAATTTGTGTTATTGCCTTTAAAAGTTGCATAGACCGCCTATAATCCCAGCACTTTGGGAGGCTGAGGTGGATCATTTGAGGTCAGGAGTTCGAGACCAGCCTGGCCAACATGGTAAAATCCCATCTCTACTAAAAATACAAAAATTAGCTGGGCATGATGGTGGGCGCTTGTAATCTCAGCTACTCGGGAGGGTGAGGCAGGAGAATCACTTGAACCTGGGAGGTGGAGGTTGCAGTGAGCTGAGATCATGCCACTGCACTCCAGTCTGGGTGACAGAGTGAGACTCTGTCTCTAAATAAATAAATAAAGTTGCATAGACCTTGACTTACGCAACTATAGAAAGGTAATGTCTCCTTGCTTATGGAATTGGAGTCGGGGGAGACAGAAACTAAATTAGGTTTGATTCATACATACATTCATACAAACTACCGAGTTTCTGGTAATTGTTGTTAATAACAATTTCTGGGAACACAGATTCTTCTAATAGCTGTGAAGGATGTGAGTGGAATCATGAGAAAGAGATGGTCACTGCTGCTACAGATATGCCACCTTGGAATGAGAGTTGATTTGGGGCTGAGCCTGAGGTTCTTTGTGGATATGCAGAAAGACTGGGGGTCCACTGGGGTCCAGCGTGGTTTGGCACATCATATCAGTTCTGAGACCAAAAGGCCTATGGGATCTCCCAACCTCAAACCAGTCCCCTGGGATCCTCTGAAGGGAGGAGATTGACACGGCCTGGGTGGTCTGGAACTTCTGCAGACTCAGCCCCCCGTTCTGGGCTGAGCCGAGGCCAGGTCATAGCTTGACGAGTACTGGCTGCACAGTTGACACAGAAGTGGCCCTGAGGTTGCCTGAATAGCTTTTCATTCTTCAGCATAGACAAGCAGAATGGGAGAGAGACTTTGTGACACAGGCACCAACTTTCCAGGGGCCCTGGCCTGCTTCCACCCCTTCATAGACTTGAAGATCCATAAATGTCCTCTCAGTCTTCACTGCTAAAAGATAAAGAAATCCATTTTTAACCTCTTCTCAGAGAACCTCCTTGATGTGATCCCCAGGGATATTTTCTGATTGGTTTTCTAGCTTCTCCCATCCCTTCTAATTTGTGTAAACCAGTGTGTAGTTTAGAAGCAACATGAAAGAGGCTTACCTCAGACACACCAGCTATACTTTTCTCTTTTGGCAGCCTGAGTCATACTCACTTTCTATTTTCTTAAATTTTAAAACTGGTGTAGATTAGCTTGAGGTCTCTCGGGGCCCCTGGATTTTTCCCTGCCATGTTTTCATGTAGTCTGTCATAATCTATACTATTTATAAAGCTTGGCTTCCCAGCTCAAGTGTTATATTTATGTGTTCCCTCACAAATTTGGATGATAAGATTACTGTTTTGTTAACTCAGCAGCCAGTTGGCTTACCATTGAGCTCCTGTTTGTTCTTGATTTTCTTATCACAGATTCACTTTGTAGAAGAGGCTTAAATTTAACCTTCTATTGCCTTTGCTGCTTTTAAATCCAAAGCATTGAAATGCTGTTCATGTGAGTCCTCCAATCCTGTGGAAATGCCTCCAGATTGAGAAACTGTCCTATGAATTATTGTAATTTCAAATACAATAATATTCTTGGACCAAAAACTCCATTGTGCATCTCAGCCATTCCCCCAAGTGAACCAGAGAGTTCATGACTTACAAATAAGGCAGCTGAAAAGTTGGCTTGCACTGTTGTACTGCCTTCTTTCTCTCCATATTCTCTTCAGGCACCTATCTTCACTTCTCAGTAGGAGTTTGAGGTTGATATTTCAACCTCAAATCTGATTATTTTTCACCCAAACAGAATCCTGGCAAACACATGGTGGTTGGTGGAGGCTATGGAGAAGAAGTGGGGTCAAGCAGTGCTGGACTCTACGTAGAACCTTCGTGAATGATTAATCAGTTGAGAAAAGAAGTAATTTGGGCTTAAAAAATAAGATTAGGTAGTCCGGATGAAGGCCTTATTATTAAGGCAGACATTTTAATAGATTTTTTTTTTTTTAGGCAGAGGACCAAGTCAGTCCTTGGAATGAGTGCAAAGTTTATTGTGCCAATAGAAGTCCATGGTGACATACTAGATATGCACGTTGGATTTATGAATGTAGTTGAGCATGAGAACTAGCATGTGAATGCATGGATTGTGTAAATGTCGGTAACCATGAAGATGTATTAAATGGGAGTATTCTTACAAGAAAGTTATGACTAGTTTTGTTATATTGGGCATAAAATTGTACTCTCTGATGTATAACTACAAGCTCTATGTGCAGAACTCATTGCTTTTTATAATGCTGGTTCTTTGGCCATGTATTCTTAGCTATAACTGTGTTTTAAAAGAGCCATTCTGTTTCTGGATTTTGACAAGATAGGTTGAGGTTGATCTCTGTAGAGCAATGTTGTTTTCCAATAATACAGACCACAAGCTGAATTACGAGTTTGTATAGCAAGGCATAGTATGAGCTCTCTCTCTCTCTCTCTCTCTCTCTCTCTCTCTCTAGCCCTCATATGCCTCCCCTGAGACATTTATGAGACTAGAGTATCTGAGCCATGCTGAATATCTGCATCATCCCTTGGATTCAATGTTTAGGACCAAATCTTAAATTAGAGAGAAAAGTTAATTCAAATTGTAAATGCCAGTTTTAAATGACTTGCAAATTGCTTTTCTCTCCACTTTTTTACATTGTCTTCTTAATTAACAAAGAAGAATCACTAAAGGAAGGGGACTACTTAGAGCAGCTAGATTCCAGTCAACATCTCCAGTGATTGCTGCATAACTAAGATGAGTACTAACCACTCCTTAGAAAACAAAGAAGAAAATCTCAAAGATTAAAGAAAATTGTTAGAGACATAAACAGACCCAAATACTTAAAAAAAAAAAAAGCAACAACAACACATAATTCTCTTTGTTTCCTGCCCCCATCCCTGTGCTGTTTGTGAAATATCAGGGGAAAGTTCAGCTTATCAGTTGATTGGAAGGCATTGCTGTGTAAAGAACATGGGTTTTAGGTTAGATATAGGTTCAATTCCCTAGTCTGTCCTTTACTGGCTGTGTGAATCTGAGCAAGTTACTTAATGGATTACTCAAGGATTTATTGAGATGATTCATGTAAGGCCCCTAGGAGAGTGCTTGACTCGTAGCAAATGCTTACTAACTTTCGGCTTTTATCAGTGAAAATCTTCATCATTATTTATCACCACCACCATCACCTTCATCATCATGGTAATCATTACCATCACCACCACCACCATCATCATCATCACCATTTCACTCTCCTAGTTTTCCTTCAGCCTCTCTGTCTACTCTTTAATCCTCTCTGCAGACTCTTTTCCTCTTCCAAACCCTTAAAATTGAGGTTCCTGAGGTTTATATCTTAGGCCTTTTCCCATCTCCCATTAGACATTCACTCTCAGTGGCCTCATTCACTGTGGGGGCTTCATGCATCAGCTATTGATGATGATTCCCAAATCCATAACTCTATCCCAGATCTCTCTTCTAAAGCCTACCACCTTATATCCAGCCGTCCACTAGACACCTCCCCTTGAATGTCCCAGCAGCATTAAAACTGAGACTCAACGCATCTCTCTCTACTTTGATCTTGCTTCTTCTCTTTGTTTCTTATGAAGAAGGCATCACCATTCACTCCATTACTAAAGCTAGACAATTCAGAGTCATCCTTGACTCTCCTCTTTCCCCACCTCCAATGTTCAGTTAATGATCTGTGTTCATTCCACCTTCTAAACTATAAGCTCTGTGTCTCTAAGCTCTATTTAGGGGCCATATTAGAGTTGTAATCTCAGTGCCTGGCATGGGGATCAATGAATAATTATTGAAATTAATGAATAAAAGAGTGACACTTCCAGCTGGGTGCCATGGCTCACGCCTGTAATCCCAACATTTTGGGATGCCAAGGTGGGTGGATCAGAAGGTCAGGAGATCGAGACTATCCTGGCTAACATGGTGAAACCCCATCTCTACTAAAAATACAAAAAACTAGCCAGGCGTGGTGGCGGGTGCCTGTAGTCCCAGCTACTCAGGAGGCTGAGGCAGGAGAATCACATGAACCCGGGAGGCGGAAGTTGCAGTGAGCTGAGATTGCACCACTGCACTCCAGCCTGGGCAACAGAGCGAGACTTCATCTCAAAAAAAAAAAAAAAAGTGACACTTCCATTTCTATAACCTCTTCTGTAGTTCAGGCCACTATGAGTTCTCACTGACTTATTAATTCACAGTTTAGAAATCCCGCAGTTGAAATATCCTAATATGCCTCCTGCTTCTAGGGTAGCAGTGCCCACCCCCAGCACCATTGTAGTTCATTTTCCACACGGCAGCCAGAGTGGATTTTATAAAACTCAAGAATCTGATCATGATCATGTCTCTTCTGATAATGACCTGGTTTATAACTATTGTCCTGGAACACTCTCAAAAATGTAATAGTATATTGTCTTCTAGTCCCTGTTTGTCATATCTGTGATAGTGGGGGAAATGATTCTGTGTTCCTTTGACTAAAAGTTTATTCTAGGACAGGATTTGGGGTTGGTACACACTGTCAATTCCAGGAAGTCTTGCAGGTGATAATGTTGCAAAACAAAGCAAAGAACAGCTGTTTTCTAGCCTTATCAAGCAGTTAGGGCTACTTTTATTTCAAGTATGTAACAGAGATTGGTTTTGAAGTTATTTGCTTTGAAGTTAAAATTACATTTACTCTCATTTTTCTAACAGATACTAGATTATTTAAGTTCCAGATTCTGTTTTCACACTAATAAGAAACAAACACAAAGTGTCTCATACTACCAATATAATTATAGTATTGTATTATTTGCAAATTTGAAATTACATGCTTTTAGGTGGTAATTTTTACACCATTATTTGATTTACCAAAAAATCCTAACATCATAGCATTTTGTTCCACATGTATTGACTAGAAAGGAGTTCTGAATCTATCTGAGAGTCTGTGGACATTATTAAATTAGATGAAAGGTTATAGCTTTTTTCCAAATAGAAATCGCTTTAGTGTTTTTCTGATTACAAAACAATACATAGCTGGGCATGGTGGTATGCCCCATAGTCTCAGCTACTCAGGAGGGTGAGGCAAGAGGATTGCTTTAGCCCAGAAGTTTGGGGCTCTACTGTGCTATCATTGTACCTGTGCTCTGCACTCCAGCCTAGGTAATGTAGCAAGACCCTGTCTCTTAAGACAAAACACACACACAAACAAAACAATACACATTCACTGGAAATATAAAGAAGAAAATAAAAATCTTCTATAACATCACTTTTAGGTTATTGTGTTAAACTTTGTAAGGTATGTATTTCTATGTCTAGGCTTTTTGTTTTCCTGTATATATAGTCATGTCAATACTGCTTTATAAAAAAAAAAAAAGAAAATAGTGTCATTCAACACTTATGGTTTTAAAATGTGTTTTCCGCTTGACAAGCTTTGGATTTACAGGGAGAAAAAGAGGTAAAGTAGATTTTTAGAAAGTTTTGCTTTCCAGTGTTGTGGGTACTATAATTTCCTCTTCTCCATCCCCATTAGGAAAACATCTATACAAACTTGTATTAATATTATGGGCTAGGTATGGTGGCTCACACTTGTAGTCCTAGCACTTTGGGAGGTTGAGGTAGGAGGACTGCTTGAGCCTAGAGTTTGAGACCAGCCTGGGCAACATAGTGAGACCGCATCTCTACAAAAATAAAAATAATAAGTAAAAAACAACACCACCACCAACAACAAAAGCACTTGTATTGCTCTTTGAATCAGTCAGGCTTCATTTGCAGGATTCAGAAACCACTCTAGCTCTTTTAAGCAAAAAAAAAAAGTTTTATTTTTAAAAATCAGTGTTTACAAGATTATTGGAAGATCTAAAAGAGTGGCCTTTAGGTGGGCCTCCAGAAATAAGCCTGAACTGATGAACTGGACTGTCAGGGGGCTGCCTCTGCCCCATGATCAGGAAGATAAGGAATCAGAAAGCAGCCACTGGAATGACTGATTCCATAGACGCATCACCCTAGCTGATGTTCGGGGACAGTCTTGTCACCCCCACTAATATTGCCTCAAGAGTCACACCACTTTTTGGCTTGATCCACACGGCCAAAAAAATGAATGTCCTGCATCCCTGTGTCTTGCTTCTCTATCCTCACTAAACTCATGGCCTCTACACTGGAAGCTAAAAGACAGTCTTCATGACTGTGCTCACCATTGGAAATCACAGATTTTCTCTGCCTCACTTCCGTCTTCTAAAGGCACTGTTCTCATGACCTGCTAATTCACAGGCAGCATAGGGCTCTTTGTTTTTTTATACAAGTTGGTGTGAACAAAGTTCACAATATCTAGTTGAAAGGCAGGCTTGAACACAGCAGGCAAAATGACGTTTTTGCCAGATAACTCTCCCTTTTTGGAGTCTACTGCAATCAGTGGATGAACACATGCCATGGTAGGATGAGAAGTTTTAGGGTACTGGTTGAGCTGTGGCTCCAATACCCAGAGTCTGAGGTGATGGGACTCATCGTTCTGGCTAGGATGCCTTTGGAAATATGGGTGGTGAAGACTGCTTGTTTGCACCAACAAAAACCTGGTGCCATTGGCACTGTAGAATGAACACAACCCAAAAATGATATGCCACTTGCTCTGCCCCAGCTGCCTCAGCCTTACCAATGCTGGTCATGTCTAAAGGTCATTGTATTGAGGAAGTTCCTGAACTTCCTTCGGTGGTTGAAGGTAAAGTTGAAGGCTACAAGAAGACCCAGGAGGCTGTTTTGCTGCATAAGAAACTTAAAACCTGGAGTGATATCAAAAAGATCTATGCCTCTCAGCAAATAAGAACTGGCAAGGACAAAATGAGAAACCATCATCGTATCTGACACAGGATACCCTGCATTGCCTGTAATGAGGATAATGGTACCATGAAGGCCTTCAGAAACATCCCTGGAGTGACTCTGCATTTAATGTAAGAAAACTGAACAGTTTGAAACTTGCTCTTGGTGGGCATGTGGGATGTTTCTGCATTGGACTGAAAGTGCTTTCTGGAAGTTAGATGAATTATATGGCACTAGGCATAAAGCTGCTTCCCTCTAGAAAATCTTCCCATGCATAAGATAAGCAACACAGACCTTAGCAAAATCTTGAAAAGCCTAGAGCTCCAAAGAGCCCTTCAAGCAGCAGGCAAGCAGATTCATTGCAGAGTCCCAAAGAAGCCATGAAAAATCTGAAACTCATGTTGAAGCTAAACCCATATGCAAACACCATGTGTCAGGACACCATTCTTTGCCAGGCCAAGAATCACAAGCTCAAACTGTCAGAAGGACAGAAAACCAAATGCCGCATGTTCCCACTCATAGGTGGGAATTGAACAATGAGAACACTTGGACATGGGAAGGGGAACATCACACACCAGGGCCTGTTGTGGGGTGGGGGGAAGGGGTAGGGATAGCATTAGGAGATATACCTAATGTAAATGACGAGTTAATGGGTGCAGCACACCAACATGGCACATGTATACATATGTAAGAAACCTGCACGTTGTGCACATGTACCCTAGAACTTAAAGTATGATAATAATAATAATAAAAATATCCTAAAAAAAAAAAGAAAAATAATCACAAACTCTGGGGGATAAGGTAGCAGCAGCAGCACTAGCACTAGAGACTAAATCACATGAGAAGGGGTTGTAGGAAGACGCCTGTGGTAGGAAAGAGAGGAAAAAAATGACAGTTGGTGTTAAGAAGCAGAGGAAACCTCTGGTGGGAAAAAAGGCAGCACTACCGAGAAAACAGCAGCTTAAAAGAAACCAGCAGAAAAGAAAGCTACCACAGAGGAAAATAATCCTGCTGCATAAGCTTTTAAATGAGTTTATTCCATAAAGATCAAATCATTTTGGACACCTTATTTTTAATAAAGACCTTATCAAAGAGGCAGTGAAGAAAAAGAAAAGTTCATGCGTCTAACTGGAAGAGCTGAAATCACCTCTGGAGCTGTAGCTCAAGGGAGTCTAGGAAATGTGGTGTTTAGTTGTCCAGCCTCTGTAATGTAGGGCAGCCCAAGCCCACCAATCAGGAAGCTGGAGTTGGATGTTGACGACCATCATAGCACATATCGAGGCTTTGGATACAGGATTTGCATTCCTTTTGGATGTGTCACTATACAAAGAAAAGCTTCAAGAGCCAGGCGTGGTGACTTGTGCCTGTAGTCCCAGCTACTCTGGAGGCTGAGGTGGGAGGATCACTTGAGCCCAGGAGTTCAAGGCTGCAGTGAGCTATGTTCACACCACCACACTTCAGTCAGGGTGGCAGAGTGAGACCCTGTCTCTATTTTAAAAAATAAAAATAAAGAGCTTCAAAGTAAGATAAAGGGGAACAATTTATCTGAAAGTGTAATATATACCACTATATTTAACCTATACTATTGCTAGTTATTATTTTTTCTATTTTTTCACATAAACAATGTCTTAATAAATGGCTTTTATCAGAGTCACTAATAGCTTCCTCCATTTTGCTAAACACAGTGGTCAGTTCTCAGGCCTCATGTTGCTAAACTCAGTGATCAATTCTCAGACCTGGCTGGGCACGGTGGCTCATGCCTGTGTAATCTCAGCGGTTTGGGAGGCCAAGCTGGCAGTATTGCTTGAGCCCAAGAGTTTGAGACCAGCCTGGGAAACGTAGTGAGATCCTGTCTCTACCAAAAAAATTTTTTTTAAAAGTTAGCCAGGCATGGTGGCACGTGCCTGTAGTCCCAGTTACTTGGGAAGAGTGGGAGAATCCGTTAAGCCTGGGAGGTTGAGGCTGCTGTAGGCTGAAATCACATCACTGCACTCCAGCCTGGGTGACAGAGTGAGACCCTGTCTCTTAAAAAAAAAAAAAAAAAAAAAATTCTCAGGCATTATTTTCCTTGATCTGTCATGACACTTGACATGACTGCTCATTCTCTTCATAAAACTCCTTCTTCACTTGGTTCCAGAACCTCATGTTCTCCTTGTTTTCCTTCTAGCTCACCTGCTCAGTCTGAGTCTTCCTGCTGGTTCCTCCTCATCTCTCCAGCTTTTAGTGGTGGGTGCCCCAGGCATCAGTCCTGGGACCCCGTCTCTTCTTTGTGTACTCTGTTCATCTCATCCAATCTTATGGCTTTAAATACCCTGAGCTCCAAAACCATGTATCCAGCAACTTCCTGGATAATATGTCTTTTTTTCTTGAGACAGAGTCTGGCTCTGTTGCCCAGGCTGGAATGCAGTGGTACAATCTCAGCTCACGGCCACCTCCACCTCCCGGGCTAAAGCCGTCCTCCCACCTCAGCCTCCTAAGTATCTGGGACTACAGGTGTGCACCACCACACTTGGTTAATTTTTGTATTTTTTGGTAAAGATGGGGTTTCGCCATCTTGCCCAGCCTGGTCTTGAACTCCTGAGCTCAAGTGATCTTCCCACTTCGGTCTCCCAAAGTGCTGGGATTACAGACATGAGCCACCGCACCTGGCCCAGATGTACTTTTAGATGCTTTATAAACATCTCAAATTTCACATGTCCAAAACTGAACTTCTGCTTGTTTCCACTATATATATCCCACTCACAGCCTTCTTCATCTCAGGTCATGGTACCTTCATGTTTCCGTTTGCTTAGGACAAAAACTGGGCGTCATCCTTGGCCTCTCTCTTTCTCTTACATTCATATTCAGCCCATCAGCATATCCTGTTGATTTTACCTCCAAAAATATCCACAATCCAACTGTTTCTCTCATCTCCACTGCTTCTTGCTGGTCCAAGCCACTGTTATTTTTCTCTTGGACTATTGCCCCAGCTCCTAAATTGTCTCTGTGCTCCCACCTTTGTCTCCTTAGAGCCTAACAGATCATGTAACTCCTCTGCTCAAAACACTCCACTGAATTTCCACCTCACTTGGGATAAAAGTCAAAATTCTGACAACAGCCTACACGGCTTTCTTTGACATGCCCACCCCCACAGCCACCATCTCTCTGATTTCTGTCCTGCCATTCTCACCCTCGCTCACTTGGCTCCAGCCTCCTGATGTTATTAAGCACACCTGTCTGTAAGGGTCTTGGCAGCTGTTGGCCCCTCTGCTTAGAATGCTCTTCTCCAAGATATTCACAAGGCTCCCTCATCTCCCTGGAGACTTTACTGGGCCATCACCTGCTCAGTGAGGCTTTCCCTAATCACCCTACATAAAGTTACAAACTAATCTCCCCTCGAGTTCTTTGAACCTTCCTTCTCTACCATAGCACCTTGCACTTTCTAATAAACTATGAAACTTCTTTCTTTTATAGTAGGTCCACCTCTGCAATAGGAAAACAGATTTTTGATACTTGGTCTATTATGGAATTATCAGTGCAGGGAACAGTGTCAGGGCACATGGTAATCATTCACTGAGTATTTATTGTATGAATGCATTTCCTTACAATATGCACTATTGTGCACTCATCTATTTATTAGGATTGAATCCCTAGATTCAAAAGATATGCACAAATTGCCCAGAAAGGTGTTTTTTTTTTTTTTGTTTCTTTTTATCTCCCCCTTCTCTGAGTCTACTTGCTAGGGAACCAGAAAGGTTTTAACAATTTGTTCTTCCACCAAGGGTCTACGAGAATGTCATTTTCCTGCCACCCTCACTAACACGATGCCCTAGTCACATTGGTCTTTCCATTCCTTGATCTTACCATGTTTGTCCTCTCTTGATGCATATCATTGACTATTTCCTCTTCCTGAATACTCTCCTGCCACACCTTTATCTGGTTTAATTCTTCTTATTTAGGATTCACTTGAAATGTCACTTCCTTGGAGAAGGCCTTGCCTGGCCATCTGCTGTAAAGCAGCCTGTCAGTCACTCCATATCACATCCCCGTATTTTATTCTCATTACAGCACAGATCATTTCCAAATGTTTTCTTATTTTTATATTTATTTATCTATGCTTCGTTTTTCCAAAATGTAAGCTTCATGAGAGCAGGAGTCTTGTCTTTTTCAACACTATCCACACTATCTGCAGTAAATGTGTGTTTGATAGTAGAATCAATACTGGGTCTTATTTTTTTCGTTATTATCTGTTTGCCAGGTGAAAATGGATGTAAGATGAATTATTTTTCTGGATTCAAGTGCTGAGGTGATCTAGAAGTTTAAATATTCTGTTAGCATATTTGTTTTAGATATGTTATATCATATTTTTATATTACTGATAAATTGCATAACTTCTCAAGTTTCTGAAACCTCTTTTCTCATTTACACCAACATTTTGCAAAATTTGGACTCACGTACTATTGTTTGCTTTTTGTCTCCACAGCTTTTGGAAAGAACAAACAGTGGATTTGAAGAATCAGATTCTGGTGCTACTAAGAGTCCACTCCACTTAGCTGTAAGTGAGATGCCATGAGCAGCTTCACCTGTTACAAAAACAACCTAAGCATTCCTAAAACTAGATTGCTCTTAAAATGTAAATGTAGTAACACAGTGATGAGTGGTAGTGAAAGTAGTCCGTGGTAAAAGGCACAGGCTGTGGAGACAGACTGCCTCGCCTTCATTCCCAGCTTCATCTGCTGGTGATCTTAGACACATGACTTACCCTGTCTTGAGCCTCAGTTTCCCCATCTGCGAAATGAGGGCAAATGAAAAGAGATAATGCACCCAAAGCCCTTAACCTTTATTCTTGTAGAGTTTAACCGTCTTTAAAATTCAAAGGATACATTTCAGTTTAAGAGATTTGATTAGCGATAACAATATACAAGTGGAAAACCTATGGCTAATTGAATACCACAGTTAAAAACTGGCAGGATGTTTCAGCACAAACTGATGAGAGCAAGATGAGCACATGCAGAGCTGCAGCTGCGACCTTCTGCCTGGACTTGAAATCAGGGTCTTCAACGAAGTCTGAGGCTCTGATTCTTGTACTGGGTGAGATCTGGGAGGTGAGGGAAGAAGAGTTATTTTATCACCAGTAACGCTTCCTCTCCACATCCCAGTAATTGAAGGCAAATGCAACAGCTCAGAGTGATGATCCCCAAACTCTTCATGGGAGTGACCAAGGTGGGAAGTGCACCCACCACTCTGTCTCAGATTGTGAGTTGCTAAGAGTTGGCCATCAGCAGCTGCTCCCTAGGAACCCTGCTGACTGGCAGCCACACCCAGCAACAGCCAGCTCACCTTCCCGAGGCACTCACGTGCCCTTGGTGCTGCTGAATTGTGAGCACTTGGTTCAAGGCCACAAAGATGGTGTTTGGATGCTTCTTTGCTTAGTAAAACCCAGGGGCAGGACACCAGGAAGAATGGGAAGGGGCTGGGTTTCTTTGTTTAACTGTGTTTATGACTTTTCACTTAATACTATGTGTACATAAGCACTCCTTCAGTGTCATTCTGATGAAAAATTGACCTGGAAATTTTGGAGAGAAGAGAGGAGTGTTTTATTAATTGACATGCAGAGGTGTTCAGGCAAGAGAGCGGAGACAAGGCCATCACACAAGGATTGGGAGTATCCAGAACTGACCATATGTGTGGAGCTTTCCTTTCACTGCCTGTCTCCCCACATACTCACAGCACACCTGCTGACACCCACTCACACGTCCTCTGACACCCACCAACACACCCACTACACGCTCATACACACATGCATTTTGAGTCCAGTGAAATCAGGGTAAAGTGTGCATCAGTCTGTGTTCCCGGAGATGGACTTACTGTGGAAAATGTGGATGAATAGTGGGATATTTATACATATAAATCTTCATGCCAGTTGGCCCTTAGTACAGGTTGCTTGCTAGAATCCCTGCCCAACCATCTGCTGTGCCTGGGGAAGTTACCCCAAAGCTGAGCACTCACAAACATAGCACTAACTGCCCCTAGAGAGTCTTATGTGGAGGGTTATCTCAGATACAATTCTCAGGCCCCAAGAAAGTGGGTTTGACTGCATTGCCAAGCCTGCTACTAATCTGAGAAGAGTTTCTTGGCTTCCAAAGACTTGATCATCTCTCGTTCTTCTTTTTTTTTTCCACAGTGTATTTGTTGAATGCTTATTGTGTACTCTGCTAAACTCTATGGGTTGCTGGCTGCGTAAAGATAGGGTGGTGATATCATTTAAAAGAGGTGGGCTTTGGTAGTTCTGCAGCTGACAGAGACCCAGGAAAGGTACATCAAGTGGAGGTCCTAGCTGCCATTCTTTTCATTAGCAACTCACCTGTGCATGGTTTCCCCACCTGTAAGTTAAAGGGAATCTGTTAGTTAAGCATCTCAAAGACCCTTTCCAACTTGTTAATTTATTGAATTGTTTATTGTGTGATATTAACCCAAATACCTCACCTCTTATGTCTCAGTGTCCCTACCCATGATATGAGAATAGCAGTACCTCAACGTAGGGCCATTGTGGAGATGGCATGAGTTAATGGATGTAACACAATTAGAACAGTGCCTGGCACACATATGTGCCATGAGCTAGCTTCATCGTCATCATTACTAACATCATATAACATCATTATTAACATCATCCTTTCATCCAACATACACTGACTGTGAATAGTGCCAAGCACTGTTTGAGTAGCTGGAGATATTGCAGTGAACAAAACCCCACCTCTGCCCTTGCAGAGTATCCAGTCTAGGGGAGACAAACAGGCGAGGAAATATCTCAAATGACAGATGGCAATAAGTGCTGCAGGTGCTACAGAGAAAATGAAATGGGATCAGGGAGATAGAAAGTATTGAGATGGCAGACAGGGTGCTTATTTATTTATTTAAGAGGTGGGGTCTCACTGTGTTGCCCAGGCTGGTCTCAAACTCCCGGGCTCAAGTGATCCTCCTGTCTTAACCTCCTGAGTAGCTGTAATTGCAGGCATGAGCTGCTGCACCTGGCCAGGGTGCTATTTTACGTAGCATAGAATCTCATATTTGTACAGAGACCTTAAGAGCTATGCATGTTGACATCTGATGAAGGAGTGTTTTGGGCAGAAGTGCAAAGTCCCTGGGGGAACTCATGAACTGTCCACAGAACAGGAAAGGGGCCACTGTGGCTGGAGCAGAGTGGTGAGGAGAGTAGCTGGGGGCAATGCCTCACATGTTGTGGAGGGAGCCAGGAGTTTGGGGGGCCACCACAGATCTCATGGGGACTTTTACTCTGAACAAAATAGGAAACTATTAGGAGGGTCTTGAGGAAACAGATTGATATGATGTGACTTTTGTTTTAAAAGGATCACTTTAGTTTCTATGTTGAGTCAAAATTGCAAGGGAACGAAAGCAGAAGCAAAGCAAACCAGGCAAGAGATGATGACCATGACTTTGACCAGGGTGATTACGGTGGATTCCTTCTAAAGTCATTTTATTCTTTCTCTCTAAATACAAATTATTTGCTTTAAGGACCCAAAAGGTATGCCCATCACCCTCTCTAGGGGCCTCAGTAGCAATTAACTTGATAAAACCCAAGGCACATAATTTCTTAGGTGGAAGCCATCTAGCAGTGTAATGGAACCAGATGCCCCCAAACCTTGACTGCTACAAGAAACCTGACCTGCCTTGAGTTACTATTTCCTGGCTGAATGATTCAAATCTCCAGGGTTATTGGCCCAGTGAATTTCATAAGCATTTCATCCTCTTGAAAAGATTAAATTAAGAAACAATGTTATGCAAATGAAAGGCTCTAGCTGTCAAGATTTCCAGACAGATCCATTGTTCTCATGGATTCTGTTGAGATCCCAATTCTTTCCCCTCATTGTCCTTAGTTCCTATCTTAAAAGGTCTGGAGAAATTAATCACGTTTAAGAGATAATTGTTTATAAAAAGTTGTCTTTCGTAGTTGCTAGACATAGTGTTTTATACGGCAGTTAGAGAAATTTTTCTCATTGTGCAGCTCACATATTCTGTAAACTTACTTAACATTTGGTTTGGTTGTTTGGTCAGTTCCTGAGAGAAATTAGTTTAAAAATCAAAAAACCCCATCTAAAAGTGGGCAAAGGATATGAACAGACACTTTTCAAAAGAAGACATTTATGTACCCAATAGACACATGAAAAATGCTCATCATCCCTGGTCATCAGAGAAATGCAAATCAAAACCGCAATGAGATACCATCTCACACCAGTTAGAATGGCGATCATTAAAAAGTCAGGAAACAGCAGGTGCTGGAGAGGATGTGGAGAAATAGGAACGCTTTTACACTGCTGGTGGGAGTGTAAACTAGTTCAACCATTGTGGAAGGCACTGTGGCAATTCCTCAAGGATCTAGAACTAGAAATACCATTTGACCCAGCCATCCCATTACTGGGATTGTAAATCCCAAAGGATTATAAATCATGCTACTAGAAAGACACATGCACATGTATGTTTATTGTGGCACTATTTACAATAGCAAAGACTTGGAACCAACCCAAATGTCCATCAATGATAGGCTGGATTAAGCAAATGTGGCACATATACACCGTGGACTACTATGCAGCCATAAAAAAGGATGAGTTCATGTCCTTTGTAGTGACATGGATGAAGATGAAAACCATCATTCTGAGCAAACTATCACAAGGACAGAAAACCAAACACTGCATGTTCTCACTCATAGGTGAAAACTGAACAATGAAAACACTTGGACACAGGGCAGGGAACATCACACACTGGGCCTGTCGTGGGATGGGGGGAGGGAGGAGGGATAACATTGAGAGAAATACCTAATGTAAATGAAGAGTTAATGGGTGCAGCACACCAACATGGCACATATTTACATATGTAACAAACCTGCACATTGTGCACATGTACCCTAGAACTTAAAGTATAATAATAATAAAAAACTCCATATATAATTATAAAAAAAAAGAAATAATTGTTACCTAATAAGGCTTTTTAAAGGTGTTGCTTAAAACAATTTAAAATGTTTAATACTTCTAGTGAAGGCTTTACTTTATGCATAGTAAAATTCAGGAGCTACAAACTAGATAAAGAAACAAAGCGAATTTTATAGATTATGCTTGTCCAACCCCTGGCTGAAGGGTTGCATGTGCCCAGGATGGCTTTGATTGTGGCCCAACATAAATTTGTAAACTTTCTTAAAACATGATGAGATTCCTTTTGCAATTTTTTTTATTTAAGCTCATCGGCTATCATTAGTGTTAGTGTATTTTATGTGTTGCCCAAAACAATTCTTCCAACGTGGCCCAGGGAAGCCAAAAGATTGGACACCCCTGCTATAGATAAATCTGGCCTCTCAACCATTCTGTCTTTAAGAGGGTTTTCAAGTGCCTGGTATAGAAGAAAGTATGGGTTGAAATTTTAAAGCTTTCCTAATTGCCAGCATGGTTCACTCCATTTGATTTTAGTATTAGGTCTCTTTAACTTAAGCAAGTTAAGTCCAAGTTTAAGCGACAGACTAAGCCTGGAGTCAAGTGTCATAGCCTGATGTACACACTGATGTAGGCACTCCTTTTATCTCAAGTTTTACATGAAGTGCTCCTGAGTTGGCTTAAAATCACTTGTGTGGCCGGATGTGGTGGCTCACGCCTGTAATCTCAGCACTTTGGGAGGGCAAGGCAGGTGGATCACTTGAGTCCAGGAGTTTGAGACCAGCCTGGCCAACATGGTGAAACCCCATCTCTACTAAAAATACAAAATAAAAATAAAAATACAAAAATTAGCTGGGCATGGTGGCGTGCACCTGTAATCTCATCTACTGGGGAGGCTGAGGCAGGAGAATTACTTGAACCCGGGAGGTGGAGGCTGCAGTGAGCCAAGATGGCACCACTGCACTCCAGCCTGGGCGACGGAATGAGACTCCAGCTCAAAAAAAAAAAAGAAAGAAAAAAAAAGAAATCGCCTATTCCCTGAGCTGTTCATGACTCAAACTGCGTGAAAGGTATACGGCAATTCATTATACCATCCTCTATTATTTGTTTATGTTTGGAATTTCCTATAATAAAAGGTTACGGGAACATATAACTTATGGTCATGTTGCGCCCTTTCCATATTCACTAGTGAAAAGCCTCACAGCTTGGGCTCTGGGAGTCAGCCTGGTCCACCTTTGAAACCCAGCTCCTCCACATTAGGCTGTGTAACCATGGGAGAGCTGGTTATCATCTCTGCCCTTCTGTGTCATCCTGGGCAAAATGGGAATAACAGGAGCAGAGCATAGGTTGTTGTGAGAATTCAGTGAGGCAATGCATGCCCAATACTGCCTGACATACAGCAAGTGCTCCATAAAAGTTAGCTATTGCTTCAGAGTTTAGGTTAGAATAGAGACTTACTATCCTGTGCAGCTATGGTTTGCATAACAAGCACAGATCAGAAAGTTAGACATATCTATTAGCAATTTATTTTAGAAATGCATTCTCCTGTCTCAAGCCAGGCATTGTGTGTAGTAGAAGAGCAAGAGTCTAAAGGTTAGTCCCAGAAGTGTACCTTCTCGCTTCATAGCTCCGCTCAAGCCACTGCATTTCTGTGTTGAGTCTTCTATAGAAAGGGTTTAGGTTTCTGATTCAATATTTGTTATTCAATTCTGTCACCATTATTTTGTCTCTATTCCACATAGAGACAAGAGAATTTTGTCTGGAAGTCAACTAAATGGAATTACTGGGGAAAATTGTAAGATGGCACCTAAAAGCGTGAGATTTAGTAGTGACAGATTCTGGGTTCAGAATCCTGATTTTGTCACTTACTAACTAAGTGATCTTGGACAAGTTAATTAACATTGCTTGTTTTGGTTTTTTCATCTATAAGAAAAGATGTTTGGGATTTATGCTAAAATGTTTGAAATAGTGCCCAGCACATAAAAAACCCTCAAAAAATAATTGCTGTTTAAAAAACATATTTCTACCAAAAATAGTAATAAATATAGTAGTCATTATATTCATTCATTTATTCATCAAGTAAGTATTGAGTGTCTACTGTGTGCCAGGCATGATTCTAGAATACAGCAGGAACAACCCACATTAAGTCCCTTCAATCACAAACAATAAGCAAATCAATAGATACATAACAGATATCCATTGATATCAGTTTTGTGCTATGAAGCAGAAGAAAGCAGGATTAGTGGGGTGGAGAGTATCTGGGAGTATGTGTGAGGTGGAGGGCAGAGCCTATTTTATATGTTACATGGGCTGCTCTGGGAAGCCCCCCTGATAAGGTGATATTTGAGCAGAATTACTGGGAGAGCTTTCCAGACAGAGGGAGCAGAAAGTACAGATGCAGTGGCCCAGAGGGGGACATGCAGCTATTTAACTATAGAGGGAGGCTGGTGCAGCTGGAACAGAGTGAGTGAGGGGACATGCTGAAACTGAGGGTAGAGGAAGGCCAGATTCTGGGGGCCTGATTGGTCATGGAAAGTTTTGGATATTGGTATCAGTGAGGGAAGACGTCATAGGCTAGTTTTAAGCAAGGAATGATGTGACCCAACTCGAGTTTAAAAGATTTCACCCAATGGTTGCATTAATAACAGATTGCAGTGGGACAAGGATAGGAAGGGAAGCTTTTGCTGTAATCCTGGCAAAACAGGTTGGTGATGCGGTGAGAAGAAGACAGATTCTGGACGTATTTTAAAGAAAGAATAGAAATGATGAGCCCTGAAAGTGGCATTGATACAGCACTTTGTGAGAATTAGGCCAGATTCCTGCCAGATACCTGAGACCCTAATGACATCTCCATGTGAGTTAGCAAATGTGTCCCTTGCTTTCAGCAGACACTTCCCTGTACTAGGGCAGCAAGGAGGGGAAGGGCTATTTTTCAACACCCACTGGCTCTATTATCCAGAGCCCTTCCTTGTTCAGGGCAATAGCCCTGGGTTTAACAGGAGGGAAGACAAAGACAACTGTAAGGTTTGGGGCCTGAACAACTAGAAGAATAAAGTTGCCATTTACTGAGATGGTAAAGGCTGCAGATGGAGCAAGTTTTGGGAGGGAGATTTCAGTTTGAGATGCCTATTACACATTCAAGTGGGAACATCAATAGGCAGCTGGACATACAAGTTGAGAAGTCAAGGGAGAAGTGGGACTGGGATATACTTTTGGGATTCATCAGCATGAGTTGTTATACTACCTATTATAAATGATATATAGGTTTAATATGTAACATAATCAAAATCATTCACAAACATAATGTAATGAGAAAAAAATATTTAATGTATCTGTACTCTTAATTCCTCTGTCTCCTTTTCAATGTAGTTTTTGTTATTGTCATTGTTAACACACACTCAGGAAGAAACATTCAAACCATATTTTAAAAGATAAGGTAAAATAAGTCCATGCATTTATTACTCTACTTCCTAGTTCTAGAGTAAGTACCATTGATAGCTTCTTTTGTATCTTTCTACAAATCTTCTATGAATATAGAAGCCTATATATATGAGATATATTTGCTTTGTATATAAATGAGATCATGCTTTAAGTACTGTTTGCAACTTCTTTTCTCTTTTTAAAAAGTTTGATAGATTTTGTTAAACCACCCTCGACAAATGTCACACCAATCTATACTCTCACCAACAGAGTGTATGATTGCTTTTTTCAGTGTCTTATCTAATACTGGGCATGACCAAACTTTAATCATTGCCAATCTGGTAGGTGAAAAATCATACTTTAAAATTTTACTTATTTCTTCACATATTCTCATATTTATTGACCTTTTTTATTTCTTTTTCTGTGAGTTGCCTTTTCATGCCTTTTGCGTATTTTCCTAGTTTTTAAAATGGTTTCCAAGAGTTCTTTATATATTAAGGAAATTAGTCTTTTGTCTGTGCTGAGCCTTTTTTCAAACAAATTGTATCTTGAGTAATAGCTGCAGTAAAAAAATAAAAAGTGCGAGTGACATAAGAGGAGACTTGGTTGCTGAAGACACTGGAATCAGGCTTTTCTTTTCTTTTTTTTGTGAATTCTGAGTTTTTGTTTTTCATTTGAAGGTAATCTTAATGCTATTAAATTCACAAATATGCTAATTTCCAGTCCTATTTATCTAAAACACACATTGCAAACATACAGATATCCATTCTCTCCACTTGTCAGTGCCCATTCAGATCATGGTTTGGAAATGGGGAGAATAGATTCCCTTTAAACTGTAAGTCAGCAGTTGTTTCTTTACAGTTAACTTTAATAAAATTCATACAAAATAGTAATTAATAGTGATCTTCTTTATTGTTAACTCACAAGGAAACACCTTCAAAACTGCATTTTGTTAGTTTCTGTATTAAAATGTAGAAAAATGGAATTACACAAATATTGAAAGTTAAAAATGCCTTAATTTTTTAATCCTCATACCACTACCCCAATTTACAAGACAATATACCTGACGTAATGAAAAGAAAAAGAAAAAGATAAAGCTACGACAGATAAAATACCTCAGGAATGTACATCTAAATGGCATTACATTGCATTAATTAATAGCTGGACGTTTTGCAAACGGTGGCTGTGACAGTCCTGCACAAGAAGGATTTCCTGCTTAAGCTGCGGTAACTTTTCTGACTATGGATGATCATTCCTGTGGCAGATTTTTACCATTCCTCTAATGCATTTGGGACAATTGTCTCAAAGTAACCTGCAGCTCTCCTGACAACTCATCGCTCTCTCCTGCTAAGAACTCTAGCCCTTTTCTGCTGTTTTTAGAAACTTCTGCTACCATATCCACCACTTCCACCACCAGACCCAACCACCACCATAGGGACTGTCTGAGCTTCTTCCACCAAAACTACCCCCTTTCATGGATCCAAAATTTGATTGCTGTCGCCCACTATAATTTCCAGAATCATTATTGTTCCCACCACCACCACAGGTACCACCACCAAAGTTTCCTCCTTCATTGTAACCACCATATCCCCCACCACCATATCTACCCCCTTGGTTTCTATATCCTGGTCCACCACCACCATAGCCCCCTCTACCACTAGAACCAGGACCACCATCATAGGTGCCACCATCACCTCCAAATCCATTACACCCACCATCACCTCCTCCATAACTACCTCTGCTGCCACCACCTTCACCACCATAGCCTCTTCTTCCACCAAAGTTTCTACCACAGCCAAAATTACTTCCTCCATCTCCAAAGTTTCCTCTACCACCCATAAAATTGCCAGATCCACCTCCACGACCTCTCTGCAATCCAGCAGACTGCATCTCTTGTATAGAATGGGTCTCTTTCACTTCCAAGTTATGCCTATTAATATTGTGGTGTTTCTGAATGACAGTTTTATCAACTGTAGCATGATCATCAAAAGTTACAAAAGCAAATCCTCTCTTTTTTTCCAATCTGCCTGTCTTCCATAACTTCTGTGGTTGTAATCTTGCCATACCTTTTAAAATGGTCTCTCAAATTCTATTCCTCTATATCTTCTTTAATACCACCAACAAATATTTTCTTCGCTGTTAGATGGGCAGCAGGCTTTGCAGAATCTTCCCTAGAAACAGCTCTCTGGTTCCTCTACATGCTCATCAATGCTATGTGGTCAAGCATCTACCTCTTCAACACAAGAGTAGGTCACAAAACCAAAGCCCCTGGAACATTTTGTTCGGGGGTCTTTTATTACCACACAACCTGTGAATGTGCCCCATTTCTCAAAATGTTCTCTTAAAGTATCATCTGTAGTTTCAGAGTCAGGCCACCAATAAACAATTTTCTCAACTGCTCTTGACCATGTCCCCCATACCCATTTCACCCCATATAACCTGAGCTCCCTTCTCTTATTTTCAGTGTCCTTTGCCTGTGTGTGGAGAGGTGGGGTGGGGGGCAGCTAATACATTTTTTAACTTATAGACTCAATAAAAATTATCTTTCAGACTTTTAGTTTTGTTTTTTGATGGTACAAAGCATCATTTTTTGTTGTTTTTTTTTTTGGAGACAGAGTCTTGCTCTGTCACTCAAGCTGGAGTGCAGAGTCGTGATAATAGCTCACTGCAACCTCCGCCTTGGGTTCAAGCAATTCTCCTGCCTCAGCCTCCCGAGTAGCTGGGATTACAGGCACCGCCACCATGCCTGCTAATTTTTGTATTTTTAGTAGGGACGAGGTTTCACTATTTTGGCCAGACTGGTCTCGAATGCCTGACCTCAAGTGATCCACCCGTCTCGGCCTCCCAAAGTGCTGGGATTATAGGTGTGAGCCACCGTGTCTGACAAGCCTCTTAATCTTAACATAGCTTAGGACCTCATAAAAGGTCTGAACTTAGTGCTGCTACATGGAGTGTATTTCCATAATTGTTTCTATAATGAAATGTTTTTCATTGTAATCAGGGGAAGAAATAAAGGAGAAAAGAGGCACTAGCTACATGCAAGATATTTTGCAAAGCCTATGCAATTTCATCTTCACAGCAACCCTAGGAGGCAGCTTTGATTGCTCTCATCTTATACATGAAGAAACAAACTCTAAGTGAAATTAAGAAACTCACCTAAGGTCACACAGTTAGAAATTAGTATAGAATTGGCCTATAACAGAACATCTACATGCCTCTGTTGTATCTCAAAGTCCACAATGTTTTTAGTAATTTTTCCCCCAGGTTTGTTATCAGAAAAGACTCCTGGAAAAAAATTCTGATTATGCCAATATGTTTAGGACTGAACTGACAGATAAAAGAATATGGTAATTCATTCAGCTGTTAGTTTATATTAGATGATTAGATCAGTAGATATAAATATAAGAATACATTAATACATTCAGTGTCTTTGGAGCAAATTATGTGACAAAAGAGAAAGAACACGAAACTCATATGGAACTGTGAGGTTTGTGCATTGTAGTGTTTCAGTCTAACTCTCCAGCTTGCCTGAGTTTTAATAAATATTCCAAGTGTTTTTCTGACGTGCTCTTGGGAGTGGTCTCTATCCATGGCCCAGGAAGCCCAGCCCCTCCTGTGGACTGTGGCGGGATTTGAGGTGAGCGAGCAAGCATGGGAGCCATTGGTTTCTTCTTTGCAGGCCTACAATGGGCACCATCAAGCCTTGGAAGTCCTTCTGCAGTCGTTGGTGGACCTGGACATCAGGGATGAGAAAGGCCGCACTGCTCTGGATCTGGCTGCCTTTAAAGGACACACAGAATGTGTGGAAGCGCTTATCAATCAGGGCGCATCCATCTTTGTGAAAGACAATGTAACCAAAAGAACCCCACTTCATGCCTCAGGTAGGTCTTGTCAAGGGCCTGATTACCCTAGTTTTGTGGCTTGTTCGTAAGTTTTAATAGAAGGAAAGCAGCATCTTCTTTCATCCCAGTTTTTTAAATATCAATTTTCTTTCCACATCAGATGCACTTCCACACTTCCAAAATGCTTTTGGCCTGCTATCCTCTTGGAGGTGATTGGTGTTCTCTGGCCAGGTGCTCTGGCCTTGTTAACTCAAAAGAGAGTTCAGAACTTTTGGCTAAAAGCTACCACAAAACATTCTGAACAAAGGGCAAGGTGTAATGCAATCTTCAGAACAAGTTACATAGAACAAAATACATCAAAATCAAACAGTATTTGAAAGCATAAAACCAATAGCAGGTTTTATGGCTATTTCATATTCATATTAATGTATTCAGGGCTATTTCGCATAAGGAATCATAAGGCAGCAATCAGTACATCATTCTGCCAGCCTAAATGATGTTTCTTAGCTTTTTTACACATCGATGTAAAAATCAAGACGCTTTAAAAGTACATGTATATATCAAAAAGAAAGTCATTTGCCTTTTCTGGGATTTTTCTTCCATGCCCATGAAAACCTGTGTCAAGACACTTCTAGATATATACACAGACATAAGGGTAATATGGAAGAGTCTCTAGCTCAGCTAAGGCATAGATATCTTTGGCTCAGGAAATCCAGTGATATCAGCCTTTGATTAGGGTAGTAGATAACATTTTGTAACGATAAATAACTGTCTTACTTGGTGAAATGGGTGTATTGAGGAAGCAAATAAGTGAAGATACTTTTTCAAAAGACTTTATGATTCTTGTTACTTGGGAAAATTTTCCCAGAATGATAGACCTTGTAAAAAACTATTTCCATCTATGTCCCTGAATTTCCAAGCCACTGAAGAAAAACAATACAGAGGTTGAAAAAACCTAATTGTTGCCTACTTACTTGGAAATGATTGTTGCTGGAAAAAAAAAAAACGTTAGCCATAAGGTTAGTAATAGTTGGTGTGGTTGAATTATAAATTCTCATTTCTCATCACATTTAGTCTTTTTTCTCCCCAGCCATTCTTGTTATTATTATAAAATTCAAATTTTGTCCTCCTTTTTAAAAGATTAGTTGCTATTTTTAAGAGAAGCATCCTATTTTTGTTATTATATAATTCCTGACAATTACAAAGGGCCTACTTTGATTGTGGAAAATCGCCCTTATAAACAGGTAAACAATGAAGAACAATCATTTTCACTCATTTGCCAGTGTGATATGGGTTGTGGTCCAGTGAAGCCCCCTAGTGGTCAAGAAGACTCAGTCAGCTTGGATTTTCCTCCTGTCATTCACTAAAAAGACACTGTCACTGGACTGTTCACAAAATGTCTACTGTGCAGAAGCTTTAGCGTGTGCTTTGAGGATCTGCTTACCCAAAATCTTTTTCAACTTTTTTGAGAGGCCAATATTTTGAGTTTCAAATCCTCAGAGCACTATGAGGAGCAAGAGCCAGGACGAGTATGAGAGGTTTTGGCACAGATAGTTGGAGTGACAGTTTGTAGTCTTTGAGTCGTGTGAAAAATGGTTGTCACTCATAGGAAGAGGCTGAGCTGGTCTGAGACAAAGCTGAACTTGGCAGCAGAGCTAAAGATGTTAGCATCTTTTTGCTAGAAGGCAATTTGGGGAAAAAGAAATGTAGTGTGTAGGAAGCCAAAGAGAATTTAAGTTTGGCTACCAACTTCAGGGGAACTTAGATTTACCTGAGGGGCTGGGCGCAGTGGTTCATGCCTGTAATCCCAGCACTTTGGAAGGCCGAGGAGGGCAGATCACCTGAGGTCAGGAGTTCGAGACCAGCCTGGCCAACAAGGTGAAACCCCATCTCTTCTAAAAATACAAAACTTAGCTGGGCATGGTAGTGTGCATCTGTAGTCCCAGCTACTCGGGAGGCTGAAGCAGGAGAATCGCTTGAACCCAGGAGGCAGAGGTTGCAGTGAGCCGAGTTCACGCCACTGCACTCCAGCCTGGGCAACAGAGCTAGACTCTACCTCAAAAAAAAAAAAAAATACCTGAGGGCTATTAGCTAAGTTCAAAAAGCTACTGTACCAAAAAACAAAACAAAACAAAACAAAAGCACAACTGTAGAAACTGTTTTGCTATCTAACACATTGGGTGAGTTATATGAAGTTAGATAATTTTTTTCTTCTTATGTTTAGCCAAATATCAAATGTCACTTGAACTATTATGATTATGACTATTTAGAGTATTAAGTTGCTACAGAAAGAGGAACCAGTCAAAATATGCTGTTTTTCCATGTTCATGAACCTGCCATCTGCAGTATTCAGCTGTCAGTCCTTTGCCAGTCATTTCCTTTTAGCCATACATTAAACTTCTTGCCTACTTCACCAATGGTAGCAGATTTAGTGTAATTGTAAGAACAAAAAACATAACAGCAGCAGCAACGACATATTACCTGTACTCCAATCCACAGAATTTCCTCCCGAGATACATAAATGGAATGTTGCTGAGAATTAGCTGAATGCAATGGTCTACAAAATGTGCACATTATTCCTGTAGTTCATTTGAGTGCTGTTGATGAATGCAAGCTAATTCCAGTATGTATGTATTGTCCCTGAAAAAATGTGTCATTGTTAAATTAGCATTCTCTCGTGGCTGGCAAGCAAATAAAAGGTCTGTAAAATGCAGCTCTTAGGAGAGCCTTTATCAACCTCACATAGCGGCGTCTATTCCCTTCTCTCTCCACATCCATAATGTGGCAAATACAATGTACTTTGTGGCCTTCTCATTGTTAGAGAGGAGAGAAGGTCACATTTGGAATTTTAACCACGGTTGCTCTCATCTTACTCCCTGAGTGGGAAGTCATGCCTATCATAAGGCTTTGGTTTGCGTTCAATAGCCTGGCAGAAAGCAGCTTACCCTGAGGTTATCATCACAGGTTTGCTTCCCAGCCCCTGTGGGACCACTACAGCCTTCTAAAGCTGCCTGGAATTGGTGTGCACAGGAGTGCATCCAGTGCTCCCGCCCCAGCCGGTCCAGGCCTGCCCCGCATGGGGGCCGCATTTCCTGCCCACATTGGCCCCCACTCGGTCCGCTGGGCGAGGAGGGGCAGGGGGAGGCCCAGTCTGGCCTAGGAAAGGGCTCCCAGGGAGCCCAGTCACACCTCGGCCAGGCACGAGGATGCCTGGGAAGTCAGAGAAAGCGCCGCCTGTGGCTCGGTGACCGTGGGGCTGAGGGACCGTCACTCAACAGTGAGCGGATGGAGCGTGCACACCCAGCCGGCGTGAGGTTTTGTTTTCTGCCACCACCCATCAGTCAGAGCTATTGCAGGAATACCTCTTCTGAATATCTACCTCAGAATGTAAAACGACCTGGGAGAAGAGGCGGCCCCAGGTCCCTACTCCCTTCCCTTCTGACCGTCTCCCCTCTCCCCTCCACTTCTCTCCTTCCTTCCTCGCCTTCCTCCTCCTCCTCCATCCTGCTCCTGCTCCCCTCACACTTCCACTCCCTTCTCTCCCTTCTTCCTTCTTTTTAAAGGGGTTGGAGGCAGGGTAGATACAGTATGATTATATGGAATTGGGTGACTCAGAGGAACAAAAAGGGGAGCTGACTAGTGGGGAGAGATTATTAGTCCCATGACAGGAGATAAGAAAGGACCCCAAGTGTAAGAAAAAACCCTCAACACAGGAACTAGAAAAGGAAGGTGGGGATCAATGCACCCTGCTAGGAAGAAGGGGGAAGACAGATTAACACAGAGGCACTCTGCCTGGAAACTACCTTGAGCTGGAAGCCGAGGGGGATCCAGCGGCAACAATGGAAAACCACTGATTTGAAGTCCAAATAAATGTCACTTGGGGCCAGGCACGGTGGCTCATGCCTGTAATCCCAGCACTTTGGGAGGCCAAGGCAGTCAGATTGCTTGAGCCCAGAAGTTCAAGACCAGCCTAGGCAACATGGTGAAACCCCATCTCTACTAAAAATGCAAAAATTAGCGGGTGTGGTGGTGCATGCCTATAATCCCAGCTACTCGGGAGGCAGAATAATCACTTGAACTCGGGAGGCGGAGGTTGCAGTGAGCCAAGATCATATCATTGCACTCCAGCCTGGACGACAGAGTGAGATTCTGTCTCAGAAGGTCACTTGGTGGCTCATGCCTGTAATCCCAGCACTTTGGGAGGCCGAGGCTGGCGGATCACCTGGGGCTAGGAATTCGAGACCAGCCTGGCCAAGATGGTGAGACCCTGTCTCTACTAAAAATGCAAAAATTAGCCAGGCATGGTGGTGCATGCCTGTAATCCCAGCTACTCAGGAGGCTGAGGCAGGAGAATAGCTTGAACCTGGGAGGTGGAGATTGCAATGAGATGACATCGCCCCACTGCACTCCAGCCTGGCGACAGAGCAAGACTCCATCTCAAAAAAAAGAAAAAGTCATTTGGAAGAGATATGTGTAGTGTTGTTCTGTTAAAAGACTGTCCACTGTTTTCTTTTTCAGTAATTAATGGTCACACACTGTGTTTACGGCTGTTGCTAGAAATTGCAGACAACCCGGAGGCGGTCGATGTGAAAGATGCCAAAGGACAGTAAGTGCGCTCACACGTGGCCTTGGGTTGACATTTCAATCACAGCAGCTACCTGGTTGGTTTCTTAAATCATTACAAGGCTGACTGCGGAACCGAGAAATTGGAGGAATATATTTGGACCAGGACCAATACACAATGAGGTGGCTTTAAGTCACAGTGCGTATATCCAAGAAAAGCATGAAGGAGTGGGTGTGCACATGTCTTGATGAAAGGATCACCTTTTTAAGGGCTGTGGCCATGTTTCCCGGCTCTTATTTATATTCTCTCCTTTGTTCCCTCTTTCCGCCCATTTTTACCTTCTTCTGAAGCTGCTACACCATTGCCATTTTCTAATTAATAAATAGGACAGACCTCATGAGGTTATCTCTATTATTAAAATCCTTCAGATGCCTTTTCTTCCTCAACTTTGCTTTTTCAAAGTAATTTCCTTCTGTTGGCATATTCCCCACCTAATCTTCTCTTACAAATAGGAAATGCAGAGCAAAAGTCAGCAGTGACTAGCCCCAGGCATGTGAATCAGTGTGATAGTCAGAATCTCACCTCCCTCTTGCATCACAACACTTCATTCTTTCCCGGAGACTTGACAGACTTTTCTTTAGGGAAAGAAGCTTTGTGTAAATGAAATCTTTAGCAGAAGTCCAACATAGAATACTACAAAGTAGAGCTGCTCTGATGGAAGCAAGAGGGGCTTCTGCATACACATACTCCCCGCCCTTGATATCTAGTAAATGCTACATGGATCTGAAAATGATGGGATTAACATGAATATTTTGAAAAGGAAGCTTCCCCTGCCTCATCCCTAGGGATCATTCCACTAACAACATTCCATGTGGCCATTAGAGCAGAGGCAGATAGCTTGTTCTGCATATTGTATAGCAAACTGGGGACACTTAGAAAATATTAAGAAATTGTCAAAAGGAGAGGGGAAGAGAATGGGAGAAAGAGAATGTCTTCCTACTGGTAGTGATGAATATTTTTTTAAATCTCCTTTTTAAAAGCCTGCTTTATCTCTCTGCCTAGAACACCACTGATGCTTGCAGTAGCATATGGACATATTGACGCTGTTTCATTGTTACTTGAAAAGGAAGCCAACGTAGACACTGTTGACATCCTAGGATGCACAGCTTTACACAGAGGGGTATGTACATCTTTCTCAGCTCTAGTCAAGCAATTTTTTTAATGAGCTTGTTTTCTTTTTTAGCAAACAATTACAAAGGGCCTACTTTGATTGGATTTTTAGCAAAAAATGTTTAGCAAAAATTGTTTCCTAATACAACCAATTAACCTTATTCAGTCCAAAAGAAATTACAAAATCCTTGGCAAAGGCAAAATAATGGAAGGTTTTGCTCTTAAGATTTCATGTTAGATTGTGATAATAGATGCATGAACACCTACTGCTGGTGAAATTGGTTCTGCTTTCTGACTACAAAATACAAGTATATCATAGAAAATTTGCAGAATATTTTTTTTTAAAGCCCAGAGAAGAAAATCACAATCACCAGTAATCATACCTCCTGGAGATAACCACTATTTGATGTATATTATCTCCAATCTTTTTTCTATATATAGATTTGTTTTAGATTTTAAAAAGAGAATACTGAAGATATCATTTGGATTCTGCTTTTTTCTCTTAGTATATCAAGGATCTTTTTTCATTTCATTTTTTTCTGCATCATGATTTTTAATGCCTCATTGTGTTCAAGTGTCATAGTTTATTTCAATGATTACCTGGTTTTCAGTAGTTATGCAATTTCTAATTGTTTGTCCTTACAAATAATGCCAAAATATGTATCCTGTGGGCAATTATTTGCACACATCTGTTGAAGTGTTTGGTTTTTTTTTTTTAATCTCACTCTTATCACCCAGGCTGGAGTGTAGTGGCACAATCTCAGCTCACTGCAACCTCCACCTCCCAGGCTCAATGATCCTCCCACCTCAACTCCCCCCAGTAACTGGGACCACAGGTGCATGCCAGCATGCCCAGCTAATTTTTGTATTTTCTGTTGAGATGGGGTTTTGCCATGTTGCCCAGGCAGGTCTCAAACTGCTGGGCTCAAGTGATCCTCCTGCCTCCACCTCACAAAGTGCTGGGATTACAGGCATTAGCCACTTGCACCCTCTGAACTGTTTTTTAAAGCATGCCAAATAAACTAAGTAAACACAAGCAGAAATCATAAAATTGCTATTTTGGGCTGGTACCAAGTACACTGATAAATGAAGAGAAGAGGAACGCTATGTGATCATTGTCACAGTCATAGTTTTTATTTCTCAGTTGCTTCCTGTGTGCTGTACAACAAGCTGAGAGCCTTTGCATCTGTTATCTCAGTCCTCACAACGTCCTCTGAAGTTGTTATTACTATTCTTATATATAGGTGAATAGAGTGAGGGATGGAGAGGCGAACTGACCTGTCACAGGGGTGCCAAGATTTCACTTAGATCTTCCTGATTCTAAAACTCATGTTTACTGCTGCATCATGATATCTTTCTTTCTTTCTTTTTGAGATGGAGTCTTGCTCTGTCGCCCAGGCCGTAGTGCAGTGGCGCAATGTGGGCTCACTGCAAGCTCTGCCTCCCAGGTTCACGCCATTCTCCTGCCTCAGCCTCCCAAGTAGCTGGGACTACAGGGACCCACGACCATGCCAGGCTAATTTTTCGTATTTTTTTTAGTAGAGATGGGGTTTCACCATGTTAGCCAGGATGGTCTCGATCTCCTGACCTAGTGATCCTCCTGCCTCGGCCTCCCAAAGTGCTGGGATTACAGGCGTGAGCCACCACGCCCGGCCGCATCATGATATCTTTCACAGTTGTCAGGAGAGGCAAGAGATATTTCGAAAATGCTGATGTTCACAGATTTTTCTGTTATGAATTTTGCTGAGGTTGTCCTGCCTTCTGCCCTTGAAATAGGACAGAGTCTGCCTTCCTTAAAGACCCAGGCATATGTCCACTTGCTCTAAGCCCAGCCTCACTTAGCCAACTGCTTTGCTTCCTTAGTCTTCTGAGGTTTGTTTTGTGTTTTTAATTACAATGCATCAGATTATGACAGGACACGAGGAATGTGTGCAAATGCTGCTGGAACAAGAAGTGTCAATTCTCTGTAAAGATTCCAGAGGGAGGACGCCCTTGCACTATGCAGCTGCTCGTGGCCACGCCACGTGGCTGAGCGAGCTGCTCCAAATGGCTCTTTCTGAGGAGGACTGTTGTTTCAAAGATAACCAAGGCTACACGCCGCTGCACTGGGCTTGTTACAATGGTGAGTTGCTTATCATTTGACTGATTCCACTAGACTTCCTACCCCAGGACCACTGTGAGCTCAGTGGAGGTGAGAGCCTTATGTAATTCTGCAAACCATGGTTTCTAATCTTTCTGCATCCAAGATATCTTTTTTGTGTATTTTGTTTGTTTTTTTAATAGTTCTCACCCCTCCACAGCTGCTGTGATGCCTTAACTGAGTAAAAGTTCACTTTCCCCTTTTAGTTAATCATTAACACTTAACCGTAATCAGAACCGATAAGCTTAAATGACCAATTTTATTCAGGGTTTCTGATCTATATAATATAACCAGGATCCCACAAGGGATTAAAATAATAAAACTAATACCAAATATATGTATATAATTTAATAACCTGTCACAATTGATTACTAGTAGATGCATGGTTCATCTTTTGGTGTTTGTTGTGTTTCATATTCCTTATTTATTTTGTTGTACTTATTATTTGGGAGATTTTTAAATTTGTATTTCACTTAATTTAAAAATGCATCCTAATTATACCAATTCCAAAGTACAGAAATATCTGAAGTAAAATTGTTTCCATTTCTAAACCTACTTTCTAATGTAATTTTGTGTGCATCTTTCATAATTTTTCCTTTGAAAATATAAATAATTATAAATTAATGTGTATATTTTTTGAAACTGGAATTATAGAACAAATAGCAGCCATTCTATAATTTTTTGTTGGTGTTTAAATTGTATTGCAGATATTCTTACAAGTCAATATGTATCAATATGGATTGATCTTATAATGGTTGTATATTATTTCATAGCAATATGTATACCAGAACTTATTATTTATTCAACCAGGTTTCTGTGGATTGACATTCAGATTTCTTTTTTCCTATTACAAGCAATGCAGCAATGTGCATGTCCATATTATGGTACCATAAATTCTCTCAGATAAGTTTCCAGAAATAAAATTATTGAGTAAGGGGGTTTGTGTATTTTTTAATTTTAATAAATTATACCATATTATTTTGCAAAAAGGATATCAAAATTTATTATTTCACCAAACATTTGTATAAAAGTTAGTGTTTTTCCTCATGCTTGCCAACCCAGAATAACACCTTTTTAAATTTTTGTCGATTTGAGAGGCAAAAGGTATCTTCTTGTTTCAATTTGCATTTCCCTATCTAATAGTACCCTGGCTATTTGTATTTCTTCTTCTAGAAATTACTTTTTCCATCCACTGTTCACTTTTTTCCTATTGAGCTATTTATCTTTTCTCGTATGCTTGTGGGAGCACCTTGTCTTGGTGATAAGAATGTGATATGAATGAATGTTTAATGATATGAATGTCTTAGAAATATGAATATTTTTGTTCCTTGTTTAGGATGTTTTTTTCCACTTAGAGATTTTGAGCTTTTATGTACTTGAATCAGTTACAGAGATACATTTCTATTATATTTTCAACAAATATGTATTGAATAACTACAATGGCAGCTACTGTTTAGATACTTGAAATATGTCAATGAACAAAACCAAGATCCTATCAGATTTTGTATGGTTTCCAGGTTTCCAGTCTCTCTTCAAAAGGTCTCCTACCCCTAAGATTATATGGATATTTTCCCATGTATTTTTTACTTTGCTTCTATAATTTTCTTTTTACATTTTCAATTAGTCAATTAAAATTTTAATTTAGAAACCATTAATAGTTCCACAAAAGGCGTTTGTGTGTGTGTGTGTGTGTTCTAATTATATCAATTTAAGACCTCTTACTGTGTTTTCACTACGGTCCTCTTTTTTCATTCATTCTGCTCAGTAAGAGCCAAATTTTCTATTTCCTCAACTTGGTTTTGTTCCCTTCCTGCCATTGGAGGATTGTGATTTTTTTTTTTAACCTACTAATGGGTGACCCCCATCTGGGTCAAGCTGTGGGAGCTCTCTGGCACTGGAGAACCTACAAGAGGAGAAGGATGCAGTGAGAGTGCTGATTATAATGGCGGGCCGCAAACCTGACACAGACCAGATCCTCTCTTCAGGGCTCAGGGTGAGAGGTGTCTGTGTTCCTAGCCTCTCCAGGTACAGGCAGGGGAGGAGGAGCAGTCTCCTCCTAAGCCGTTCACCCTTTCAGTGCAGCCTTTGTCCAGGACTGAGTTTCAAGCTCCCATCTTCCCAGACTCCTTTTTACTAGGCACTTTGAAATATTGAAAGGAGCTCAGTCATCTCCAGTCCTACCTGTACAGACTCTTAAATTGGGATTCATATAGTCCCCACTTAAGGAATGCTATGTGTGGATGCTACCCTAAGCTAGATCCTTTGGAAGACTTGAGGTGTCTGGGACTATTTCAATGACGGTTCCATGTAGTTAGTTGGAAGGCTAAATCATACAACTTTCCTAGAGCTGCTGGCTTTTTTTTTTCTAGGGGTGTATGGAGTCTTACTCTGTCACCCAGGCTTGTGGCGTGATTTCGGCTCACCACAACCTTTGCCTCCTGGGTTCAAGCGATTCTCCTGCCTCAGCCTCCCGAGTAGCTGGAACTACAGACAGGCACCACCACACATCTTTTTTTTTTTTTGGTATTTTTAGGAGAGATGGGGTTTCGCCATGTTGGCCAGGCTGGTCTTGAACTCCTGACCTCAAGTAATTCGCCCGCCTCGACCTCCCAAAATGCTGGGATTACAGGCATGAGCCACCATGCCCAGCCACTGCCAGTTTTTTATATTTATTACTTCATAAGCTTTTTAATCTGTCTAAAAGCAATATTGCCTATTCTCTTTTTAGATATAAGAAAAGTTTGATTTGTATTTTAATATTTCAAATTGTCCCATCTACATCATTCTGAGGTAGATCATAAGGGAACTTTCACTAACTTAGCACTGAGTTCAACCAAGAAGAGGTTTCAGGACAATCTGTGTTGCAAAGCAAAATGGCAATGCCTTCCCACATTAGAATTGAGAACCACAGAGACTTTGTCGTTGTTTTTTGTTTTTTGTTTTAACCAGGTCTGTAATGAGGGAATGCTTAGTCAGGCTGGGGAACCATCACCCTTCTTCCTGGGAGACAATACCAGGCAGCAAGATCTGTCTTACAATTGTATAGAACGTCACAAACCACACTGAGGCCCTTTATTGAGTAAAGTTCTCACCATCCTGTGACATAGGTAGGGCAGGTATTCCTAGTCCAGTTTTGAATATGTGAGAAACTGAGGCTCAGAGATCCCAAGTAAATTGCCTCAGATCACATAACAAGTAAGCTGACAGCTAGGACCTTACTTAACTTGAATTCAGTTGATTTGGAAACTACCTACCATTTTGTTGAAAATAATTTCACATATTCATTCATCTACTTATTTGAATAGTGCTTACTGAATGCCCATGATGTGCCAAGAACTGTTCTTGGGGGCAGTTAAAACACATATAGTATTTTATAGTCAATTTTCACATGCATTATCTCAAATACTGTTTTCTCCTAATCACAGTTTCGCCTCTCCACTAGAATGCATAATGTAAGTGGAAGTATTTGTATGGGTGAAAGGTACATTTCCTCTTATAAATGTGGACAAATTGAAGCATGCCTGTGTGAGGCATCTATCTTTCAAGAGCTGAGAATAAAACAGAATATATTCTGCTTGCAAATGAGTCATCTTCTCTGTCTCTCTTCACCAGACCATATGACCTTCATTGTTTTATTTGTTCATTAAGTCTCAGAACACCTGTGAACATGTTAATAACATTTTGGCATTTTGTTAATATTATTTCATGGAGAATGAATGTTCAGCCAATTCAGGAAAATTCATAAACCAAAAACTCAATACTTAATGAAAAAGCAGATTGGGTTGAACAAAATTTCTTTCTTGGAAACTCCCTAAATTATTTTTATTTCTTGCAGGTAATGAAAACTGTATAGAGGTACTTTTGGAGCAAAAATGTTTTCGCAAATTTATCGGTAATCCCTTTACTCCACTGCACTGTGCAATGTAAGTAGAAACGCTGAGAGTTAATGATGTTGCTTTAATGATTTTAACTACACATAGAAAAGTTGCTTTGTAGGGAAAAAAGTCTTTTAGATTACAGATAAGACTGAAATATTCCATTTTTGCTGCTAAAGACAAGTAGATCTGATAGCAAAATATTAATGATTTTCCCGGAGATTTTTGTGGAGTGCCACAGTTCCAAAGTGGCAAAGATGCCACCCTCGGGAAATCTCGTGAAGGGGTAGAGTGAGAGGTGCATTACCCATGTGAAGAACTCTTCAGGTATAACTCACATTTGTCTGCCAAATTCTAAAAATAAGTCAGCGTTGACAACAGTATGCCTACAGATGGTTAGAAAGGCATTTCACACTGGGACAACTTTTCATATATTGAAATTCTTCATCTTTCATATGTTGTAAGCTCTTGTCTGATAAATTTAATTTTTGCTCCAGTCTCAATAGTGAATCATAGTTCAGAGGATACAGTGACTTTAAGTCAGACTTCCATAGTCAGCCTGGGAGTCTGTTTTCAACTGGGCTTCCATAGTTAGCCTGGGGGCCCAAGACCTGAGGATTCTTTGTCTTTACATTGTCTCTGGCCTTTATATGAAACTGAGTCATTTGATTGGAAAGATATTGGAGGCATAAAGTAGATCAATAAAGAAAGTATAAGTAAAAAAGAGTCAGAAAGATTTTATTTTGTTTATATTTTGTTTTTTGAGACGGAGTCTCGCTCTGTCGCCTAGGCTGGAGAGCAGTGGCACAATCTCGGCTCACTGCAACCTCTGGCTCCCGGGTTCAAGCAATTCTCCTGCCTCAGCTTCCCAAGCAGCTGGGACTACAGGTGCGCGCCACCACGCCTGGCTAATTTTTGTAGTTTTAGTAGGGACTGGGTTTCACCATATTGGCCAGGCTGGTCTTGAACTCCTGACCTCATGATCCACCTGCCTCAGCCTCCCAAAGGTCAGAAAGATTTTAAATCTGAAGGAAGCATGTCTATTCCACTTTGATGTCTCCAAAACGCCTAACATGGTGCCTTGCATAAGTGCAATAAACTTCTACCTGGATATAGAGGTTCTGAAGTAATGCTAGGGGTTACAAAATGTATGCCATTGAAACATATACCACAAATATTTACGTTCGATTTTTTAAATGCTTCAGATTGTCAAATATACAGTACATAGGAAGATGGGTTAGGAGGTGATATAATTTAAAAGAGTGAGATTGTTACATTAAAACCCATTTTCATTTTAGAATCAATGATCATGGGAATTGTGCATCATTGCTGCTTGGGGCCATAGATTCCAGTATCGTCAGTTGTAGAGATGACAAAGGCAGGTAAGTAATCTAAAACAGCATGCTTTTTTCTTGATGAATCTTACCCTCTGCTTTGCAGTTGCAGAGTAGCCAAACATCTATGTTTTTAATTGAAAGAATAATGGATAAGCATGGTTTTTAATATTACAGAGGGTGTATAATTAAAATAAATTTCCCTCTAAGCCTAGAATCCCTAGCCTCTTCCACAGAGAAAGCTACTATACACTGTTATTTACAAATTTTATTTTCTCCTAAATATTTTTATGCATATCTACAAACATATATACACATATATGTATATATCCATATATTCTTTTTTGCACATGGTAGCATTCTGTAACAATGCTCTGCTTTTAGTATATCTTGGAGATCCTTCCATACCAAAACATACAGATTTACCATATTCTTTTTGAAGCTACATATTATTTCATTGAATGGATATGCTATAATTTGCTCATCCTGCCCTCTATTGAAGAACATTTAGATTGTTTCCAATATTTTGCTGTTTCAAAGTGTGGTGTGGTGAACATTCTCATATGTGTGTCTGGGCAGGGTACAGTGGCTCACGCCTGTAATCCCAGCACTTTGGGAGGCCGAGGCGGGTGGATCATGAGGCCAGGAGATAGAGACCGTCCTAGCTAACATGGTGAAACCCCATCTCTACTAAAAATATAAAAAATTAGCCGGGTGTGGTGGCAGGCGCCTGTAGTCCCAGCTACTCAGGAGGCTGAGGCAGGAGAATGGCGTGAACCCATGAGGCAGAGGTTGCAGTGAGCCGAGATTGTGCCACTGCACTCCAGCCTGGGCAACAGAGTGAGACTCTATCTCAAAAATAAATAAATAAATAAATAAATAAATAAATAAATAAATAAATAAGTGTCTGTACACATGACCAAGTGTATCTGAGAGATAAATACCTAGAAGTGGATTTCTTGGTTAAAGGGTTGATATTTTTAAATTTTGATAAATAATGCCAAATTATCCTCTAAAAGAAATTAAGCAACCAAAATAGATGATGTGACGGGTTTTTAAAATTTTTATTTAATCTGCCAATTATCTACAGACTTAAGCATTAATTTTTAAAGTATCTATCTCAAAGATAAAAGTAGACTCACTGGAACTTAAGATTAAAGAGTCAGTAAAGACACTAATTTCATTATCAGGGCCAACACACACCCCCCTCCCAAATCTAGGGGGTTCCAGTCCCATAGGTGATATTTCAGTGTCTATCCTGGATGACCTTTAGAGGGAGGGGACCTGATCACTATGTCTATAAACTGAGAAGTTTTAAATCCTTAAGACAACACCTTGTGCATGTTTCTTGGGCAGTAACTAGCGAGAATAAAGTTTAAAGGAAACTAAAGTGATACTTGTTTTAAATCTTTAGGACACCCCTTCATGCGGCAGCATTTGCTGATCATGTGGAGTGCTTGCAGCTTCTTCTGAGACACAGTGCTCCAGTGAACGCAGTAGATAATTCAGGGAAAACAGCACTGATGATGGCTGCTGAGAATGGGCAGGCAGGCGCTGTGGGTATGTGCTTGTTGTATGGACTTTGCCCTTATGCCCATGCAAAAACCAAAATAATGTCAAATCAAGAAATCAGTTGTTCTCATAGTATATACACGTGGAAAAGGGCCATTAGCAGTTTTACTTAAGTCACCTGATTCTACCTGCTCAAGCGTCTTTCAGTTCCCTGTTTTTTGATTCTTGGTGGACCTTGTCAAAGAGCTAACCCTTCTGCAATGAAATTATCAACATTTAGAAACCAAGTGTAACAACAGAATCATTTTAACTGGGAATAATGAACTGTAAAAGCAGTTAAAATTAGTGCCTATTAACCTTGGATTTGGATAGCACAGATATGAGAATAAATTACTCCCTTTTTTCTTTAAATACATTAAATATGATTATGTGAACTGTACTAATTTAAATATGTTATTGTGTTTGTAGTAACTTCTTCAAAATGCATGTAATTAGCATCTCATCTAAGTAACCCTCTTTTGGGCTTTTTCTACAGATATTTTGGTGAACAGTGCCCAGGCTGATCTGACTGTAAAGGATAAGGACTTGAATACACCCTTACATTTGGCTTGTAGTAAAGTATGTAAATGAATTTAAAATATTATTACTTCACGTTATAATAATAACAGTAATAATAACACTGAAATTCTACCTCGGAACTGTGTAGCATGGCTCTTAATTAAGATGTACATTTTCCCAGGGTCTTGTCAACTGAAAGTGGAAGGATGAGAAGGAAAGGACAGACCCAACAATGCATTCGTGTTGAAGAAGCATATCTTCATCAACACAAATACTGAGGACATGCTTTTCATGGCATTTGCCACTTGCATTCTTGCTGTAGTCTGTCTGTCTTGATGCTGCCATCGTATCTGTCTCTCTGGTTGTTGTACCACATTTTGGTACCACATAAAAGTGAGGACCTTAGTTATGTGGCTTGTAAAGTATAAGCAGTTTTACTTGTTTTCATTTTGTTCCATTTGAAGACATTGTAGTAACACAGCCAAAAAATACTCTACTGTGAAGCAAATAAATAGATATATGTGTATTTCTACCCTTCCCCCTTTTTTCTGGTGTACAGTTCAATGCAAAAAATGTGATTTTTTTTTTCAAATAGTGGTGTGTTCACATGTTGCTCAAGATTCCTTCTTCCATAAAAGATAAATTTTAGGCCGGGAGCAGTGGCTCATACCTATAATCCCAACACTTTGGGAGGCCGAGGCAGGTGGATTACCTGAGGTCGGGAGTTCGAGACCAGCCTGACCATAATGGAGAAACCCTGTCTCTACTAAAAATACAAAATTACCCGGGCATGGTGGCGCATGCCTGTAATCCCAGCTATTCAGGAGGCTGAGCCAGGAGAATCGTTTGAACCCGGGAGGCAGAGGTTGCAGTGAGCTGAGATCACTCCATTGCACTCCAGCCTGGACAACAAGAGTGAAACTCCATCTCAAAAAAAAAAAAAAGATAAATTATATAAAATTATATATATATATAATTTATCTTTTATATCATATATATGATTTTACAAAACTTCGTTATGTTGCTGAATCGTATAATATTAATATCTTTTAAACATCATGTTTTATGGTATTTTAGAAGATATGTAGTATTTCAGCTTAGGAATGGGCCATCTTTTATTCAACCCATCTCCTATTATTAGACAAATAACTTGTTTTCAGTTATATGTTAGTACAAGTTCAGTATCTCTTACCTGAAATTCCTGGAACTAGAAGTGTTTCAGATTTAGGATTTTTTGGATTTTGGAATATTTGTATTATACATGTTGATTATCCCAAATCCAAAAATCTGAGTGTTATGTCAATATTCAAAAAGTTTTGGATTTTGTAGCATTTTTTATTTCAGATTTTCGAATTTGGGATGCTCAACCTGTATAAATAATGCTTATTGCAGAGGAATCTTTTATAAACATCCTTACTCATTACTTTAAGATAAATTCCTAAGTGTGGAATTATTGAGTCTAAGGATATAATTTTTTTTTTTTTTTTTTTTTTTGAGGCAGAGTCTTACTTGTTGCCCAGGCTGGAGTGCAGTGGCGCAATCTTGGCCCACTGCAACCTCCGCCTCCCAAGTTCAAGTGATTCTCCTGCCTCAGCCACCCGAGTAGCTGGGACTACAGGCATGCGCCACCATGCCCGGCTAATTTTTGTATTTTTTAGGAGAGATGGAGTTTCACCATGCTGGCTAGGCTGGTCTCGAACTCCTGACCTCGTGATCCGCCCGCCTTGGCATCCCAAAGTGCTAGGATTACAGGCATGAGCCACTGCACCCAGCCAGATATAAATATTTTTAGACCAACTTGCCCTCTTACGAGGTCACAACAGTTTACCTTCCAACAGCAGTGCCTCAGAATGAAACCTCCATGGACATTTCTAAAATTATATTTAAGGGTCTCCCATACAAGGCATTATAGTATGAAGCCAGTTGGCACCCATGGCGGTGATTTATTTCAATGTAGTTAAAATATTATCAGTGTTACCTATATGGTACCAGTAGTCTCAGCCATTCCTTTCATTGCTTACATTTTCTCACTTCATGCTCTGGGAAGCCCATGGGAACCACAAAAAGTGCTCAGCCTTATGAAGTTTATTTCAAGGTATAGTATTTTGGTGAATATAAGTGCAATGCTTTTCAAACTTTATCATGCAAACGAATCACCTGGGAGTTCTGTGAAAAAAACAGATTCTGATATATTAGGTCTGGGGCAGAGCTTGAGATTCAGCAGTTCTAACTCCCAGTAATACTAATGTGACTGGTCTGCACGCCACATGTTGATTAGCAAGGGCTTAGGAAGCCATAACCCCTTAAAAGGGTACCAGGCCTGAAATTGTAAGAGTCTCTGACTCATCAGTTGATTTTCAAAAATTATTAACCATCTATCTTCATAAGGTACAGAGATATCTTCCACTGATTGAAGAAGAAAACAATGAGTTTTCCTGAAATAGGGTTTCTTCACAATATAAGGCAATTAATGATGATGAATGATATAGATAATAGATGTAATGGGAATTCCAAGGATAAATGGATAATTGAAGTAGTAACTGACGTCTTGAAATAGGAGGTGGGACTTTTGATGTATGCTAAATGTTATAGGATTCAGACAGTATTCCTATTTCTATTCCCTAGTTACCAGCTGACCTAGCTGAACTAGCATCTGCTTTACCTCTCTGGGGATTAATTTTAAAATTTATCTTAGCAGTATTAATATTTTAGATCAGACTTATGTTAACCAAGTTCTAATAGACCTTATTAGGACTCTTAGAGTGTCTGGAGCCCATTTGTTGTTGAGAAGAAAAAAAATTACTCAGAAAATAGCCCTATAGAATGTTCTTAGGCAGACGACATTCATTTTCAATTTAAATCATAATGAAGAAATTTCTCAGTAACTTTTCTGTGTCTCTATCTTGCATTTCTTATCATTCTTTTTCTTTATTAGGGTCATGAAAAATGTGCCTTGTTAATACTTGACAAGATACAAGACGAGAGCCTTATTAATGAAAAAAATAATGCACTGCAGACGTAAGTGTAACTACTAAAGTTGGACTTGAACCCAGGGTCATAGTCATTTATTCAATAAGTATTAAGAGCCTGCTGTGTGCCAGACTAGCTCTGGGGAGCACAGTGGTGAAAGATGCAGTCCTGGCTTCCCCTGCATGAAGGTGACAGTCACATACCTACAAGTGCTGACCAAGCTGGGCAGTTTTAGTTAGAATCCTTCTTTTGATATGTCTTCATTTAATTTTGTGAAGTCTCTCTTTTTCTTTGCTGATATTTCTGGGGTAATATTATAAATTTAGTGGGCTGTTAGAAAAATTTTATGGACTGACATATTTGGGGAAACTATTTGTATTATGTATTAGCATTATGTATTCTGACTGGAAAATGACAGTTTTGCAAATCAGTTTCCCAGAATACATTTGAAGAGTTTCTAAGCTATTTGTCTTGATTATATTTTAATATAATTCAGTGTAACCCTTGGTGTGAAAGATCTAAAAGCTGTTTCATTTTCCGCTTTAGGAAATTATTTATGCATTTGTTTTAAAGGCAAAGGAATTTTTTTCATTTAAGATTCTTAAGCCGGGCGTGGTGGCTCATGCCTTTAATCCCAGCACTTTGGGAGGCCGAGGCAGTTGGATTACTTGAGGCCAGGAGTTCATGACCCGCCTGGCCAACATGGTGAAACCCCGTCTCTACTAAAAATACAACAACAACAAAATTAGCTGGGCATGATGGTGGGTGCCTGTAACCTCAGCTACTTGGGAGGCTGAGGCAGGAGAATCACTTGAACCTGGGAGGTGGAGGTTGCTGTGAGCTGAGATCGTGCCACTGCACCACTCCAGCCTGGGCAACAAGAGCGAGACTGTCCCCCCACAAAAAAAAAAGAAAAGAAGAAGAAGAAGAAGAAGACTGTTGGCTGGGTGTCGTGGCTCATGCCTATAATCCCGGCACTTTGGGAGGCTGAGGCAAGTAGATCACTTGAGCCCGGGAGTTTGAGACCAGCCTGGCCAACATGATGAAACCCCTTCTCTACAAAAAATAAAAAAATTAGCCAGCCACAGTGGTTTGCACCTGTAGTCCCAGCTACACAGGAGACTGAGGCAGGAGAATCACTTGAGCCCAGCAGAAGGTCAAGGCTGCAGTGAGCTGTGATCGTGCCACTGCACTCCAGCCTGGGTGACAGAGTGAGACCCTGTCTCAAAAAAAAAGAAAAAGATTCTTAAGCAGTATATAGCACAATATACTGAGTTTGACATAATTCTTTAAGGTATTATAAATTCAGTAAAACATCTGTGTGCATTTAGTAGTAACAAGGAAGTTTGAAATTATACATATATATGACTGATATTAATGCCAGTCATATTGTTGAACTGTGTGAAACAGTGATTCAAATGCTGTGTTAGAAATCAAGCAGTAAAGGGCCTTCTGCAAAACACAACAAAGCTTGAGTTCTTCCTCTGTCTTCGTATTTACTGTCATTGAGATTGTTTGAGATGCAGAATATTTGTAATATCTGCAGCAAGATCTGGGCCAAACATACAACAACAGTTGGACCATTAGCACCTGGAAAAGATCTGGTCAGCATTTTTTTTTCTTAAGTAAAAACATCCATGTACTATTTGTAGAGTCTAAGTACTTCTTCCTTTTAGTGACATGGGCTAACAAAAATTCCACATTCTCACCCAAATATGTATCACAACTGATGCTCGGTCTTGTGTTTTTTAGACCCCTCCACGTCGCTGCGCGCAATGGCTTAAAGGTGGTAGTTGAGGAGTTGCTGGCCAAAGGGGCCTGTGTACTTGCTGTAGATGAAAATGGTAAGTGGAAAAAGTCAACAGCGACTGCAGGTACCTTCCATAAGCTAGTTGAAGCCAGAGGAAATGAGAAAGATAGGAGCTAGTATAAAAGGCACTTAAGAATTCTGTCCCCCTTGGAAGTCCTGTGTGTGAGAAATCAAGCAAGGATAACTTGTCCTGTCTGTCTTTTTGTAAATCACATAGTCTACCTGTAGGCCACCCAGTGCTGTCCATTTTGCATGTAATGCCAGCAGCTGGTCTCTAACTCCTCAGCACAGTGGTTAAAATATCTTAGACACACTAAGAGTTTCAAGTTGACACTCAAAATTTTAACTGCAAATGCTGAAGAGTTAGGGACTACACATGTCATTAATGCATGCTCAAGGGCTCAAATAAAAACCTGGATCTTTGATTGTATTTAAGTTCATTCTGAGATCAAACTTTTTTTTTCTTTAAGTACAGATCAGAACTCATATTCCCAGTATGGAAATGTGAGGAACAAGAGTAAAATTTCTTAATTAACGTCTAGGCTTGAAGCTTCCCCTGATCTGTATTAATGTTCCTTTCCTAATGAACTAATTCTTAACAGAAGCTTTCTACTCTGCTTCCTAAGAAATTTTGAAAGGAATGGCTACTAGAATTGTACTAAACTGCCATTTTAAGCACAATGCCTATTAACCTTGGGGAGCAAAAAAGGAACTTCTGGATGTTTATGAATTATGTAATTTTTAAAATGTGGCATTTAATTAAAGTATTATAATGTATTAATGTAACTCAATTAACTGCTTATTACAGGTATTGGAATTAGCAGCTCATGCCTATTTCTCAGAAGTAAGCAGCCATACTGATTATCATTAGCTAACTCTTATTAGTTTTGATTTTGCAGCCCCATGTATCCTAGCATGTACCCTGCTGTGTCCCCCACCTGACTCATCTAGGAAGTGCAGAAAGTTCCCTATTACTCCATTTCCTTGGTTTTCCCGCCTCACCTTCCCTCACCCTCTTAACACTACTGTAGACTTAGGGTTGGCCTGCAGAGGCCCACAGTTTTTCTCCAAAATGGTCAAAGAGAATAGAATAAATTAGTTTTGCTTTTCCTGGTGTAAATCTGCTGCATTGAAGGTTTGTTCAGCTGATAGTGACCTTAGGAACAAGAGCCCTGGGTTGGTGCGCACCTGCATCCCAAAGGCCTGGGAACGTTTGGGGCAATTTTATATAGCAGTACAACCATAATTCCTTTACTCATCACTGACTTTCGTGAAATGGAATGTTAAACTACCTGTTCATTCTTATTTGTTTTCATACCAGAAAAAGGAATGATGTCCTAAAGGGCAGGGTGGGGAGAGCAGGTCGAGTGATGATAAACAAAACAACAAAACGTTAAGTTTCATTGAGCCATTCCTCTGAATTACTGAGCAAGTGCCCTACTCACTGTGTAGTGGAAACTTTGGCCAGCTGAGAAGGCAGCTAACCCTTTTCAGGCCAGTAGGATAAAGGTTGGATAAGGAAATAATCAAGTCAAAGACTTAATCTACCTCCCCAAGGAACCTATATTATGAGTTAAGACAGTTTTCTTATCTGGATTGGATCCATTGAGTCTAAATGAGAATAACATGGTTCTAATTATGACAAGCATAGTAATTTTCTCACATCCATTACATTTTAGATTTGAGACTTTGATTGGTGAGTGGCCATTTTTAAATATTCTGTTAGGCCAGGTGTGATGGCTCACGCCTTTAATCCCAGGACTTTGGGAAGCCAAGGTGGGAGGATCGCTTGAGCCCAGGAGTTTGAGAACAGCCTGGGAAACATAGCAAGACCTTGACTCAAAAAAAAAAAACCAAAAAAAGAAAAAATCAGCCGGTAGTAGTGGCACACACCTATAGTCCCAGCTACTCGGGAGGCTGAGGTGGGAGGATTGCTTGAGCCCGGAAGACAAGGCTGTAGTAAAATCAAGGCCCCATGCCACTACAATCCAGCCTGGGTGACAGAGTGAAACTCTGTCAAAAAAAAAATTTGTTAAATTTCTCCTAAATGATTGTACATTTTTAATCACAAACAACCTGTGCTTTCCTGTCTCTGATCTACTGAAATGATTCCATTTTTCTAAAACCAGTTATTGGTGTCTATTTTCTATGAAGCATATATAAAGTGACAAAACTTCATTACTCACTTTTGCAGTCATCTAATTTTCAATATCTTTTCTAATTGGACACACAATTACCTAACAATGGAAAGTCATTGTTCTCAGAATGAGAGTCCTTCTCAGGCCCAGGCCTGAGGCTCATGGTGTGTGTGTGCTCTCAGGCGGAAACATCCTCCTGATTGTCCTGTTGCTGTTTATTGTGGAATTGTGTCCCACACCCACCCCCTTGTGTTTGTGTTCACTAAATGAAGGCTGGAATCCTGCCTAACTTTGGATGATATTGTGCTTGTCATAGTCATATGAGCTGAAAACAAAAATAAAAAGCCCTCCATAAAATGTCTCCCCCTCCCTCCCCCTCTAGCCTCACCCCTAGCATGACTTGTGAGAAGTAACTCCTCGTTTTACCTGGCATGATTTCTAACTCAACATACATCTCCGCCTGTGAGATCATCCGAGATGTACTGTGGAATGCTCGTGCCTCCTCTAGGCTCCCCAGGACTAACCACTGCCTTGTCTGCATTTACGCCCAGGTCATACCCCGGCCCTGGCTTGCGCTCCTAACAAAGACGTGGCTGACTGCCTGGCCCTCATTTTGGCTACCATGATGCCTTTTTCTCCTTCCAGTACAATGATGGCTGTCAACTTCGTTTGTTTAAAAAAAGACAATTTGAGCAGGACGACCCTCTCCAATCTGGGTAGCATGGTTAGCCTGTGCAGTAACAACGTAGGCTCGGAGGATGGGTACAATGAAAATGATTCTGATTCGGAAACGTTTTGACTTTGGACTGTAGAAGCTTTTCTTTGATCACCTGTGTTGGAGGAAAGGAAAGAAGCTTGAATTCCAGGTTTATGTTGTATTCAAGTATTATTTGGGGCCTGGGCTTCCAGAAGCTAGTAGAGAAGGAATTAATCGAGGGAGGGCAGTGAGGCTGTTGGGTGGAACAGTCACACAGATGGCCCCAGTTTTGTTTTGTTTCACATTTTCTTTAAATCTAAGATACTTCTGTGAAAGTCTACCTCTCATTTTAAATAAAGAATAAAAGATGTATTTAATTCCTGTTCTTTGGGGATAATGCAGCAGAGAGGCAGCTGTTCGCTATGAATAATTTTTCTTTTCATGTATTTAGCAGTGAGTTCTCAGAAGTATATCAGTGTGACATTCATGTCCCCTGGGAGGGAAGGGAAGAGGCAGATAGGAAATGCCTCAAACTTCTTCTCACTTTGATGTTTACTTCCTCACTAGAAGCCAAAGGTAAAGGTGTCCATCTTCAGAAATAATGCCTGTAATAATCTTTTTAGAGAGTCCAACTATTTATATCCTCTCTATAGTAAGCATTTGAATATCCAGAACTTCTTTCTGAGGATCTCTGTTAAAGTTGCCAGATGAATTGAAAAATTGAACTTGCTTTTTTTGTTTAACACAGTGTTCCCTATAACAAGCCTGTGACTAATTTTCACTTAAGTGATTGAACCCAAATTTATCTAATAACATTTCAGGTGAAAATTATATTGCACCAAAACTTTGACACAATATGCAAAAATAGTATGAAACTACCCTTTGTTAATTTATTCTTAAATCAAAATACTAACTTTTAAAAAACATCAGAATCATCAGCATTGTTCATCAGTAGTAAAATGAGCTTCTCAGTCAAGGTCATACCAAGTCAGTGAAAAGTGTGACTGCAAAAAGGAACAAAAAAAGTGAAAGCAGAAAGTAGAAATGGGTGATTTAGCATGTAAAACCGATTGCCAGTTGCTTGATGATGAAATCAACATAGTGAATACTGTGTCTGCTCCCTCTGCCAAAGCTTCTAGGTCAAATGGACCCCGTTCCACACCTGGAACCGCTGTACAAAAAGAAGAATGAGACTCTTTAAAAATTATGCACATACACATGCACACATATATGTGTGCGTGTGTATATATATATATATGTGTGTGTGTGTGTAGTTCATCAGCCAGCTACACATGAGGACCAAAATGCTTCAGTCTAAAATGGAAGATACACATTTTTTTCCTTCAAAATGCAAGTGAGAACTGAAGTAGCTTTTTTATGGAGTTAAATGTAATCTTTCTGTGTACCAGTCTTTGTTGTATTTTATATTTCTTAGGACACAGATTTCTAGTTGACCACTTAACATTTGTAACTGATGATGTGCTGACCTTTTTTTTTTTTTTTGCCAAACTAGAGAAAATGTCCATATACTTTTGCTGTAAATGTGTTTATATTTATTTGAAATGAAACAAATGGTGAGGAAACATCCATTATTTGTTCTCTATTTTAATTGCTATGTATCTTATTTAGAATAACAAAAAAAAAGTGAAAAAAAAAACACTTGACCCTGGGCTAGCCAAAAGCCCAAGGGCCAAACCTAGCATTTCCACTGCTAAGGTTTCCAGATGACCCTCAGGTTCTTCCGCGTTGGTTAGAGAGGGCTACGCATCTTCTACTGCTCAGCCACAGTCTGTAGCCAGCTTAGAGCTTAGAAGACATTGCAGTCTGGATGCCCTTCTGCGAGATGAAAACTCAGATGTGTAGTGGATCATATACACAAAGGCAGCACAAAGAAATATCTAGAAATTACCCTAAGTACACTGAAAAGCTCACATAGTCTCAGTAACCTGATGAGAAATGATGGCAGTGTGTGGGCACATGTGCCAAAAGGAGAAATAAAAATCACCAGCTCAAGTGCTATTTTCTACTTGAGGAAGAGACAGAAAAGAAATGTGTCGAATTAGAGCAGTACTCTCTGACGTTTTATAATGAGTTCCATTTCCACCCTGGAAATTGCTATTTTATAGTGTATGTGAGATATTTCAAAAATAATGTTCTATCATATCTGGATCAAAGACAGATAACTGTATTATATTTTTCATCTAGCTATAAAACTTTAATCTTACTCTTAATATCCTGGATTTAATTAAAACTCCTGTTGGGTTCTTCACAAATGAGAACTTGTTCAAAGGATTTATTGAACTGGTATTGATTTCACTGAAAATTTTCCACACCACCACCATTGTTTTTTTGAATTCTTGGTGTTGTGCTTCCCACCTTCTGTCCTTTTCGTTTGTTTAGAGAAGATGAATTTTTAAAAAGCAGATAAATTGCTAATGAGCAATAATGACCTTATCTTTACCAAAACACTGAAAATTAAGAGAGGTTCAGTGTTGAAGAAGCACAATATGCTGCGGTGTCTTTTTCTAGAAGTGAATGGAAATCTTGCTCAGTTGGCATTTCAAGCAGGAAATGAAATGCTTGCTTTAATGGCAAAGCAGCGTTAACATTTTTCCTGTCGTGTAGCAGAGAGTACAAGAATCATTTCAGCAAAGCAGTGACTCACCATGAGACGTTATCTCCATGGAGCTGCGTTTTGACTTTTCCCACTCTCTTACTCATAGAAGGAGGACAAAGGAACGAAATGAAATCATGCTCACAATGAACTGTTCATTACATCAACTGATCTCTCTCTCTCTCTCTTCCTCTCTTTCTCTTTCTCCCATACCCCAAGGCAAAATTTTTTTAAAGAAATGACTTTAAAAACTATCATTTCTGTATTTTAATTACATCTCTTAGAAATAAAATTATGTTTGCACCATAGCTTTCTAAGAAAAAAAAATGTGTTTTTAACTGAGTCTTAGTTGCTTAGTGCTTTTATTTGTGTTATTTTTAGACTGTATTTTAACCACAACTACAAGGATCATGTTTCATTGCACTTACTTATTTGCCAGTGTCTGCCTGTCTTTGCTAAATACATTACTATCTCCAAATTGCCTAAAATCTGCTATGATTCTACAGTAAATAGCTCAGGGTATTTCTATTTATCACTACTAAAAGGGCACCATAGTATGTTTTGGTACTTTAGGCAGTAAACACTGCTTGGTTTATCATTTTGTTATTAAATTAGAACAAGAACATCAAATGGATTTGCTGCACTAGTTATTCTTTGTACTGTTGAGCAACTTGGTGTGCTTATATGTTGTGTTGGTTGAAGAACTCATCCGTTTTATTGTCTTGTAATATGAAGTTAGAGTGCCTTTTTATATTTGTATATTCTGAAAATGTTCTGTGGAATGTTTTGTATTTTTTCATTTGAGTGTTATCAGAGCAATATGATACCAGTGAGTTTTCATTTCAACTTTTCTTTGAATGTATAAAGTGTCTTTTTTCCTATTTCCCCTTGTACTTGCATTGAAATGAATATGAAAATGCTTAAGTTTTCTATAGGAATTGTTTGATTTTGCAGTGCTAAAATGCTTTCGTCTTACGAAACTATAAACCATAGGTCAGTATTATAGGGGAAAAGCATTTTAAGATAGTGACAATCTGAGTGTTTGTATAAAATGTAATTCTATGCGTTTCTTATGTGATCTAAAAATTCAATGCAAATATCTTTTATTTGGTAGTTTTGTCTACATATTTTATGCTCTAGCATGTGCAATATATCTTTGTAAAGCACGATGATACAAATCTGGTGCCAGTGTTATATTTTGCATAACATATTTGTAACAGCATAAAATATTGTTTGATGATTTCAGTGGGATTTTGTCTATAATGTTTTCTTATGTAAATTGGAGTTGAATGACTCTGGTAAATGTCATGACTGTAAAAATGGGGAAAATGACTTTTAGTTCAGTGAATGACTTTGAAACAATCTGAATCTTCTCAAGCACAGTTTAATACTTTTGCAACTACTGAATGCTCTAATAACGTAATGAAGTACTTAACTGTAATATACTATGGAAATGCATTCAGATGGTTATTTTTACAAATAAAAACGGTACAAATATTGTTGGAATTTGTGTTTTAATTTTTCCAATTTATGCTTTTTCTAAATTATGCTAATTTAAATCTTTGCACCCCCTCAAGCCAAATTAACTTTAAATTTAGAAAATAATCAAGATAAAAGTGTATCTCCAGATTCACGATTTATGTTTGTGTTATCACAATTAGAGAAAAAATTCAAACATATATGCTTGTGTTTATTATATGTATTTATGCTTCCAACTTTTTTCCATAAAGGGTTTTGTTTTGTTTTGTTTTGTTTTGTTTTTTTCTGCTCTGTTGTCCAGGCTGATGGGCAGTTGTGAGATCTCGGCTCACTGCAGCCTCGACCTCCTGGGCTGAAGTAATCTTCCTACCTCAGCCTCCCGAGTAGCTGGGACTACAGATGTGCACCACTATGCCTAGCTAATTTTGTTTTTTTGTAGAGATGGGGTCTCACTATATTGCCCAGGCTGGCCCATAAAGGATTTGAGCTGGGTTATGACAAAAGACGTGATAAACTAGAAATAGAAAAATGAGAACAGAGAAAAAGAATACAAACAGATAAAGGAACCATAAAATTTAAAACAGTATCTGTGACTGAACTTGTGTTTGCTCTCAGCTTCCTTGCAGCCAAGGTAAGAGGAGAAATGTGATCAGTTATATAGTCCACATCAAAAAAGAGGAAGCTTATTAGGTCCTCAAAATTGTGAAATCAACCATGCCTAACTTTGGTATTGTCACCATTACCCTTCAGGGACTTTATAACAACACAAGAACCTCCATCTCTGCACTATCCTTAAAGGTATCCATAGAATTTCCTTCCCCATCTATCTCACCATCCAAAATTTTTCATCTTGAGTAGTAACTTCAGGGACAGTCTCTGGAAGCACTAAGGAACAAATTCCTAATGATGGAGTTTCCAGCTATTGACGAAGAGACTTGGGGGTGGTGCCTGCCTGAGTTCCCCAAATCAAGTAGTATAGAATGTTAGCAGTTATTACAGTCCAGCCCAGTCACATCACCAGCTCTTTCAGGAAGAAACTGAATCCTAGAGAAGTTATACAACTTGAATTTTTGAAGATAGTGATCTGATGATACCACATCTGCCTCTAGATGTTCTCTCTTCGATGCCATCTTGCCATATAATGTTTTGTTTTTTTCTGCCAGAAATGTTAAGGGAGGTTTTGTACTCAGCCCTGCCTCCCTTCTTATTCAAATATACAAATCTGGGTGCTTTTCAATCTTAAAGAATGTAAAACAGGAGTCACACCACAAGTGAGTGCTTCCTGTTGTTTAGAGTAGACTGGGTATATTAGTTATCTATTGCTGTGTAACAAATTACCCCAAAACTTAGTGGCTTAAAACAACAAATGTTTCCTAACCCACAGTTTCTATGAGTCAGCCCTAGTTTAGCTGGGTCTTCTGTTCCAGGGTCTCTCACAGCCTGTAATCATGGTGTTGGCCTGGGAACGATCCATTTCTAAGTTCACTCATATGGTTGTTGGCAGGATTCTTCTCATGGGTTGTTACACTGAGGGCCTCAGTTCCTTGATGGCTGTTGGCTGCCGTCCGTTCCTTGCCAGATGGGCCTTCCCATAGGGAAGCTCACAACATGGCAGCTTGCCTTGCGGGCGAGCAGGCTGAGAAAAGCCAGGGAGACAAAGAGCAAGACAGAGTCACAGATTTTTGCAACTGAATTTCAGAAGTGATATTTCATCATTTTTCTCATATTCTATTCATGAGAAGCAAGTTACTAAGTCCAATCTATACTCAAGGGCAAGGGATTCCCCAAGGGTGTGAACAGCAGGAACAGCAATTACTAGGAGCCATTTTTGGAAGCTACTCGCCACCCTGGTCTATCACGGTGTCCTTTGAGGCTGTAACATCATACTAATACACCTTCTTCCCAGTCATTGCTAAGGAAATTGCTTGCTTGACTGACTGAACTCACCCTTTCAAGGAAAATGTAGAGATCCCTAATTTTAATTGTGTTCTCATAAGCAGAGAAATGTGATAATGGCCTCCACTGTGGTAATTATATTTTTGAACATTGATGTGGCACTTTGTCTTCAAACTGCTTGTCAAAGGTTCCTTCACGCTAATTCCATTTGGTAGGTTTAGATCCCTGTATAAGTATCCCTCACTTAACACACTTAATGTGTTCCAGAATTAGTTTGCAAAGCACAAAAGCATTAAGCTAAAAGGCTATTAACATAAAAACATTGTGGGTAAAAGTACTATATGAATTGTCTCTTTAGCAAATTTCATCCTGAAGGTACATTTGCTGTAAAATATAAAGCACCAAGATAATGGCTGTGCCATTCATTAATTCTCAGGCACTCTAGGGAGTGATTGGAAATGTGTGGGCATTTGTAGTTGGCACAATGGCTGGGGGGTGGGCAGGGCTGCTACTAGAGTATTTATAGTTCCAAGCGCCAGGGAGACCAAATGTGCCACTCAACCCAGGGAATAACTGCGCCACTTAGAATGTCAATGCTCCTCTACCCCACTGCTCACCTATTTGCCTTTCTCTTGTTTCTGAATCATTTCTTCATCAATGTATTGCTTATGACACTAGCCATATTGCCTCATCTATTTTCACAAGGGATTGCATAAACATACTTTATATGCCCTCAGAACGAGAACTTACAAGGTTGAGAAAGAACTTTGGAAGGCAATGCTGAGCACATGTGCCCTGGTTATGTATTTTTCCAGGGGAGAAGATTTGCACAGATCAAGGCATCTTTAATTCCTTTGTTATCAAACCAAAATGTGGCCATACACATGTATATTTCTTGTCTTAAGCAAGAGGTGATTGTATCTACTTTCCCAGTGGGGGGAACTCCTGCTCACAAAGGTGGGGCACTTGGCCCACCGTCACATGGCAAGCTCTGACAACACAGTACTTCAGCCTCACAGGGTTCTCTAGGCACTGGTGGACACAATTTCTAGGATACTATTTTCTGCTTTTAAATGTCAATTTAATGAAGTACTGTGTATTACATTCTGGAAGAATTTTATAATTTTCAAAAGTAAAAATACTGAAGCAGTACTTTTAGAGCACAAAAAGCTTACCTGTGTTTGCATTGAGTTGAAAGTACCCAGCAAATTCGTGAACTTTATTTATATTTTTTATAGTTGGGGTTCCTAAGAATTACTAACATTTAAACTCAGATCCTAACCACAAGAAATTACCAGCTATGCAAAGATCAGAGGAGAGAACATTCTAGGGAGAGGAAAAGGCTAGTGCCAATACCCAAAGGCAGGAATGAGTTTGTTATGTTCTAGGAACAGAAATGGGGCCAGTGTGGCTGGAGACTCAAGGGAAAGGGAGGGTGGCAGAAGATTAACAGCGATCTCAGCCCAGACATAAAATTTTGTGAGCTGGGAGGAGTTTCTATATTTTTCTGAATGTGACAAAAGCCACTGGAGAAATGTAAGCAGAAAAATGGCTGTGGTCTGATTTTTTTTTTCTGTCATTTTTATTTTTTATTTTTTATTTTTATTTTAAGTTCTGGGGTACATGTGCAGAACATACAGAATTGTTACATAGGTATACATGTGCCATGGTGGTATGCTGCACCTATCAACCCGTCATCTAGGTTTTAGGCCCCGCATGCATTAGGTATTTGTCCTAATGCTCTCCCTCCCCTTACCCCAACCCACCAACAGGCCCTGGTGTGTGATATACCCCTCCCTGTGTCCATGTGTTCCCATTGTTCAACTCCCACTTATGAGTGAGAACATGTGGTGTTTGATTTTCTGTTCCTGTGTTAGTTTGCTGAGAATGATGGCTTCTAGCTTCATCCATGTCCCTGTAAATGACATGAACTCATTCTTTTTTATGGCTGCATAGTATTCTATGGTGTATATGTGCCACATTTTCTTTATCCAGTGATTTCATTTTTAAAAGATCACTCTGGCTGCTGTTGAGAGACAAGAGAGAGAAACCCTAGTGACCAATTAGGTAGCCACTGCAATAGCCTAGACAAGTAAATATAGTGGCTTGGATTGTCTGGCAACAAGGGAAATGAAGAGACTGTGACACATTTTGGATATGTCTTGAAGGTAGAGTTGACTGAATTTGCTGATGGCTTGAGTCAAGTAAACAGTAGAGTTTGGGGAAGAAGCCAGGGCTGGGATCATATGAAATTGTAGACATGTGAAAGTTGATTTGGAGTCATTCCTGTCCTACCCAATGAAAATGGAGTCAAGGAGCCTTTGTTGGGAAAGAGCACTCTGGTCACAAACGTCTTCCAAAAACTGTCTCGCAAGTTTACTCCAAGGAAACAGCCTGCTATGACTTCAAGGCGAACTTTACCTAGCAGTTGCTGCCACCTGCCAATCAGAGCTCACCAGCGCCCACTCTGCTATCGCCAATTAACTTTCTTTGAAAACAACTTACATCTTCTTTCTCCTTTCCCAATAAAACTCCAGCCCTTTCCTTTGTTCTTTGGACACACTGGAAACTGCCCTGGTCTCTGTGTGCATGTCCTTATTGCAAGCCTACTTTCTGTATATTACTCTCAAATAAAATCCTCTTGCTTAGAGATTTGTCTCTGCATATATATATATATATATATAATTTTTTTTAGTATTGACAAATGAGAAGAGATTCCCTCAGGAATAAATGATAGAAGAGCCCTGAACTGTGCACACTCCAGCATTTAGAGGTTAGGAAGGGGAGGAGGAGGATCTAGCAGCGAAGACAAGACATAATGGTCAGAGGCAGGAGGAAAACCAAGAGACCAAGATGTCCCTGAAACCTGGGAAATAAAGGGTCATAGAAGAAGGAGTGTCAGTGATTTCTATTGTCTCAATTGCTTCTGGGAAGTCAAATGCAGAGAAGTTGACCAATGGATTTGGCAAGATAGAGTTCATTTATGTATTTATTTTATTATTATTATTATTTTGAGATGGAGTTTCACTCTTGTTGCCCAGGCTGGAGTACAATGGTGCGATCTCAGCTCACTGCAACCTCCACCTCCAGGGTCAAGCGATTCTCCTGCCTCAGCCTCTCAAGTAGCTGGGACTACAGGCACACACCACCACACTTGGCGGATTTTTAAAAAAATTTTTAGTAGAGATGGGGTTTTGCCATGTTAGCCAGGCTGGTCTCGAACTCCCAACCTCAGGTGATCCACCTGCCTCAGCCTCCCACACTGCTGGGATTATAGGTGTGGGCCACCACGCCCAGCCTGGAGAGAACATTTTAGAGTAACAGAGGAGGGTTACTGAGTAGGATTTAGTACACTCAAGATTTATAATCATAAATCTAAAATGATACCAGTCATCCTGGTGGATTTTTTCATCAGATGTTTGGGTGTAGGCATAGAGTAAGAAGACAGTGGAATTTAACCTGGTATAGAGCTTTGCTAGGTAAGTCCAAAGGGAGAGAGGGTTATGGAACTGTGGTGCTTTTAATGGATGTGATTATGTAGATCATGGATTCTAAACTGGGTAAGGAAGAAAGTGAAAACATGAGGGAGGTGATGGATACTGAAAAAGTGGTAGTCAATGGGGGTCAGGATAAGACAGAATTATTGAATTGTAGCCCCAGAGTTGGTGATCTTGATGTGGAGTGCCCAAAGTAAAGATTTCACAGGTGGTATAGTTTTGAGGATGACAAAGCAAAGGATATAACCATGGGAGTGGGTGGTTGAGAATGACTGAAGAAAAAAAAGCATTGGATGTGAAGAAGTAAAAATCTGAGGAGGCCAACATGACAAATAGGAAAAGCTATTTATCATAGAATTGAAGCAAAATAAATGAGAACATTTAACTACTTCAAAACATCTATTATTCAGGTATTTTACTTTAAGTAGATGGATACTAAGAGCTGATTTACTGTCAGGCTGAAATTCGGTTCCAGGATTAGGATGAAGCTTTTAACAAAGTAAAAATGGTCAAGTGCATTTCTATTAAAAAACTAACCAAACCTTGGCTATGACAGAATGACAGGTTTTATGACCATATGGTTTAACCTAAATGTGTTTATGAGGCTCTCCAGAAAACATGACAGATGGCAAAGAGCTGCAGAATGAACAAAAGGAGAGTGTGGTTCAGACAACGTCTTAGTGATAACAATGAAAAATTGAATACTTCCCAGCGGGCCTTCTGCAGAGGACAAAAGACTGAAATTATTGGAATTCTATATTGCTGTTTAGGTGAAAATTAAATTTGCTTTAAAACATTAACTTTTCCTGAAAAATCTCAATTTTAAACTAAATAAATAGAAAGCTAACGGGTTTCTAATTCCCTTTTGAATTTCTTTTTTTCAGAAATGATTTATCCATTCCATGTTTTATTTCACATTCTTCTTCAGGCCTGAAATTTACTCCTTACTGTTTTATTATTACTTAAAACTTGTAAAAAATTTTGTTAGGAGAATGTTACCTGGTAATTTATTGATTTTCTGCTTAACTTCATTCACAAGGGTCTACCCATTAGCATGTAAATTTTGATTAGGCTGCTGAGCCCATTTCCTTTTGGCATCAGTGCTAAAAATGATGATAAAGGGCTCGGTTGGTGCCATCTGGGTGCTTGCATTGTGATGTTACAGCTAACACTAGAAATTAGATTGAGAAAACCAATTAATTTACTGCAATGTCATTCAGATATTGAAAAAGAAAAGCCTTTCAGAGTGCTAACAATAGTTCCTAGAGATAAGAACATATTTTCTAGTGTATATTAATGATCATTTTCCTTGCCGCCAGCCTGGTGATCTGAGAGTGTCCTGGATGGTGTGGAGCAGGGGACAGTGTTGCTAAGATGCTGGTTGTGACAAAAACCTTTAAAAACCTTTAAACTGCAAATAAAAATCACCTTATTGGCCGGGCACGGTGGCTCATGCCTGTAATCCCAGCACTTTGGGAGGCCTAGGTGGGCAGATCACCTGAGGTTGGGAGTTCGAGACCAGCCTGACCAACATGGAGAAACCCTGTCTCTACTAAAAATACAAAATTAGCCGGGTGTGGTGGCACATGCCTGTAATCCCAGCTACTCGGGAGGCTGAGGCAGGAGAATCACTTGAATTGGGAGGCAGAGTTTGTGGTGAGCCGAGATTGCATCACTGCACTCCAGCCTGGGCAACAAGAGCCAAACTCTGTCTTAAAAAAAAAAAAAAAAAAAAAAAAAAGTCATCTTATTAAATTACTCAGGCTGCTTTTTAATTGGGGTGAATAGTAAAAATAGCTGATGCTCACTGAGTGCTTACAATGTGCCAAGCACTGTTCTGAGTGCTTTACATCCTTAAAACAACCCTAGAAAGTAGATGCTATTCATTCTTTTTTTTTTTTTTTTTTTTTTTTGAGACGGAGTCTCGCTCTGTCGCCTAGGCTGGAGTGCAGTGGCGCGATCTTGGCTCACTGCAAGCTCCGCCTCCCGGGTTCACGCCATTCTCCTGCCTCAGCCTCCCGAGTAGCTGGGACTACAGGTGGCTAATTTTTTAAAATATTTTTAGTAGAGACGGGGTTTCACCGTGTTAGCCAGGATGGTCTCAATCTCCTGACCTCGTGATCCGCCCGCCTCGGCCTCCCAAAGTGCTGGGATTACAGGCGTGAGCCACCGTGCCTGGCGCCTGCAGATGCTATTCATTCTTACATCTACTCTAGAAGGTAGATATTATTATTATCTCAAGAACTCATGGCTAATTAGTGCCAGATCTAGGATTCAAATCTAGTCAAGTGGCTCCAGAATTAATAATCTTTACGACTATGCTATATCTATTTTGGAAAGAAAACAAAATGCTTGATGTTACTATTATTTTCTTTTTTGTCGCCTTTTTTTTTTTTAAAACAATATCGGATGGCCTTTCTTCAGGGTCTGTAAATATTGGTTACAACAGAGAGTTGGTAAACTATGGCCCATGGTTCAAAATCAGCAGCCATTAAAAAAGAAAAAAAAAAGCTCCATTGAGATATAATTGACATAACATAAAATTCGCTCTTTTAAAGGATACACGTTGATGGTTTTTAGTGATTTTAAAAAGTTATGTAACCATCACTACTATCTAATTTCAGAATATATTCATCACCCCAGAAAGAAAAACTGTCCCCATTAACAGTCATTCTCTATTCTCTCTCTCTCCCCATCCCCTGGCAACCAATAATTACTTTCTGTTTCTATGAATTTGCCAATTCTAGACATTTCATGTAAATGAAATAATACACTATGTGGCTCTTTGTGACTGGCTTCTAAGCAGAATGTTTTCAGGGTTCATACATGTCTTAATATATGTGTTAGTCTCTTCTTGCATTGCTATAAAGGAATACCTGAGATTGGGTAATTTATAAAGAAAAGTGGTTTATTTTGGCTCATGATTCTGCAGGCTGTACAGGAAGCATGGTGCTGGCAGCTGCTTCTGGTGAGGGCCTCAGGAAGCTTCCAATCATGGTGGAAGGTGAAGGGGGAGCAGGAGAGAGAGGGGAGAGGTGCCACACTCTTTTAAACAAGCAGGTCTCCTGTGAACTCAGAGCAAGAACACACTCATTATTTTAAGGACAGCACCAAGCCATTTATGAGGGATCTGCCTCCATGACCCAAACACCTCCCACCAGGCCCCCCTCTAACATTGGGGATTATAGTAATATTGCAACATGAGATTTGGAGGGAACAAACATCCAAACTGTATCAGCATATAGAGGTGCTTCATTTCCTTTTATAGTCAAATAATATTTAATTATATGGATATACCACATTTTGTTTATTCATTCATCAGTTGGTGGACATTTGGGTTTTGTTTTTGTTTTTTTACTTTTGAGCGATCATGAATAACTCTGCTATAAACATTTGTGTACAGACTTTTTTATGGACATATGTTTTGATTTCTTGTGTATATACCTAGGAGTGGAATTGTGTATATATCTAGGAGTGGAAATGGTAACTCTATGTTTATCATTTTGAGGACCTGCCAAACTGTTCCGCAGAGGCTGCCAAACATTCCCATCAGCAATGTATAAGAGTTCCAATTTCTCTACCTCCTTGCCAGTACTTCTTATTCCTCATTTATTTTTATTATGGCCATCCTAGTAGATGTGAAGTGATATCTCATTGTGGTTTTCACTTGCACTTTCCTGCTGACTAATGATGTCAAGCACCTTTCTGTGTGCTTATTGGACATTTGTATATTTTCTTTGGACAAATGTATGTTCAAATCCTTTGCCCATTTTTAAATCACGTTGTGTTTTTATTGGTGAATTATAAGCATTATTTATATATTCTGAATACAAGTCCCTTATCAGATACAGGATTTGCAAATATTTTCTCCCATTCCATGGGTCGTTTTTTCCTTTTCTCGACAGTATCCTTTGAGGCACAGAAGTCATATTTTTGGTGTCATATCTAGAAAACCACTGTCTACTTCAAAGTCATGAAGATTTACTCCTATGTTTTCTTTTAAGAATTTTATAGATTTAGCTCTTATACTTAGAATCTGTAGATCAATTTGGGAAGTATTGCCATTTTAACAGTATTAGGTTTTCTGGTCCATGAACATGGGATGTCTCTCCATTTATTTTAAGTCTTTCTTTCAACAGTGCTTTCTAGTTTTCAGTATACAAGTTTTGCACTTATTTTGTTAAATTCATTCCTAAATATTTTATTCTGTTTGATGTTGTTGTTAAGGGAATTGTTTTCTTAATTTTATTTTCAGATTGTTCATTGCCAGTATATAGAAGTACAATTGTTTTTTAAAAATTGATCGTTTATCCTGCAACCTTGCTGAGCTTGTGAACACTAATAGTTTTTCAGTGGAAAAACTATTCCTTAGAGCCCTCCCTCCCTCCCTCTCTTCTTTCCTGCCTTCCTTCCTTCCTTCCTTCTTTTGAGACAAGATCTCACTCTGCTGTCCAGGCTGGAGTGCAGTGGCATGATCATGGCTCACTTTAGCCTCGACTTCCTGGGCTCAGGTGATCCTTCTGGCTTCAGCCACCCAAGTAGCTGGGACTACAGGCGTGCACCACCACGCCCTGCTAATTTTTGTATTTTTTTGTGGCGATAGGGTTTTGTCATGTTGTGCAGGCTGATCTTAACTCCTGGGCTCAAGCAATCCACCTGTCTTGGCCTCCCAAAGTGCTGGGATTACAGGCATGAGCCACTGCACCCAGCTGGATTCCTTAAAATTTTCTACATGTAAGAAAAATTTTCTACATGTCATCTGCAAATAGGGATAGTTTTACTTCTTTTCCAATCTGTATAGGATGATTACTTTTATAGCTTTTATTACTTTTTTTGACTAATTTCCCTGGCTAGAACCTCCACTATAATGTTGAATAGATGTGGTGTGAGTGACATTCTTACCCTGTTCCTGATCTTAGGGGGAAAGAATCCAGTCTCCCACTATTAAATATAATTTTGGCAAAACCCAGTCTCTACTAAAAATACAAAAAATTAGCCAGGCGTGGTGGCTGGTGCCTGTAGTCCCAGCTACTCGGGAGGCTGAGGCAGGAGAATTGCTTGAACCTGGGAGGCGGAGGTTACAGTAAGCCAAGATTGCGCCACTGCACTGCACTCCAACCTGGGCGACAGAGCGAGACTCCATCTCAATATATATATAATATATTTTGTTTACCATGGGTTTTTCACAAATGTCCCTGATCAGTTTGAAGAAATTTTTTCTATTTCTAGTTTCTCGAGTGTTTTTATTAAGAAAAGGGGTTCAATTATATGTTCAGTCAGCTGGTATACATAGGATAAATCCTACTTGATCATGGTGTATAATAATTTTTATATGTTGTTGGATTCTATATGCTAATATTTTGTTGAGGACTTTTGTAACTATATTCATAAGGGATATCAATTTCTTTTCTTGATGTGTCTTTCTTTCTCTTTTCTTTCTTTCCTTCTTTCCTTCTTTCTTTCTTTCTTTCTTTCTTTCTTTCTTTTTTCTTTTTCTTTTTTTTTTTTGAGACAGAGACTAGCTCTGTCACCCAGGCTGGAGTGCAGTTGCACAATCTCGGCTCCCTGCAACCTCCAGCTCCCAGGTTCAAGCAGTCATGTCTTAGCCTCCTGAGTAGCTGGGATTACAGGTGTGTGCCACCACACCTGGCTAATTTTTGTATTTTTTTTAAAAAAAAAAAACAGTGTGACACCGTGCTGGCTAGGCTGGTTTTGAACTCCTGGCCTCACGTGATCCACCTACCTCGGCCTCCCGAAGTGCTGGGATCACAGGCGTGAGCCACCGCACCCAGCCCCTTTTGACGTATTTTTCTTGTTTTGGTGTGATGGTAACGCTGGCCTCAAAGAATAAGTTCAGAAATGTTCCTTCCTCTTCTATTTTGAAAAAGATTTTTATCATTCTGATTCTGTTTGAAAGTTGATAGAATTTACCAGTGAAGTCATCTGGTGTTGGGATTTTCTTTGTGGGTTTTTTTGTTTGTTTTTATTGCTAACTCAATTTCTTTACTTGTTAGAGATCTATTATCTATTTCTTCTTGAGTCAGTTTCAGCAATTTGTGTCTTTCTAAGAATTTGTCTATTCACACAGATGATCTAATTTGTTGTACTATACAATTTTTCATAGTATTCCCTAATCCTTTATGTTGCTGTAAGGTTAGTAGTAATGTCCCCTCTTTCATTTCTGATTTGACTAATTTGAGTCTTTTCTCCTTTTCTTCTTTAGTCGTGGTAGAAGTTTGTCACTTTTGCTGATTTTTCAAAGAACCAACTTGTGTTAATTTTCTCTATTGTTTTTCTGTTCTCTATTTCATTTATTTTTGTTATTTGTAATTAATCTTTATTATTTTATTTCTTCTGCTTACTTTGGGTATAGTTTACTCTTCGTTTTCTTTTTCTTTTTTTTTTTGAGATGGAGTCTCACTCTGTCACCTAGGCTGGATTGCAGTGGCATGACCTCAGCTCACTGCAACCTCTGCCTCCTGGATTTAAGAGATTCTCCTGCCTCAGCCTCCCAAGTAGCTGGGCTTACAAGTGTGTGTCACCATGCCCAGCTAATTTTTGTATTGTTAGTAGAGACAGGGTTTCAACATGTTGGCCAGGCTGCTCTCAAACTCCTGACCTCAGGTGATCTGCCTGCCTTGGCCTACCAAAGTGCTGGGATTACAGGCATGAGCCACGGCACCTGTCCTCCTTTTTTATTTTCTTAAGGTTGTTAGGTTATTGAATCTTAATATAAAATATTCTTTTTAAATATAGGTGTTTACAGCTATAAATTTTCCTCCTAGCATTGCTTTAGTTACATCCCAGATGTTTTGGTATATTGCATTTTCATTTTCATTGTTCTCAAAATATTTTCCAATTTCCTTTGTAACTTCTTCTTTGACTCACTGGTCATTAAGGAATATGTTGTTTTGGCCAGGCTCAGTGGCTCATACCTGTAATCCCAGCACTTTGGGAGGCTGAGGCAGGCAGATCACTTGAGCTCAGGAGTTCAAGACCAACCTAGGCAACATGGCAAAACCCCGTCTCTACAAAAAACACAGAAATTAGTCAGGCATGGTGGTGCACCCCTGTAGTCCCAGCTACTCAGGAGGCTGAGCAGGGAGGATTGCTTAAGCCTCGGAGATAGAGGCTGCAGTGAGCCATGATCATGCCACTGCACTCTAGCCTGGGCAACAGAGCAAGAGGCTGTCTCAAAAAAAAAAAAGAGTATGAGAGTATGTTGTTTAATTTCCACATATTTGTGAAATTCCCAAATTTCCATCTCGTACTGATTTCTACTTTCATTCCATATGGCAAGAGAATATACTTTGTATGATTTCAATACTTTAAAGTTTATCAAGGCTTATTTCAATGTCAACTTAAGAAAGGGCTTCACAGATAACATAAAAGTCTAATAACCATGGTGGGTCTCAGTGTAGAGATGTATGTTTAACGTCATGAAACTCAGTGGAGACTAGTTTAATAAATTATGGCAATAGAATGCAATAGGAAATCATGGAAGTTTTAAAAGGAATGATATGGTCTGTATATAAAGATATGTTATTAAGTAAACAAATAAGAATAGACAGTGAGTATAGTTTGCTGCCATTTGTGAATATAAACAAGCATGAGAGGGGGATACACATATAGAGAGAATATTCCCTTATAGGCAATAAGGAAACTGTTACCAGTGTTTCCTCTAGTGAGAAGAACTGGGAAAACCAGGGTTAGGGATGAAAAGGAGACTTATTTTCACTGAATATCCTTTGATGTTGTTCAAAGATTTTTTTAAATCTCCGGTTCATGTGCATCCTTTGCGTGGGGAGATACTGTAAGCAGAAGTAATAAATTAAAAGATTGATATATTTGATTATATAAAAATGTGAAATTTTGGATGGTAATATCATCATAAGCAAAGTTAAAGTCAAATGATAGAAAGGGAAATATTTTTAATAAAAATGATAGTTTAAAGTTTAATATCTATAATATATTAAGAGATTGTATAAAGTGATAGGAAAAACACAGAAAACACAATTTTAAAAATAGGAAAAGGATATAAATTAATACTTTACAGAAAAAGAAATCTAAATATTCAAAAAGTATATTTTATAATCTCAACATCAATGATAGTCAGGGAAATCCAAATCAAAGATAATGGCATACTATTTTTCACCCAAAATATTGAAAACAGTGATAATAAATGGTGCTGGCTGAAAAACAGGAACTCTCCTACAGTGGTAGTGGGTATAGGAATTGCTCCAATGGGGGTAATACTTTATTTCATCAAATCTAAGATAGCAATTGAAGGATGCACCTTTATTTTATCTAAGGAAGAAAAACACTGCCAATTAAACTATGACACAATGCTTTCTGCTCTTTAATTATAAGATGCATCCCAATTTCAGGGATGCTAAATGTGAATGATAAAATCTGGTAAGATTTCAATATCCATTAACATTAGAATTATACATACCCTTTCAACAAGCACTCATACTTTAGGGAATCTATGCTGGAGAAAGAGAAATAAGCAAGGTGATATTTAAGATATTTAACAACTAGTATGATGCAGATACCTACCAATCAGAAAAAAATCCTAATCAAAAGAGACACCGACTAGTAGGCCTGCCCCTAACATTCTCAAGTCCTGGGCAGGCTACAAATATAGACTTGCATATCAGCTATTATATACTTAAACTTTGCTGTAAATTCAAGCTAAAAATCTGTTAAATCAAATATGTTCTATCACCATATTTTGACAAACATCCCTTCATGACAACCTGCAAGAACTATTCAAATTTAAAATTATTGCCCTGGCCAGGCATGGTGGCTAACACCTATAATCCCAGCACTTCGGGAGGACAAGGTGGGTGGGTCACATGAGGCCAGGAGTTCGAGACCAGCCTGGCCAACATAAGGAAATCCTCTCTACTAAAAATACAAAAATTAACCGGGCGTGGTGGCACACGCTTGTAGTCCCAGCTGCTCAGGTGGCTGAGGCATGCGAATTGCTTGAACCTGGGAGGTGGAGGTTGCAGTGAGCTGAGATTGCACTACCATACTCCAGCCTGGGTAACAAAGCGAGATCCTGTCTCAAAAAATAATATAAAATAAAATTATTGCCCTTCTCTGACCATGGTAGCACTGGGAAGGTAGCCTCCCATCTTCAACCTGTGGCTCATGACTCACCCTCATTGTCTTCCTACTCCTATCCTCCTCCCTCACTGAGAGGAGTCTTGCATGTAGTCATACAAACCCCCAGCCTGCATGACCAAGCTCTGTCTGTACCCTCAAACACTCCTTGGCTACACTTGAGGCCTAGAGGTGTTTGCAGTGGTGGCGCAGGCTTCCCTCAAGAGGACAGAGCTGGGATAGAGATCCATGCAAGCCTGTAAGTGGGCTCAGGACCTCTGAGTAGGCTATTTCATCATCTTGGGTATAAAACTAGTCAAAAAGGGGGTCACAGACTACAATTGGATGCATCCCCTTTGGCTCACAGACTCCTTGCCCCATGGGGAGAGCCTGAACTGGAGGAGGGCCAGGGCAATTGTCTTCTAGCAGGGGGCCCAGGTCTAAGAGTTTTACTAGCAGGGGGCCCAGGTCTAAGAGTTTTACTGCTAGCCAGTATCCTCTTCTGGTATGTATGAGTTAAATATTACTCCTTTAGAAAAGTAGAGACACGCATGCCAAAATGTTTATTGCATTTTTTGGTAGTAGAAAAAACTCAAGAAAATCTTAATGTAATTCTAGTATATCCCTACTATGAAAAAAAATGCAGCTGTTAAAAATAATTAATGTGGGGCATGGTGGCACATGCCGGTACTCCCAGCTACTCAGGAGACTAAGGCACGAGAATCACTTGAACCCAGGAGGGGAAGGTTGCAGTGAGCCGAGATCGCACCACTGCACTCCAGCCTGGGTGAGAGACTGAGACTCGTCTCAAACAAATAATAATAATAAAAATAATAATAAATGTGGTTAAGAAATATCAAGTATGGTTTGAAAAAGCAAGTTGCAGTTAAATGTTTATGGTTGTAATCTCAAATGATATCAATGAAAAATTCACATATTGTTTATAGGTGTCATTTTGTATGATCACAAGCAAAGTTATGTCAGGACCTACTCTATAATGTTATAGGAAGAAAGTATAAGGAATGGTAAAGTTGTAGTTAAAGGGAAGATGTGCATGACATAATGTTAAGTGAAAATATAAAATGTAGAATTAAAATTGGTTTATATGCAAAAAAAATATGCAAACATTGAATATGCCTATGGACAAGGGCTATAAGATAACATAGAAAAAATTAAAATATTGGCCAGTCGTGGTGGCTTATGCCTGTAATCCTAGGACTTTGGGAGGCCGAGGCGGGAGGATCACTTGAGCCCAGGCATTTGAGACAAGTGTGAGCAACATGGCAAAACCCCGTCTCTACAAAGAATACAAAAAATTAGCCAGGTGTGGTGGCATATGCCTGTAGTCCCAGCTACCCAGGAGGCTGAGGTGAGAGGACCACTTGAGACCAGGAGGTAGAGGCTGCAGTGAGCCCTGATCACACCACTGCACTCCAGCCTGGGCAACAGAGTGAGACCATGTCTCAAAAAGAAATATTGATTTAATCAAGTGACAGAATCTCAGGCAATTTTTGTTCTGAATTTATGCTGGTTGTTTTTGCAATAAAGATTTTTTTAAGAGACTGGAATGCATAAATAAGGATTGGGGGGGTGGGTAAGTCAATCATTCTACTTAATGCTATGTTAATACTGTTCAGTAGAACCAGTTCTAAGCTCCATAGCTAAAGAGTAATGAAGAAAACTTGGAGATGCTCCAATAAGAGCCATCAAAATATTAAGAATTTAAGAATACACAGTTTTAGGAAGAGTAAAAGGAACTGAACTCAAACAGCTTAAAGCTTCCTTCAACTGTAAAACACGGAGATTTGACTCAGTAATTTCTCATATCCTTCCAGCTCTAACATTTTTTTTGTTCTGAGACTAGATCCGTTAGTCAACAGAGAAACTGCCAACTACCCACAGCATCTGAAACAGTGAACTCAGCATATGAAGATGCTGAGGAATAACCATGGTTGAAGGCTGACTGCATCTTAGTCCTTCCATCATAAGAAGAATTTCTTCCAGACAGAAGAGGTTAAGGAGATGTGCCCATTCTCCTCTGAGCAAGAGAGTAAACGGGCTTTAACCGCAGCATGACAAATTTAGGATCATGGAAAGTTATCTGAAAAAATGTAGTAAATGTAGAGTTAACACAAGACTGATTTTAAAGTCCCCCTATCTCCACTTTAAAATTTTGAAGTCCCTATTAGGGGGATCTTAAAATTACTGAGTCAAATCTCCATGTTTTACAGTTGAAGAAACCTTTAAGCTAAGTTCAGTTCCTTTTATTGTTCCTAAAAGGATATATTCTTAAATTCTTAATATTTTGATGGTTCTTATTGGAGCACCTCCAGATTTTCTTCATTACTCCTTAGCTGCGGAGCTTAGAGCTGGTTCTGAACACTATTAACGTAGCATTAAATAGAATGATTGATTTACCTCCCAATCCTTATTTATGCATTCCAATGTCTTAAAATAAATATTTATTGCAAAAACAACCAACATAAATTCAGAACTAAAATTGCCCATGATTCTGTCATTTGATTAAATCTACCATTAGCCATGTAGATGGTATATCACTAGCAATGTAGATGCCACTAGCAATGTAGCTGGTATATCACTTTCTGTTGTAATTATGTGATTACATCTGTGTGATAGAGATAAAATGTTCTGTGCCAATGCTCCTCATCCCCTACCTCCTTCCTGCCACATACCAAACGACAGTTTGTTTGTCAAATTCTGGATTTTTTTTTTCTGGAGTGGAAGAATAAAAAGTGGTATAAAAACAGGAATGAAAATGAAGAAGAAAAATGCAAGGGTCTGGTGAAAGCAGCCAAATCTATGAACAAATGGAGAACTCAGAGAAAGGGTCTTGCCACCAGGGTGGGAAAGAGTTTGGGAAGATTAGCACATGAGAACCTCTCGGTAATCAAAGTCTCTAAATATGACAAATTGAATTGAGACTCCTTTCATATTCTTTGAGAAGCTAAATAAATATTGAAGTATATTTTAAATTAGCATTTGGAAACTAAACTGGGTTTCCCACAAAGAGACTAAGCCATGTGGGTCCTAGGTTTTATTTAGGTTACATGTATCTGTTGCCTCCCTTTCTACTCCACACATATTTCTTCAGTACCTAACACAGTGCCTGAATGATTCAATAAGTGAATGTATGAGTGGCACATATGTATAAATAAGTTGTATCTGGTTCCTTCTGAGAAAATTCCCAGGTTTCAAAATCAGTATTAACCAACATTTCCAGGTGATGTCACTTTGCTGAATATTTAAGCACTAATGGTCCTTGAAGCCAGGCCAGCAGATGAGAGGACTGCCTACAGGTTGAATATAGACAGGGGGGCCTGCGTGAAAGCTCAAAATGGAAAGACAATAGTAAAAGTGATGCAATTGTGGCAATAGTTAAGATGATAGCTATTAATGTGACAGCCAAGAGAAAGACAAGGCAAAGGCTTAAGAGTAGAACAAGCTGTGAGATCAGTGACCAGGAGAGTCCAAAGGATGATGTCCATGTACAAGTCCCAGATAAATGAGGTATGTTCAGAGAGCTGAGAAGAGGAAATTCTTCAGAATGTGTCTTCTACTGGGGCATGTTTAGCTGTTTAAAAACACTGGGTCAGGCTGTGCATCATCCTCCTTTCTGATCCTCCTCCTCCCACTAGGCAGGGCAGTCCAGACTGTTCAAGGCAAGTATTATAATGGGCAAAACTGGCACAAATCATGTCAGTATCCTGGAACAATACTGGTAGTCACTGTATTATACACTGTCACAAACTTGTGGTTAAATAAATAAATAAAGATGATGATGATGCTGTGAAATTTATCTGTGAAGTAAGACATAAACTCCTTGGTACACTCTCCCTGCCAATGGCCCTTTGTGGAACCATTCCTGGAGCCAATTTCAGTAACATCCTTGAGGAAATCTAATATTTTCCGTCAACCAATTCCATTTCCACATTTGGTCTCTTCTGATAATTCACAGTTAATTTTCCTCTTGGAATAAATCTTTTAAGTTGCTATGGACTTGATATAGAAGTGTATTAGGCCGTTCTTGCATTGCTATAAAGAAATATCTGAGGCTGGGTAATTTACAAAGAAAAGAGGTTTATTTGGCTCATGGTTCTGCAGGCTTTACCGGAAGTGTGGTGCTGGCCTCTGCTCAGCTTCTAGGGAAGCCTCAGGAAGCTTACAGTTATGGTGGAAGGCAAAAGGAGAGCAGGCATGTCACATGGCCAGAGCAAGAGCAAGTGAGAGAGAGAGAGAGAGAGAGAGAGAGAGTGCCAAGCCATGAGGGATCCACCCCAATGACCCAGACACCTCCCACCCCACCTCCAGCATTGGGGATTACAATTCAGCATGAGATTTGGGCAAGGACAAATATCCAAACTATATCGAGAAGATAGCATAAACCTGTGAGAATTGTTTTTCAGATTCTTAATGACAGCATTTCTATCAGTTGAGTTTCTTTCCTAATGTAGGATCAGCTTTTGTTGCCATTGTATGAAATTGAGTCCTACATTGTTTATTGCATACGATTATTTGTATAGTTAGTTTTTTAAAGAACTAGTTTGTACCGGTTTGCATTGGTATCATATTTCTGCAAATATTTTCCTTACTTGAGCATTCCCCATCCCCCATTTTGAGAAAATTAACATAATTGCACTTTCTTTTTTACCGAAAAATGCAACAATTAACATAATTGCACACTTTTTCTTTTCTTTTCTTTTTTTAAATGGCAACTCAGGCTGTTAACCATTCAAGATCCAAGAACATCGGTTGGCTGCAAAACAGGCACCCTGAGGGACCAATTATGAATCAGAATGCACTTTATCCCAGCCACAGAACGCAAAGGGTTACACTCTGCAGGAGCTGCGGTTGGGGAAGGGAAAGGGAGTAACCGGATTCGCCTTGCCTGTCTGTGATTGGGAAGCACGCACCCTTTATTTTCCAACTGGGAACAAGATACTGGAAATTCCTCTTTCCCTTAGAAAACAGAAGGCAAGGGTGTTGGCTGTGGAAATTAGAACTGGGTAATATTTCTAGAGCACTTTGAAATTCTTTCAGGATAAGTGTTATACGAACACAAATGATTTCTTTCATTGTTAAATTGTGTTCCTATCATTGGTAACGCCCCAAGTAAAGCCTTTTTAATTAAAAATCTCTGGATGCTATAACAAGTAACTGTGTAACTAAGTAGCAAGAGAACTTTGCCGTGTAGTGAAGGGGGAGTCAAAGATAGGCAAAACCAGCCTCTGATTAAATTACCTTTGCTTGCCACTTCCCATTACATATTATAGTATACTTTCTGCTGGACAAAATCGAAAGGAGATAAGATGGACATAAGGGTAGGAAAATCATTCAAAATGTGAGCCTCTAAGATCACATTGAAAGGAAGAGGAGAAACCAGGTGTGTTGTGGAGACAAAGAGAGGTGCCTAATGGATTTGAAGTCCACTAATGTGGGAGGGAAAATAAATCCTGGAGTTATAACTCCTGAATTATAAGACAGGAAGAAAGTCAGGAAGTGGAAACTCAAGAATGAATGTGGAAAGGAATTTGATCATATTTTGAAATGGCTTCTGAGCCATAGAAAATTAAAGTACCACACTTTATAGACCAATACTGTGGAAAATGACATTCTCTCTCATTTCATTTTCCAGTTTATTTCATCTGTAAAGAATTAGCCCTGGGAACCATATTAGCCAATTTATATTAATTTATACTATTAAGTTGTACTTAAATGGGTAACTATTATAATTAGCCACGTTTCAGGGGATAAGACTGGTACCCCCATTTTGTTTGCTACAACTACTCACTTCCAAAGATCGATTCTATTTAAACGTTTCCATGTCTTCCTAAGGTAAGTGTGTGTAATAAACAGTTTGAACTCTCACCAGTTTTCTTATCAAACTCATTAAAGGCCCAGGTTCCTGGAATTTATTGCCTTCTTGTCCTTATCCCCTCCCCCAGCCCCCACACTCTTTCTATATTAGCTTTTCTCAAAAGGTAGTCTGCACACCTTCCTTTGTGTCCTAGAGACCCTTTGAAAGGGTCCACAAGTTAGAATCTATTTTCATTATAATTCTAAGAGGAATTGCCTTTTTCACTGATGGTGCCAAAGCAAGTTTTATAGTGGATAAATCTGCTGGTGCCTTGGCACAAATGTCAGTGTACTGGAACTGTACTGGCTATCATTGTATTCTACACTGTCACATACTTGCAGGGAAAAAAAAGATGGAGTAAAAATGATCAATTTTATTAAACCTCAGTCCTTGAAGAAATGAAAGCACACACAAAGCCCTGTGCTGCATACTGAAGTACAATGGTTCCAGCACCGTGTGATTGCTGGAGTGCTGGAGCTGCTAGCTGAATTGGCTGCTTTTTCACGGAACACCTTTTCACTTGAAACACAAAGATAAGATGAAGGATGGTTACTCAGACTAGGGTATCTGGCAGGTATTTTCCTGAAAATAAATGAAGCGAGCCTGTCACTTCAAGGAAAACAGCTCACGGTATTTTTAAATGAATTAATGATTTTTTAAAAATGTCTCAGTTTTAATTTCTAATATCATAAATATTAATAAATATAACCTACATGAACAAAAGCTCTTTGGGATCCTCAGTTATTTTTTAAGAGCGTCAAAGAATCCTGGGAACAAAAAGTTTGAGAACAGCTGCTCTATATAAATGCTTCCCAGAGTGTGTTCTTTGAAAGTCTGGCCCTTGGGGTGCTCTCCTTCTGTGCTATCCAAACATATTGGGTAATTTAAACTAGCCACATGTGGTTATGTATTTGTTTATTTTTAATTTTTAATTTTGATGGGTACATAGTAGGTGTATATACTTATGGGGTACATGAGATATCTTGATACAGGCATACAATTGAATGTGTAATAATTACATCAGGGTAAATGAAGTATCCATCGCCTCGAGCGTTTATCATCTCTTTGTGTTACAAACATTCCAATTATACTCTTTTAGTTATTTTAAAATGTACTATAAATTATTGTTGACTGTAGTCACTGGGGTTATTTAAATTTACATTAAAATTTAATAATCAGTTGTGCAGTTGCGCTAGCTACGATTTAAATGTTCAATAGCTAAATGTGGCTAACAGCTTATACAACATTTTCATCATTGCAGAAAGGATGCTGCAGTCAGGGAGGATTGCATACACCTCCTTCTCTGGTTTATTCACCATGTTCATTGGAAGCAAAATTCTGAAAGGAGGAAATACTGTTTTCATTTGGTTTAAACATTTCTCAAGTTTATTTGAACATAGACTTTATTTTTCGTGTAACATCTCTATTTTATGAAACATACGTTGAAAAATGCTATTCTGCCTTTTCCCAATATTATTAACTATTCCATTGAATATGAAGTTTTGTTGTAAGCAATTTTCATACCTCTTTTGAAAGTAAATGGGTATAAATAATAAAGTATAGAAACCTATCATCTAAATCTAAATTTCATTCCTTTGCTAGTTCACACTGAGGATTTCCCTCTATGCAGTGTATATTCCAGTTCACATTACTTTTCTGATTATTTCTGAATTTTTAGTCCATGTAATGGTTGCCAACAAAGTTATATATTTGGGTTTTCTACACACAGTGTCAAAGGCTGTACCCCTGATTGGGAATCCCTGTGACTTCTGAGTATCCCCACCAGTCAATAAGATTTTGCAAGCTTTAGAGATTTTTAGTAATAAACTTTTAACTTTAGAATAGTTTTAGACAAAGAAAAATTGTAAGAGTCACAGATAATTCCCATTACCCCATACCCAGTTTCCCCTATTGTTAACGATATTGCTATAATTTGTCTCCAAGCTTTAATTTTACAAAAATGAAGGCTTATTTATTATTTTCCAAATGAAAATCATAATACTGGATATGTTTGTTCAAACCACATGCACTCCAACACCCCACCACATGAGTCATTATTTCAAGCTTCCCTTAAGTGTAGTAAGCTTAGGTGCCAAATAGCTCCTAGTCTTATCATGTAAGGCCAACAACCCCCATCACACACACCTTTCCCAGGTAGGTGAGCAGCTGGGCTGGTGACATTGGCACCAGGGCTGTGAGCAGGCAGTGCTGGCTAGAAGTTATTGGGCCACAGGAAAACATGGCCCCCAGCCAGGGTCAGGGAGCCAAGGTGGTAACAATGTGAAGTGAGACTCCGAAGTGAAAAGTCAGCAATGGAGAACAGGTAAGACAGATGCAGAAAGCTGAAAAAACTCCCAGAAGGAAAGGAAATGCACAGAGAAGTGGACAGCATGGGTTGCTTGCAGATGAGTTCATGAGTTGGGCGGGAGCTGTTAAGAACACTGAACTGGTATGGATGAATTACGCATTCTTTATAAGAAAATAGTTTTTTAAAGTAGCATGCATATTGATTAATTTTCATGCTGTTTTTAATTTTTTCTCTCCTAAGAGAAATTCATGTATATTCATATTCATGTTTGTGAATGCATATACAAAGACAATCTGGAAGTATATACACCAGGCTATAGTCAGTGATTACTTCTAGGGGTGGGAATTGGGGGGTTGGGATTAGAGTCGGGTGATATGATACGAAGGGGGTATTTTGTTTTACATTATACTTACTTCTAGAGTGTTTCAGTTATTTACAGACTATATTAACATATCGCTCAGAGAAATAAAGAAAACAAGCAGTAAAAGTAATACATGTTTGTTTATAAAAATCAGAAATATTGAGAAGTATATGAAAAAATTTAAATTATTTGTATGCTCACCACCCTGTGATAATAACTTCTTTTAGTGAGTTTCTTTCTCATCCCTACCTCCCTCTCCTTAATATTTAGATATATAGATGTTGTAGACTGTAATATTGCTCACAAATACTTGGTGCCCTTCCCTGTCCTGTTGAACACAGATGAGGCCATGTGACTTCCTGTGAACAATGAATCATGAGGAGGATTGATGAGTGTCACTTCTGGGCCAAAGCTTTAAGAACCTGCTCGTGGGTCTCCATGTTCTCTGTTCTTCATTTCTGCAATCATGGAAGCTTGTCTTGAGATGAAGCGTCTGTCATCTTTATGTATTCCTGAGTATCTATGAAGATTACAGCAACCCTGATGACTCAAGATGGACAGGCAGTATAAAGGAGAAATAAGCCTTGTTGTTGTAAGCAGCAGAGATTATCAGGTTTTTAATGTAGCATAATTACCTTACCCTGACAGAAAATATACATAGATATTTGTGAGTATTTGTATGTAAATGAAACTGTATGTATATATGTATGTGTATACAGAGATACACATATATAAAATTCATCATCGGTATGAAGGTAGGTTCATACTCTATCATTCTTTTTTGACTTAATATTTCACTACAAAAATTTTCCTATCTTACCAATTTTTGAAAATATGATTTTAATGGCTGTATATTATTTCATTTCATGGACTATTCCATTTCATGGCTGTATATCATTCCATTTCATGGACTTACCATAATGTATTTATCTCCTTTGGGCAGACATTCAGATTGTTTCCAAGTTTGACCCATGTACATTTTCAGTAAACATCTTTGAGGACAAATATTTGTCCACCGCTCTGACTCAGGATAAATTTCATACTTACGATAAATACCAAGAAATGAGATGACTGTTAATTCTAGAGCTGACTCTTTTCTCACCCTCTTGGCTTCTTATAGCTTCCATGATTGCCTCATCTCCATGGGGCTCCTCTATGTCAACAAGGTAAAATAGTTCAGCTGCCAACCCACAGGTACAGAGGCACTGAATCTCTGGCAGTTTTAATAGATGGGATAAAAATCCTATCCAAAGACAAGGTTGAGATTTTCTTCACTTAGGAATTTTCATTAAAAAACTAAGAGTAAAACAAAACAATACTTACAAAATGGAACTTTCTGCTGCATATAACTTCTAGCCAAAGAGTACCCTTCAGGGTTCCCAGTCCTGAGGTCTTTTACTCACCTCCTCCCCAACTGGGTTAGATGTGATAGTTGCCTGGTCCCTCCCAGAACCAGATTTCTGGCATTGTCTGCAGCCCACTCTCACATATGTGCCAATCCTACCCTGTTGCTCTTCAGGAGCTCTGCATGAACCTGAAAGTAGCACTTTCTCACTCTATAACTGTTGGTTTCCTGTTCTGTCTTTCCACTAAGTTACACTGTGATCTTCTTGAAGGCAGAGACTGTATTTCACTTCCACAACCATAATGATCAGCATGGTACCCAGAACTTATCTGACTTAGATAAGTGTATACATGGATGCAAGCATGAACTAATGTGTGGACTCATACATATGTGAATGCATGAATCAATGACTAGTCAAAGGGAGATATGAGGAGTATATTTTTCCATCTCCAGCATCTAAAAGGGACTGTCTTCCCACTTTCAGGATAGTTAATTTTTACATATAAATGAGCAGTTTATTTGTAAGGTATGGGTGTTTATAAGATTGGTGTTCATAACTTGCAGAATTCATGTACCTTTGAGGAACATTCTGAAAACCAAACAAGTATTTCTTTTTTCTTCCCTTAGGATTAAGTGGCACTTATGAAAAGGAAAGAGAAAATAAAGGAAAATAAGAGAATGAGGCAAGATCTTTATCACCATGTCTTTCTGAAGTGAGAGACACATTCCTTTATTTAACTAGTCAGTGCCTTGATACAAAGTGTGAGGAGCGTGTAGGGAAACAGGCTCTCTTAGTCATCATTGGTGGGAGTGTAAATTGGTGCCAACATTTTGGAGGTAATTTTGGGAGTATTTATCAAAATTCTAAATGCATATACCATCTGGCCAAGCAATTCAACCCCTGGGGGTTTATGTCCCAGAATGCTTCCATAATGCATAAATATGAATGTATAAGGATGTTAGTTGCAGCACCATCTCTAATAATCAAAATTTGAAAATAATCCAGATGCCCATCAAAAGGGGATTGGATAAATAATGTTAATCAATATAGTGGGATCTATCCAATTTAAATTATTTAGTGATAAAAGCTAAATTGCACATAACATGAACCCACATTCTAGAAAGAAGATGTAAATGCATCAGGATGTAAGACAAGAAGGATATATTGCAAATGTAGTGGTGGCTACCTGTGGGGAGTAGGGATTGGGGTAGGAGTAGAAGAGACTTTTTTTTTTTTTTTTTGAGATCAAGTCTCATTCTGTCACCTATGCTGGAGTGCAATGGCACAATCTTGGCTCACTGCAACCTCCGCCTCCAGGGATCAAGTGATTCTCCTACCTCAGCCTCCCTAGCAACTGGGATTTTAGGTGCCTGCCACCATGCCTGGCTAATGTTTGTATTTTTAGTAGAGATGGGATTTCGCCATGTTGGCCAGGCTGGCCTCGAATTCCTGACTTTAGGTGATCCACCCACCTCGGCCTCCCAAAATGCTGGAGTTACAGGCGTGAGCCACCACACATGGCTGGAAGAGACCTTTTTGATCTTATGTATTTACTTCTGTATTTAAAAAAATTATCTAAAACAAATATGCATTGCCTTTTAAATAAATATTTTAAAAATAAAAACAATAATTAATTGCTAATTTGTCAAGCCCTGGGCTGAGAATTGACCTATTCTTGGGCATTAGAAATCTTTAGTGATCGTAAACATTTCCTTTGAGGTCATTTAAATGATGGGAAGAACAAAACTGAGCAAAATACTAGAAATATCAAAATTTCAGCCATCTGATCCACATTCAAGTCCTGTTTTAGAAATATCATAGCCCTATGTTGAACTCTTTTTTACTATAGAATAGGAACTTTTGAATGAGACCATTTAAAATTATCCAAGACTCCAATTCTGGAAGTTTTTTTTTTTTTTTTTTCAGCTTTCTGCCTCACCTACGTGTCAAGTCAGACTTGGTGTTGGTTGGATTTATTTTAATTTATCCTCAGCCTTCCAAGAGCAAGTCCCTCAGTAACAGTTTCTGAATGGCCTGTTATCTGTTATGTTTTGTTTGCACATGGAAGTTGTCACGTGTTCTCTGTGACAACATGATTTCTCAATATTCAAGGGCTGAATCCTTTTCCTGACCACATTTTCTACTTGGCTTGGGATCTTCTAGAGGTTACCCATACCAAGCTCTTTTAAACTTACATAGGAATTAGTTGCTATTTTGAGCCAGCACCACACCAAGCTCTAGACAACTTCAAGCTCCCTATTATTCATATCTACTTCTAAATAATTAAAGCCATGGACAACAATATCTGGCTACATCAGCCAGTGCTTTGCGCAGGCTGAAGAATGGAGAAAGTTCACTGAACTGCTGCTATGCACTTTATTGCCATAGCTCTGGGCAAAACCTTCAAGTGGTTGCATTTTGTATGCAGGATTGCTGGCCAAACTTTTGAATTATGCTACACAATGTCACAGGCCATTTCAGCTGGCGTCCAGACACTCCTAGTATAAAAACAACCACCAGCACCCACTGTACATTTTCTCTCATTGACATTGCTGGGTGCTTTTGTTTGGTAATAGCTTGGGGCAGGGAAGAGGGGTGATGAGGATAATGGAGACGATAACATGACACTGAGGCCATTGGGTGGATTGTGAGCCCCTAGAACTACAGAATATTTTTTTTCATGAACAGGACTTGCTTTGGGGCCCAGATGTCAAAGAGTGACACAGAGTTGGAGAGGGCCATTTTTTCCCACCTCCCTGTGGAATCCAGTATTGTTCTGGCACATGTGATGGGGACTTTGGAGACATTGGGAGACAGTATTCTCAGCACATTCTTGGTCAAGTGTTTCGCAGTGGACTTCCTCAGTGAAGGCAGTGATAAAAATTTCTTCCAGCTGCTTGCCAGGACTTCATGTTGACAGATGAGAACTGGAGCAGACAAGAAAAAATACTAGGGATGCTCCAAGAGGGCCAGGACAGAGATTTCTGTAGGACTCTGTTGTATCCTCTCACATAGTATGCACTCAGTACCTATTAATTAAGTGGGTGGATGATTCTAGTAGTGATTAAAGCTGATAGATTGGTTTGTGAATATGAGGAAAGCATATGTTCAGGGACTCCCAGAAATAACCAGGACCATTTTGAAGAAAAATAGCTACTGTTTAAAGAAAATAAAATTTGAATCCCATTATAATTTATACAATGTGTGACCTAAATTTGTTTCTACAGGTAAAGTGTGTGACCACATTTGTTTCTACAGGTAAAGATAGGTGACAATTGGATTAGAAATATTTTCTAAACCACAATTGGTAAAATAACTTGTAAGAAATCAATGATCTACTTGGCTTTTTTTTTTTTGGCAGGAGTATAAACATCATTTATAAAATTAAGTCATATTCATCGTGGTCTTGACTAGATTTTTCCATAGGATCTATAACTCCATACCTAAATTATCCTGTTTCTAAAAATGTAGTGATAAGTTTGGCTCTGTGTCCACACCCAAATCTCATGTTGAGTTGTAATCCCCAGTGTTACGAGAGGGACTTGGTGGGAAGTGATTGGATCATGGGGGTGGATTTCCCCCATGCTGGTCTCATGATAGTGAGTTCTCACGAGATCTGATGGTTTAAAAGTGTGTGGCACTTCCCCCTTTGCTCCTTCTCTCTCCTGCCACCATGTGAGGAAGATGCTTGCTTCTCCTTTACCTTCCAACATGATTGTAAGTTTCCTGAGGCCTCCTAGTCATGCTTCCTGTTAAGCCTGCAGAACTGTGAGTCAATTAAACCTCTTTTCTTCATAAATTACCCAGTCTCAGGTAGTTCTTTATAGCAGTGTGAGAACAGACTAATACATGCAGTAAATATGCTTAAGGAACAAAAATTCTATGGATACGGTATAATTTACTGAATGTTTTTGTCCTCTAGCTGGATTAGTTGAAACTGAAGCCAAATGTGTGACTACTTAAGGCTGTGAATGCTTAAAGACTTTGAATAGCCATTAGAGTCTGTTCAACTGTAACTAATAAGCTTCCTTCTAGTTCTTAGACTTGGTTTATCACAGAAGTTCCTGTTTGCATTTTAAAATTCATTTCTAGGTAAGGTCTTGGCTAAGGAGAAGAAGGAAGGAAAGGAAGGTAGATTCTGTTTGGATTTTAAGGTCAGGCAGTCAGTTTGGCAGCTGGGCTTATATAACCTTTAACTTCTCCTAATTAGAAATTTTCAAAGTACCTGGCTCTCCCCAGGATGCCAATTTGCTAGAGAATCTGCTTGCAGCCTCCATGTAATCAATTTGAATCTTTAACCAACAAAAATAACAAAAGCTTCAGCTCCATGAAACAAGCTATTCTCCATTGTTTGACTCATTGTGAGGCTGGGGTTAACCTCACAATTTTAAACTCATTCATCTTAATGTACACCCTATTCAATTACCCCCATGTCCTACAAATAGGTCAAACTTTCATAAACCTTCAGAGAGAAGCCAGTCATAGAGGAGAAGTGTTTTCCTCTCACTGGTGTTTGAAAGTAACTCTTTTAACATCATTTCCAGATAAAGGTTTTAAAAATACGGCCAGGCAGGGTGGCTCAGGCCTGTAATCCCAGGGCTTTGGGAGGCCAAGGCGAGAGGATTGTTCAAGGCAAGGAATTTGACACCAGCCTGGGCTGGTCTCTACAAAAAAATTAAACAATTAGCCAGCATGGTGGCGCACGCCTGTAGTCCTAGCTACTTGGCAGGCTGAGGCAGGAAGATCACTTAAGTCCAGGAGTTTGAGGTTACAGTGAGCTGTGATCACTCCAGCCCGGGTAACAATGAGACTCTGTCTCTAAATACATATATATAGAGTCTCTAAATATATATATATTTTTTATATATAAATATATTGATTGACCTCTCATGTCTTTATATATAAATATATATTATATAATATATAAAGACATGAGAGGTCAATCAATATATATATTTATATATAAATATATATATATATTTAGAGACAAATATGTGTAAGATGTACATTGGTTCACTCCAGAAAGGTAGGAGAGATCACAGGTAGATAAGAGACAATGGGTTGCATTTATATATATATACAAAGTTTGTTATTCTTTTACTATGTGAGAATGACAATTAAGTTGTTAAAATTAACAATCCATTGAATATCGGTTGTGATAAAGAAATCAAGTATCTTTTTAACAAGAAAGTGAAAAGCAAAGGGAAATTTCAGCTTGTATTAAAAAACTTAAGAGCTCAGTTTATTTCAATATAGAATTTCAGGATAATGTGCTAGAGTGTGAATGTACCCATGATTCTATAACTTTCCATGCTTGTCTTCATCTTTTGTAACTTTATCCCCTTCCATAGTTCCAATTACTATTTATAGCCTTTCTAAAGCTGAGTTCAGTAGCTTTCCTTCCAACTTCTTTCTTTACTTTAAAAAAAAAAAAAAAAAGTGGTCAGGTGAGGTGGCTCACACCTTTAATCCCAACACTTTGGGAGGCCGAGGCAGGTGGATCACCTGAGGTCAGGAGTACAAGAGCAGCCTGTCCAACATGGTGAAACCCCATCTCTACTAAAAATACAAAAATTAGCTGGGCATGGTGGCACATACCTGTAATCCCAGCTACTCAGGAGGCTGAGGCAGGAGAATCGCTTGAACCCAGGAGGCAGAGGTTGCAGGGAGCCGAGATCGCGCCATTGTACTACAGCCTGGGCGACAGAGCAAAACTCTGTCTCAAACAGCTTTAATAAGGCACAATTCACGTAACATTACTATTCACATACCATACCGTTCACCTTTGTTTTAAAGTTTACAATTCAGTGGTTTTTAGTATATTCACAGGACTGGCAACTATCACCACAATCTAATTTTAGAACATTTTCACCACTCCTGTGAACCCAGAAAGTATCTGAGACAGGTCTCAATCAATTTAGAAAGTTTATTTTGCCAGGTTTAAGGACGTGCCCATGATAAAGCCTCTGGAGGTCCTGATGATGACACTGCCGTTGGAAAATTATGACTGAGACAGTGAAAGACACCTAACCGGGGAGACTGATTTGAGTAATAATAAAGCTCCGATCCCCTGCACAGCTGGCTCTGCATGAATTACCCTTTCTCTATTGCAATTCCCCTGTCTTGATAAATCGGCTCTGGCCAGGCAGCAGGCAAGGTGAACCCACTGGGCAGTTACAATGACATGTGCCCAAGGGGGTCAGGGCACAGCTTGGTTTTATACACGTTAGGGAGATATAAGAGATCAATCAATATGTGTAAGATGTACATTGGTTCACTCCAGAAAGGCAGGAGGGATCAGAGGTAAATAAGAGACAAAGAGTTGCATTCTTTTGAGTCTCTGATTAGCCTTTCACTGAATACACAATTTACACGTGAGAGGTGGGTAGAAGAATAGTCACTTATGCCTTAGTCTGGCTCAGTGATTTGTACATAAACAATAAGGCAGAGGAAGCAATCAGATATGCATTTGTCTCAGGTGAGCAGGGGAATGACTGTGACATCAGTCCTTTATCCAGCACCTGTGAAGATTAGCTACCAATTTACGTTGCCAAGGTAAAATACAGCATAACTGTTTTAGGGTAAAAATCTTGAGTCTCACAAGGAATTTTCTTGTGGGCAAAGTGTGAGGGAGGTATGTATTATGTTGGTGCAAAAGTAATTGTGGTTTTTGCCATTTAAACATAGGAAAAACCACAACTGCTTTCGCACCAACCTAATAGCTTTTTTATCTTTGTAGCTATCTAATTTAGGAATAAAACAGGAGCAGGTTTGCCTGATGCAGTCTCAGCTTGACTTTTCCCTTTGGCTGAGTGATTTATTTTCTTTCATAACCCAAAAAGAGACTCCATATCCATCAGCAGTCACTCCCCGTTTTTTACTCCTCTACCTCAATCCTAGGCAATCACAAATCTATTTTCTGTAGCTATGGAGTGCCTAGTCTGAAAATTTTATATGAATGGAATCGTACAACATGTGATCTTTTGTGACTGGGTTCTTTCACTTAGCATAATGTATTCAAGATTTATTCATGTTGTAGCATGTATCAGTACTTCCTTTTAGTTACTGCACAATGTTCCATTGTATGTCTATACCACATTTATTTACTTACTAGTTGATGGACATTTGGATTGTTTCCTCTTTGTGCATATACTAGAGTCATCTTTGTCCTTTATTTTCCTCTATTCTTCAACATATAATCGGTAGGCATACCTATTGCTTCTGTCATTGTAATGTCTTTCTCATATGTCTCTCCTGTCCATCACTACTGCTATAGCTTAGTTTTGTGATATCACCATTTCTCACTTTGTATTACTCCAAACAGCTTTCTATATGTTCTTTCCTCGCCCAATCTTGTCTCCTTCCCTAATCCATCCTGAACACTACAGTTTTAGTGTACTTTGTAGTCGCTTAAAAACACCAAATAGATTTCCGTATCCTATGGTGTTTCTAAAATGCAGACCCTATGGATGAGGGATGGGTTTGAGATGGGGGTGGCAGGCGAAGACTTTTAAAATATTTTTATTTCTGGGCCTCCACATTCTGTAGAACTGGGGTAGAACTGAGAAATCATTATTTTAAAAAGATAGATTCACAGGGGAATTCTATCAAACCATAAAAGATGAGATCATTGGAATGCTATTTTATCCAGTTGAGAGTACTGGAAAAGTAAGAAAACTTCTAAAAATCTTTTAAGAAAACCATAAACTAATCTCACTTATGAGGCATAAAAAATCTTAAAAATTAGCAAAGAGGACCAATGGCATATTGACATAGGAGTTAAAAAGAATCTATTTAGGCAGATAGTGAAGTAAGAAAGTCCTCGGTAAGGTTTTCTTTTTTATAAAAAGCAGCCCCCAAATCCTTTCTTTTCCTAACAAAAAGCAGCCTGAAAAATCAAGCTGCAAGCATAGATAAGCAAGCTAAAAGCTTGCATAGGTAAATACCAGCAGCTGTGCCAATAGAAGAAAAAGGCTACCTGGGGGCCAAGCATGTTCAATATGGAGGCTCCATCTTCCCCTTTCTTTGTCAACGATATGTACAGTAAGGAACAGACAACATGGCGCCAGCCATGTGGAGAGTCCATCTGCATAATAAAAGATTAGGGTGGTATGGCCAGCTTTCTCATGTGCTATGCAAACGTCACACCTAGTCCAACCAATCTCTCTCGGGCCCTGTGTAAATCAGACACCACATCCTCAAGCTCCTCTGTGAAACCTCATGCATTTCACCACGAAACTGGAAGATCCAGTTAGGGGTCTGCAAGAGAGAGATCTAGTCTCTTTTCTCTTTCTTTTGCCTATTAAAATTCTGCTCTTAAACTCACTTCTTGTGTGTTCACGTCCTCAATTCCCTTGGCATGAGATAATGAACCTCAGGTATTTACCCCAGAAAATGACACTTCTTCAGTATTTAATAATAATATATAAGTATTATTATAAAATGTATTCCGAGAATACAAGAGTGGTTCCTTAGTAGAGCATCAATTAATACAATTAATCATATTAATAAAGCTAAGGAAAAAAATCAGATTGCTGCTGCCATAAATGCCAAAAAGGTATTTGGCAAACAAAATTCAACATGCATTTATGTTAAAAATACTCAATTAATAGAAATTGATGGCTATTTCAGCCAAAGCCAGCTTCCCACCTAATGGAAAATTTTTTTTTTTTTTTTTTTTTTTCTGAGATGGAGTCTTGCTCTGTTGCCCAGGCTGGGAACGATCTTGGCTCACTGCAACCTCTGCCTCCCGGGTTCAAGTGATTCTCCTGTCTCAGCCTCCTGAGTAGCTGGGATTACAGGCACGCACCATCACGCCCAGCTAATTTTTGTGTTTTTAGTAGAGATGGGGTTTTGCCACGTTGGCCAGGCTAATCTCAAACTCCTGACCTCAGGTGATCCACCTGCCTTGGCCTCCCAAAGTGCTGGCATTACAGGCATGAGCCACTGCACCTGGCTGGAAAAACATTATTAAAAGTAGTAAGAAGACAAAGATGACCACCATGTCCATTACTATTAAGCCTTGGAAACAGGGATTAGCCAATACAATTATATGAGAAAGTTTTTTTTTTTTTTTTTTTTTTTGAGACAAGCTCTTGCTTTGTCACCCAAGCTGGAGAGCAGTGGTGCAATCATGGCTCACTGCCCTGGCTCAGGTGATCCTCCCACGTCAGCCTCCCACGTAGCTGGGACATCAGTTGTACCATCAAGCCTGACTATTTTTGTTGTTGTTGTTGTTGTAGATGAGGTTTTGCCATGTTGCCCTGGCTGGGAGAAAGCATTTAATTACACAAGAATCAGAAGGAAAATAAAAAACTATCTCTTTCCAGATGATGTGATTACATATCTAGGAAACAAAAAATAGGCCTGGCTCAGTGGCCCACATTTCTTGTAATCCTAGCACTTTGGGAGATGAGGTGGGATCACTTGAGCCCAGGAGTTCAAGACCAGCCAGATCAATATAGGGAGACCCTGTTTCTACAAAAAAATTTAAAAATTAGCTTGCCTGTTGTCTGAGCTACTCAGGAGGCTGAGGTGGGAGGATTACTTGAGCTCTGGAGGTTGAGGCTGCAGTGAGCAGTGATTGCATCACAGCACTCCAGCCTGGGTGATAGAGCAAGACCTTGTCTCAAAAGAGAGAAAAAAGAAAACAAAAGTAAATGGAGAAATTAATATAAATAATAAGAGAATTTGGTAAACAGGTAGCATACAAAATTAATATAAATAAGTCAATAGTCTTATATAAATACATAATAAGCAGACAGAAGAAATAATGCTTGATACCTATAAGCACTTCTGAGAGTTTTTGTAACATATTCTACAGCTGAGTAGGACTAGGTGGTTAGATATAGAAGTGGCAAAAACAGCTTTGACTTTTCCTTTTGTAACCTCCTGTATGAATGATTAACAATAAGTTGATATGCTTAAAACAAAACTAATTAGTAATAGAAGAAAGAATAATAATTTATTTTAGTTTTCCAGAGGATTGTGATGGATGGGCTAAGATGTAAGGCATCCACATGAATCCTGGAAGGTCAGAAGCCTCCAGACCTTCACCTCTTCCCACACTCCACCCCATATTCCTTATGCCAGAAAAGCCCCGCCTAGTTGCAGTTCCCTGGCACAGCAGGTTGTTTCATTGCTCTGTGCCTATGCTTTTTGTAGGAACTACAGAAGGAGGTCTCCTTTCAAGGGTCACACTCACTGAGGCCTCTTGAGTGCCCTCCTCTCTCCAACCCTCATCCCCAGCTCCGGGTAGAATTTACTACTTCCTTCTTTGTATCACTCCATGAACCTTGCTCATTTCCACATCTGCTTCATCCCTCAAGACTGTCTGACTCCTCTCCAAGCATACTCCTTGCCCTAATGTATCTGGTCAGTAAATTGAGTGAGTGAGAAAAGAAAATATTTGGCTTAATTACTTGATGGGTGGCTGTCTCAATTTCTGGGATAAGAATCTTTCAAATATCCCTACTCTGGTTTTCCCAGTCAAAATATTTGTCACATATCATGATGGTGAATTAGTTTTGAAACATACTATAAAAGAAATATTCATACTTCTTTGAAGTAAAAAATGACTGTGAAAAATATTTCCTTTTCAAGTTGTATCATTTGCAACCAAGAGGAGAGAAGGTACCATTGTATGTAATTAAACAGATTTTCAACTTTTTAATAGATTGTCTCTATAAGTTAAAGATACTTATGTGCACAATAGTCATTGCCCCCTCTAATCTAGTAGTTCAGAACAAAGCTAGAGCTGTAGGACCCATGAGTGCTGTGTCCTCCAATGCCTAGGGGTACTGTTAGTGAACTACCTTAAGAAACCCGAAACAGAAATTTGCGATGCAATCTGAATTCCAAATGACTTGCAAGCAGATTATACTCTAAAAATTCATTTGTAAATTGAGGACCTTGAACTCTTCAAATCAAGAGGAAAAGGCAAATGAAATAAAACATATCTCTGATGACATATAATTAGAAAAATAACTTCTGAAAGTAGTTGTCAGGATAGAAGAGAGACTTTTCACTGTTCACACTTTTTACCTTTCGAAATTTGTACCATGTGATAATTATTCCTCCAAAAAAGTTTATTTTATTTAAAAAATGTTAAAAGTGTTAAATTATAGATTTAGATCGTTTCTCTAGTGTGAAAGTGAACATATATTGTTTCTTTAACTTCTGGTCTCTTTCTCCTGCTGTTGAACTTGAACCTGCTTACTGTAAAAATTACTCTACATGCTGGCTTCCCCTTTCTGTAAAAATAAGTACATCCTGGTGGGAGTAACTTGTTTTGTCTTAATCATAAAATGAGTATCTTTCACAGTAATATTTATTCCCTACTTCTGGGGTTTTCTTCTGTGTGAAGGGACATCAGTTAGTATAACTCTCCTGACCCTCTGCATCCACACACTCTACCCTAGGGAAGGGAGTGACCTACCTGCTGAATTTGGGAGCCCCATGCTTCCTCCTCTCCTCCTCTTGGGACCAGTTACCCACAGGAAGCACCCTTGTCTCTAAGCCAGTGTTATAGGACCAGACCTCACACAGATCGCCAGCAGTGGTCCACACCTGAGTGGGAATGTCAGTCTAATTCTGGGATGTAGTATTTTTCCCAGACATAAGTGGCATTTTCCAATAGCTGCTTTACAAGTAATCAAAATGATATGTTGATCTCCACCTGTCTTACCCCAAGCCTATCTCTTCAAACCTCAAGGAAAAATGGAGGTAGTATGTATTTGTCCCAGTGGATATCACCTGCTATGCCTTTCTTCAGTGGTGCTCTGAAAAAAAAAACAGGAAAAAAAATATTCAAGTAAGATGCATTGAAAGCATATTGGTAATTCAGAAAAATATATTAAAATGAGGAAAATCTAATTTCAGACTGAATTTCCTGTGCTTTATTCCTTCATTTCTCCCTATTTTTGTCTCCTCCTACTATTTCCTGGCTTGCGTTACATTCTTATTTCCTTAATCAGTTGTTCACTCACTACTCCTTCATTCATCCATTTAACAAACATTTAGTTAACTCCTATGTGCCAAATGAGAACATAGCATTCCAAGACGACTAAAACAGTCTGGTGGAAGAGATAGATAAATATATTGCTAGTTAAAATGCAATCAGATAAGTACAGTGGCAAAGAAGTGCACAAAGAGTTATGGAGGCATTGAAATGCGACATCTAATCTAGCCAGGGGGAGCCAGAGAAGGTTTCTGGAAGATGTAGAACCTGAGCAGCATCTTAAAAGATGAGTGGGAGGCCGGGCATGGTGGCTCATGCCTGTAATCCCAGCACTTTTGGAGGCCAAGGTGGGCAGATCATCTGGGGTCAGGAGTTCGAGACCAGCCTGGCCAACATGGTGAAACCCCAACTGTACTAAAAATACAAAAATTAGCCGGGCATGGTGACATGCACCTGTAATTCCAGCTACTGGGGAGGCTGAGGCAGGAGAATTGCTTGAACCTGGGAGGCAGAGGTTGCAGTGAGGCAAGATTGTGCCATTTCACTCCAGCCTGGGAGACAAGAGCGAAACTCTGTCTCAAAAAAAAAAAAAAAAAAAAAAAAAGAGTGGGAAAAATAAGTTCTGATAGTTCTGATGAATAATTAAACATTTTTTCATTGCCACTTTTATCTCCAAGGGGGTGAATTTGCACAAATGATTTTTAAAATTTTTTTATTGTAAATTGACAATTTATAATTGTATGAACTTATGAGGTCCAAAGTGATGTTATGATTTATTAATACAATGTGAAATAATTAAATCAAGGTAGTTAACATATCCATCACCTCAAATATTTAACTTTTTTTTTGTGGTGAGACATTTGAAATTTACTCTCTTAGCAATTTTGAGATGGAAAGCAAGCAACCTGTGCGTTGTGAGTATGCTTTTCAAATGTGATGCCTGGCTCTGTCATGCTGGTTGTCGCAGATCCTTTGGTGCACCCTTGGCCTACCTCTGGTTGCAGCTGCAGCTGCAGCTGTGGTGGACAGTTCCATGTATGCTGGTAGGATCTATTTCCTGTACCATTGTATGCATAATGCCTTTTCTGCCTCTAGGTTTCTTTGGAAGCCTTGTACCTAGTCCAAGTGCAAGCGCAGCCCAGAAGTGTCAGTGAGTTAATACCCCTGGGAGCAACTCTCGACCAGTCGGGGCTAAAGTCAGTCAGTGCACAGTCTCCTGTTCTTCAACATGAATTCAGGAGACATTCTTTGTGCTTCTCCGAGGTTTTGGTGGAATTGAGCCCCTACTGTCTACAGAAATGACCTAAATAATACATAAGTTATCGACTTTTCTCCTTCCCTATATCAGTCTGCTTTACTGTCTCACAATCCTGCTCCCTGTGATCAGCCCAGAAGTTCACTACCTGCACCCAAGCCCTCATCACAGGTTCAAAAAATCCAAAGATTTTAATTATTCAGAAATAAAGAGCACTGGGGCCACCCAGTTCATTGGGGAGTGAATTCTTTTATAGAACTGAGCTCTTATCTCAATCATATCAGCTAAAGTATCTCAATAATTAACAATCTCTGTTGTTTTTTTGCTTTCAAAAGATATTTTGTTGTGAAATATTTCATATCTACAGAAGAGAAAATACAGTGTAAATGAGTAGTGTAAAGGATAAAACAAGGCCAGGTGTGGTGGCTCATGCCTGTAATCCCAGGACTTTAGGAGTCTGAGGCTGGTGGATTGCTTGAGCCCAAGAGTTTAAGACCAGCCTGGGTAACATAATGAGACCCCGCCTCTACAAAAAATTTCAAAAATTAGCTGGATGTGGTGGCATGTGCCTGTAGTCCCAGCTACTTGGAGGCTAAGGTGGAAGGATTGCTTGAGCCTAGGAGGTCAAGGCTGCAGTGAGCTGTGATTGTACCACCTGGGCAACAGAGCAGGACCCTGTGTCAAAAAAAAAAAAAAAAAAAAAAAGAATAAAATGAACAACCATTCAGCTTATAAAATAAAGCATAGCCAGTGCCTTAGAAACCCCTTATATGCCCACACCCCTTCCGCCCTCACAGGTGTAACCCCAACCAGAATTTTGTGTTCCTTGTTCCCTTATTTTTTATCATAGTATTAGCATATGTATGTATCACTAAACAATATGTCATTTAGTTTTGCCTGTTTTTTATATTTTACATAAATTATTTATATTCTTATTTAACTTGCTTTCTCTTTTCTTTCTCAAGGTTGTTTTTCAGATTTCTCTATGGTGATACATTTAAGAGTAATTCATTCATTTTCACCATGGTACCGTGTATAAATATACTATTCTTTATGTAGCCATTCTACTGTTGATGAACATTTAGGTTTTTTCTGTTTTTTTTTTTTTTTTGTAGTTACAAACAATGTTACTATGAACATCCTTGTACAGTGTCTCCTGAGTACATGTACAAGAGCTTCCATTATATGGAGTAGAAATACTGGGTTATGGTCTGTGCATGTTCAACTTTTTCATGTACTACCAAACCGCTGTACCAATTTACATTCCCACTGGAACTACATGACAGTTTCCATTGTTACACATCTTTTCCAACATTTGGTATTGTCTGAGTTCTTAATTTCTGTTAATATGGTAGAGGTTTAATGGTGTTTCATTGTGATTTTATGTTACATTTCTCTGACTACTAAAAACATTGAGTAGTTTAAAATATATTTGTATTCCATTTGTGTTTTCACTTCTGTGACATTAAGTCTTTTTATCCACGAGCATCATAGATTATCATCCAATTTTTATTTAGATTTTCTTTAAGGTCTTTCAATAAAAATTTAAAATTTTCCTATAAGGACTTACGCATTTGTTTTCCAGATTTATTCCTAGGTACTCTGCCTTGTTGCTATTACAAATAATACTTAAAATTTTTTTTTTCTAATATGTTTTTGTTATTTAAAAATGCAATTCATTTTTTATATATTGATTTTTGAATCCAGCAACCTTATAAAATTCATTAAGTCCAACAGTTTATCTGGAGATCTCTTGAGGTTTTCCACATAGGAAATTGTATTATCTGTAAATGACAGTTTTGTTTTTTTCCTTTTGGATTCATACGCCTTTTAGTTCTTTTTCTTATCTTAATACACTGGCTAGGATCTCCAGTTTAATGTTGGATAGTCTTGAGAGTGAATGTCCTTGTCATAAAATAGAGAATATAAAAAGTCATGGTAGTGAACATCCTTATTTTATCCCTCATTTTAAAAGGGATACTTTCAACATTTTGCCATTAAATGTACAATCTCCTGTGTTTTTTTTTTTGTAGAAGTTTTATCAGATGAAGCAAGTTCCTTATAGTCACAGTTTGCTGAGAGTTTTTCTGAATAGGATGTTAAGTTTTATTTAAAAATTTCTGCATCTGTTGAGATAATCACATAGTTTTTCCTTCTAATCTGTTAATGTACTATGTTTTTAAATACTTCTTAACATCTTAAAAACATTTTTACATTTTTAATGTTAAATCGATCTTATAGTTCTGGGAAAAAAACCTAACCAGTCATAAAGTATTTTTTTATACATTGATAGGCTTGTTATTGTTGTTTAGGATTTTTGCTTCTATATTTATGATTGAGATTGATCTGTACGTTTTCCTGTTTTGTACTAAATTTTGTATCAAGGTATTTTAACCTCATAAAATGAACCAAGGAGCCTTTTTTTCCCCTTCTCTGGGAATATTTGTGTAAGAATTGAAATTAGGCTGTTTAAGTCATCTTTATCTTTATTGATATTCTGTCTGCTTTATCTATCAATGGAGATAATTGTGTTACTCTTCCACTATGGTTGTCTTTTTTTTCTCTTAATTGCTGAGTTTAGTGTGTTTTATGTTTATAGTGAGTATTGTAATGTGAATTTATTCCTAGCTTTTTATATAGCATTTTAAAATTTATTCCACTTGAATATTTGCTAAAATGTGCCTGAAAAGTTTTTAGGGCACAGTGTTTTTCTTTTAGAATGGTTTTTAAATTCTGCTTTAATTTCTTTATTAGATATAGGACAATTCGGCCTGCCCCATTCTTCTTAGGTCAATTTTGTAAATTAAAATTTTCTAGGAATTAATCTATTTCACAGGTTTTCAAATTTATTGTATAAAGTTGTTCATATAAACTAATAAATATTTGAAGGAATATTATGCACTGTAAATTTGTGTTCTAGAGGCTATTTTTCTTTTTAAATTTTTTTTGTTTTGTTTTGTTTTTAGTTTTAACTGCTTTAAAAATAGGAATGCTTTGGTAGGAGTGTAAATTAGTTCAACCATTGTGGGACACAGTGTGGTGATTCCTCAAGGATCTAGAACTAGAAATACCATTTGACCCAGCGATCCCATTACTGGGTATATACCCAGAGGATTATAAATCATGCTACTGTAAAGACACATACACATGTATGTTTATTGCGGCACTATTCACAATAGCAAAGACTTGGAACCAGCCCAAATGTCCATCAATGATAGACTGGATTAAGAAAATGTGGCACATACACACCATGTAATACTATGCAGCCATAAAAAAGGATGAGTTCATGTCCTTTTCAGGGACATGGATGAAGCTGGAAACCATCATTCTCAGCAAACTATCACAAGGACAGAAAACCAAACACCACGTGTTCTCCCTCATAGGTGGGAGTTGAACAATGAGAACACTGGGGGAGTTGAACAATGAGAACACTTGGACACAGGGCGGGGAACATCACACACCAGGGCCTGTAGTGGGATGGGGGGCTGGGGGGAGGAATAGCATTAGGAAAAATACCTAATGTTAAATGACGAGTTGATGGGTGCAGCAAACCAACATGGCACATGTATACCTATGTAACAAACCTGCACGTTGTGCACATGTACCCCAGAACTTGAAGTATAATAATAAAAAAAATTAACACCTTTATTTTTTATTTATTTATTTATTATTTTTTTGAGATGGAGTCTCGCTGTGTCGCCCGGGCTGGAGTGCAGTGGTGTGATCTTGGTTCACTGCAACCTCCACCTCACGGGTTCAACCGATTCTCCTGCCTCAGCCTCCTGAGTAGCTGGGATTACAGGCACGTGCCACCACGCCTGCCTAATTTTTATATTTTTAGTAGAGACAGGGTTTCACCATGTTGGTCAGGCTGGTCTCAAACACCTGACCTCGTGATCCGCCCGCCTCAGCCTCCCAAAGTGCTGGGATTACAGGTGTGAGCCACCATGCCCAGCCAACAGCTTTATTAAGATATAGTTGGCAAACAACAAATTGCACATATTTAAAGTATACAATTTGATCAAGATACTGAACATATCCATCACCCCCAAAAGTTTTTTCATGTTCCTCTGCAATCCCTTCAGCATACTCAACTTAATGAATTATAAGAGTTTTCCACACTGGCTGGTGGGAGCAGGCACTATTCTTGGCCCTCTGTGAACCCCAGGTGCTGTTTCCCTTAATGCCTTCAGATGTTCCCGTCTCTGGCCTCAGGCAGTTTCCTCACACTCACGTGCAGATGTCTTAGGTTCTCTGTGCAGCCCTCTCGTTCTGTATTCTGTCATGCAAACTCTAGCTGCTTTGGTCTCACTGAACTCTCAGTTCTGTATTCACAGGGGAAAGCAACTTCTTAGCAACTCAGGGAAACTGCTGGGCTCTACCTCCTCCCTGCACTACCGCCTGGAAACTCTGAAGATAATGAGTTGGGGCAATACTGGGGCTCTCTTCATTTGTCTTCCATCTCACAGATCTCATAGGGATTAATGCCCTTTGTCCCCTGATGTCCAGTGTCTTGAAAATTGTTTTATTTATTTATTTATTTGGTTATTTCAGGTTTGTCTAATTAGTCATTTCAAGGAATCAGCTTTTGCTTGTTGATCTTTCCTATTAAATGTATGTTTTCAATTTCATAATTTCTTTATTTCATTCCATTTCCTCATTATTAATTCTGTTTTTCTAACCTGGATTAATAATATCAAGCTCTCATTTTCTTGTCTTAGCATATAAGACAATAAGTTTACTTCTCAGTAATACTTTAGCAGCACAAATAACCTTTGTTATACACGGTTTTCATTGTTCAATTCTAAAGAATTGCTAAACTTATCATTTTTTAATTTCACTCATGAATTTCTAGAAGTGTTTTTAAATTTCCAAATGGAATTTTCCTAGTTTTTATTATTAATTTCTAATTTAATTTCATTGTAGTTAGAGAAAGTCATCTTTGACATACTGTATAGTTGATAGACAACAAACTACACATGAAGTGTATAATTTGATAAGTCATAGCATATTTAAACACCCATGATACCATCACCACAATCAAGATAATAAAGTTATTTATCACCCTCAAAAGATTTATCATATCTCTTTGTAATTCTGAATACTTCATCTAATCAAAGGATTGGTATAATACGATATGACTGTTAGGATAATGTTGTCTGCAAGTAATGGAAAATTTAACTTAAAATAAGTCATACAATAGGGAAATTTTGTTATCTCACTTAACAGAATCCTGAGAGAAGACGCTTCTAGCTAGGGTCACTGAATTCAGCAGCTCAATGACACCATCGAGGTCTTAGGATTTTTATAACCTAAATAAATGTCCTTCAGTTCCCTTCCTAGTTGTAAGATAGCTGTACCTTATAAGAGACATGCAACTAGTTGACATTCAGACATAAACACACCCAACAGAAAAAGAGGCCACCTCCTTCTTATGTGCCCCTTGTAAGAGTGAGGAAAGGTTTCCCAAATGTCCCCATTAGACTTCCCCTCTTTTCAATCATGGCCAGAATTGTGTCATAAGCCCTTGTCACATGCCAATCGAAGACATGAAATACCCCCACCCTCCATTCACAGAGCTGAAACTGGGACTAGCTTCTTACAAAGCACATCACTATGTGGATGAGAAAGTTCAGTTCACAAGGAAAGGAGAGGATGATGGGTAGCATCTAAAAGTGTCTGCTACATGCAGCTACTTAAAAAGCACAACCAAAAAAAGGAATCATTTAAAAAACAAAAACTCCAACCTTAAGGGTGCAGAGCCCATTTGTGTGTCTTTGGGTCCCTGGGGGGTGCACTTCTGTAATGGAACTATGTCAGAGCTTGTCTTCTTAGAGGTTAAGGGACGTGTGCAGGGTGTACAGAGGGCCAAGGTTTGCATTCTCCTAAGAGGTTACACCATACAGATTAGCCTTGAGGACATGATCCAGAGCATTCCCTTTGGATCTATTTAGGGGAAATGATTAACTCAATCATTTCTTAACGAGTATAGGTACATCCTTTGACAGAAGAGAACTGAAACTGGTCATGTATTTCAGTTTTATTGAAATGAATATTATTCTTCTCCCAAATTATCTTTATTCAGTTTTCAAATAATAAAAAATGTGCATTGCATCTTATCAGCTAGCCTCAGCTTTTTATCACAAATTAAAGGAGAGAAACTCTTTGCTTCCTTTGTAACACTTCTTATGCAATGCTATGAAAACAAGATATTGAATAATATTACAATTGCAAGCTAATTAATTCACTCAGGAAACCCCTGGAGTTATCTTTCTACCTCTCTAGTAACCACTGGAAGGAATACTCAAGGATTAAACATTTCCATAAAGGCAATATATATCCCTTTACTTTTGCTTATAAATCACCTGTCACAGGATGAAGTGGTTTCCATGGTAAATTGGGAGGATCAGAATGGCAGGTTATTATCTTGGCTTTGTTCCTAAGATTCAAATTTCAAAAGGCTGTACAAAATAGTACAGTTAATTAGGGCTGGTACAAAAGTAGTAGAGATGGATGCTGGGTTGCCAAAAAGAAATGCCTGTTACATATACCATGTGCCATGGTACTACTTCTTGTACATGCATCAATCATTTATTCTTCCCAACTACCCCACTGGGTTGGTATTATATTATTCTATTTTTATATGTGAAGAAAATAGGGTGGGGAAAGGTTAAATAACTTGCCCAAAGGCATACTGCTACAAAGTGATGTTGCCCAGTTCTGTCTGACTCTAGAGTTCATACCCTTAATCACTGCATTAAGAGACAACTGGTAGACAAAGTCCACCTGGATTTAAATATTTAAATATTTTCAATATAGTCCCTTACTTCAGTTCTTAGATTTGGGCCTCCTTTTTAGGCGTTTGGGGAAAAAACAGAAAACTTAAACATCCAATCACTAAATCCTATATCTCTGTAAGTCTAGAGCTATGGTTCTCATAGTGTGGTCCCCAAACCACTAGCATCAGCATCAACTGGAAACTTCCTAGAAATGCAAATGTTCAGTTCCCATCCACCCAAGGCCTACTAAAGAAGACTCTGTAGGTATGAGCACACTAATCTCTATGTTAACAAGCCCTCTAGGTGATTCTGATGCATGCGAAAATTTAGGGAGTGCGATTCTAGACAGAGTATGTGGTTGTTGTTTAGGCCTTCTTTCTCCTACAGAGGGGTATAACAGCTCACAGGTCAGAAGTGGCTGAGGATCATGCCTCAGTGTTTCTTTTTAGTCCTGTTTTGTTCCATAATGCCTTCTCCGTTGAGCTCTTCTGCTGACAGATTACTGTACCTTAAAGTTTCACAGCCCTACTTGCTGCTGGGGGCTCACAGAGATCAGCAAAGAGCTATTGCTACATTTTCTTCTTTTGCCTCTGATTTTATATTGCTTTCTGCTTTTCATTCCTTGCTCTCTCCATTTCCTCCTTTTTTTCTCTTTCTATTTCTGGATTTTTCCTGAACACACTGTGCTCTGTATGACACACTGTCTTAATCTACTCCCTTTTCCTGTCCTGCTCTCTCTCATAGTAAGATGGGCTACCAATTACTCTTCAGAAAACGCTCAGTTTGGCAAAAAAGCATTGACTTCTTGGTAGTGTCAAAAAGAAGGCACTTCCACTTGAGAGCAATTCCTAAAAATTCATGAAAATATCTTTTATACTTTCTGTTTCTGGAGAGAAAGTATCACCGAATTTCTCACTAAACTGAAAATGCTTTGAGGATGGGATTCATGTATAATTAACACGTTACCCACTGCTATGAAAAGTGATCATCTTCCAAGACCACCATCCACTTAAAATATTGTAGTAAAATACACAACATAAAATTTACCATCTTAACCATTTTTTGTTGTACAGTTCAGTGACATATTCATTGTTGTACAACTGTCACCACCATCCATCTGCACAAATATTTTCATTTTGCAAAGCTGAAACTCTGTATCCATTAAACAATAACTCTCCCCCCACCACCCCTACCCTTGGCAACCACTATTCTACTTACTGTCTCTATGAATATGACTACTCTAGGTACCTCATATGAGTGGAATTATGCAGTATTTGTCTTCTCATGATGGCTTTTTTCACTTAGTATAATGTCCTCAAGGTTCATCCATGCTGTAGCATGTGTCCGAATTTCTTTCTTTTGTAAGGCTGAATAATATTGCATTGTGTGTGTGTGTGTGTGTGAGTTTGTTGGGAGGGTTATGTATGTGTGTATGCATACTTCCCTTGGAGGGATTCCCTAACCCCTAAAAAAAACACATTTTGTTTATCCATTCATCTATCCATGGACACTTGGGTTACTTCTACCTTTGGTTAGTGTGAATAATGCTGCTATGAACATAGATGTACATATATCTGTTTGAGGGCTGTCACCCACTTTTTTTTTTTTTTTCAAGACAGAGTCTCGCTCTGTCGCCCAGGCTGGAGTGCAGCGGCATGATCTCGGCTCACTGCAAGCTCCACCTCTCGGGTTCAAGCCATTCTCCTGCCTCAGCCTCCCCAGTAGCTGGGACTACAGGTGCCTGCCACCACGCCCGGCTAATTTTTTGTATTTTTTTAGTAGAGACAGGGTTTCACCATGTTAGCCAGGATGGTCGCGATCTCCTGACCTCGTGATCCGCCCGTCTCGGCCTCCCAAAGTGCTGGGATTACAGGCATGAGCCACCGCACCCGGCTGGCTGTCACCCACTTTTATACAACATATTAGCACTATTGACTCCTGGGGACTCCCTATTTTTAGGACGATGAGTTAGATATGGATGAGAATGGGTAACAGGCAGGGCCACAGGATCATACCTGGAGCCTTAAGAGATGCTGGCAACTGACCTCTGTGGAATGCCCTATAGCCAACTTCATTACAAGCACATTTTCAGTTCTTTTGCTCTTGTCTCTCTGGCATAACCTACCAGCAAACATCTTCATTTTGTTTCTCAGACTCTAGATCTCTCCTACTCTTCTGTTCAGAATTGGTGTCTCTGATTATTGACTTGGTTCCTGACTTTTTTCTGTTCTTCACTCTGCCGTTGCTAACTAAACTTTGGCATCCTGTGAGGTCCGCAGAATCTGACCCTTTTCTGACCTATATTTTTTGGATTATTTTCATTAACTGCTTGAAGGAACCCATCTCAGCATCAGTATGAGAAAGAAGGAGCTAAGGAAGGTCACTCCATCTAGGTAAACATCAGGGCAAGTCAGAAGCACCAGGATAGGGAATGCTGGGCTAGACTGAGCAGACGTGGGTGTCTGCACATACCTGTCTGCCTAAGGCCATGTCCATGTAACCCACCCACAAGACACAGGAGAAAAAATACATTGAAAATCAGGCTAATTCTTCCCAGATAGACTTCTTCTGGCTCTGTGTCTCCTTAAAGATCTAAATGGTTATTAGTCATGCAAAATCTGCCAAAGGGGAGTTCTTGGAGCCTATATAATATGACTCATTGACTTGAGGGCTTGAGAACAGCAGAGCTAGGAACCCTTCTGTGTACCCACATCAGAATGTAGTCTCTGTAGCACCTGGCAATGTAAGCCTGGAATCTTCCCATGTGTTTCATTTCTCAGGGGCTTTGAAGCAAAGCTTTAGCAGCAGCCAACTGCCCAGAAAAGAAGCTCTGAAGTGTACAACAGCAGCAGTAGGTTTTGCAGCAGGCCTTGCAGTAGCAGAGAGAAAAAAGTCATACAGTTCAGGAAGAGCCGCCAAACTGAAATGTGTCGGACAGCTGCCTTAGGGCATAGGTATAACAGGTTCACAATCAACTGTCCACAGAAACTCTGTCCCTTCATTGAAATGTGTTTTCCTTGGAGGGATTCCCTAACCCCTAAGAGAAACTTTCACTATCTTTCAGTTGTCTGTATATAACATGTACTCATCTCCCCTTAAAGATTTTCTACGTTCTTTCATTAAGTCAATATATCTGAACGTCAACTTTGGGCAATGCACCATGCTAGCCTCTTTAACAGAAAGATAGCAGTCCATGTGTTCAATGAACTGTTAGTTTTTCCTTTTTCTTTCTGTTTTGGTAGCAGGAAAGTCTTTACTGGGGCAAGTATTAGCTTTTCTATAAATAGGCAAGTGCTATAAAGCTCATAGTAATAGTAGCTTTTTAAGTGCTTATTACATATCAGGCACTTCACAGAGATATCTGTAATCTTTTCAACAACCCCTAGGATAGAATTATTCTTCCCATCTTGCAGATAAGAAAACTGAGGCTCAGAAAAATTAAATAACTTCCCAAATAATAAAAATAGTGGGTCAGAGGTAAAAACTGAACCAGTCTTCCTTACGTTATGCTATCAGTTAGAAGGAGTTTATTCTGGAGTTTGAATTCCTTGAAAACTCCCTCTGCTTCTTACTAAGTCAAAAGTAATTTGGCATTAAAAAGCTAACTAATCAATGAAAACAAGATACCCACAACCATCCTTCTTACAAGTGTCAATTTGCTTCCATCATTATCCCATTTTTACTGAGATTGTGTCTTAAAAAGGCATTCATCCCTCAAGTATTATAGAAACCCTTGACTAACCATGTTTTTAACAGAAAGGTTCTAAAAAATCATATCTTTTTCCTCAGTGGCCTAGCCTTAGGACCAGGGAAGAAATACACTAAGAATTTTGTAGATGATATACTCATATGGTAAGAATGGCAAAAGTAGAATTTTGTGCAAGTTTAGTTTTCTGATACTGTTCTATAAACATGCTAACATTTCAGTGACTATAACTTTGGTTCGCATCCCTGTAAGAGGAAATCTAAGATTCTTAAAAATTAATAGCATTTATATTGCCTTAAAGTTCCATAGAGAGATTTTCTATATCCATATGTGTTTGAGTATGCTTCATAAAATATATTAGGTAGTTATTTAGAATGGATCTATTAATAAAATTAGTCATAACACTACATCAAGCAATGTCACCGTATTTCACATATGCACAGTGATACTAAATAGACAGAACTCTAGTTAAATTGACACACATTTAACTAAAATTTGAATTATATTTAATGCTTAAATTTGTCTCCTAATTTCACCATTAGTCACATTTCTTGACCAATGTCTAATGAGTTTGGAAAATCAGAAAATCCACGTTGAGTAATGCTAACATTCACAGATGTAGACTATTGAATGTAGAATACAGAATTAGATATCATTTACTTCAAGGGTCAACGAAGCATCGCCAACAGGCCAAATCTGGCCTACAGCATGTTTTTGTAAATAAAATTTTATTAGAATTGCAGGTATAATCATTCATTTACCTATTGTCTATAGCTCCTTTCATGCCTCAATGGCAGAGTTGATTAGCTGCAACAGAAACCTTATGGCTCCCAAGGCCAAAAATATTTATTATCTGGCCCTTTACAGAAAGTTTGCTGACTCTTGATTTAGTCCAACCTCCTTATCTATAGATAAAAACACATTTCCAGATGCTTCACTAATATTTCCATAGGTCTCATCAAGTTCCACTCTTTGCTTAAATATATGAATATGTGCTTTAACCCAAACCCACTATCTTTTCCTTACCATTCTCAAGACAAGTACATGCTTTTTCCACATGTTGTTGGTATCCGCTTTTAACATAACCGCATTATTGGTATTCTCTTATAACATTAGGTCCTTTTCATTAGCTAAGCTAATTTTCCACAGTAATATTTTATTCTGCTAGTCTTTTTCAAAAACTTTATGTATTAAGAGTTGTTTAAAGTAAATAATCTACCTTGGCTATTAGTATTTACAATTAAAATATATTTGAATATCACAGATTTTGTATTTCATAGCAAGAGGCCCAAATGTAGCTAAAACCTTTATTAAAAAAGGATTCAAAAATAATTATGAAGTACCTCCAATTACAAGGTCCTCCACCGAGTTTAGGTATAAAAAGTGACCAAGACCCTTGCACAGCTTATGCCTTTGAAAAGTTTGAATTCGGGCCGGGCGTGGTGGCTCATGCCTGTAATCCCAGTACTTTGAGAGGCTGAGGCGGGCGGATCACGAGGTCAGGAAATCGAGAGCATCCTGGCTAACACGGTGAAACCCCGTCTCTACTAAAAATACAAAAATTAGCCGGTGTGGTGGTGGGCGCCTGTAGTCCCAGCTACTCGGGAGGCTGAGGCAGGAGAATGGCATGAACCCGGGAGGTAAAGCTTGCAGTGAGCCGAGGTTGCGCCACTGCACTCCAGCCTGGGGGACAGAGCGAGACTCCGTCACAAAAAAAAAAAAAAAAAAAAAAAGAAAAGTTTGAATTCTTTGGGGGCAAATAGATATATAAACAGAAAATAGACGTAAGAAAGAATTCCAAATAATTAATTCCGAAGAATTAATCATTCTTTCCCCTTAAAGCTATTACCTGAATTTCTGTATTCATTATATAAAATTATGTCATCTAAAGCCTATTAAACTGTATTTCCATTAAAATAAATTTTGATTGAGCATTTCACCCCAAAGAAAATCCTTTGGCTTTAACTAAAAATTTCCAGTAAAGGAATATTGCCCTTATGAAACATATAACATTACTAGGTAATATAATAATGCTAAGTCAAGATTTTGTTATCTGCAGCTGTTGTTTTTCAGGATCATAATTTTATACACAGTAGGTATAAATATGTGGAACAAAGAACAAAGTTATAGTGGTATTTTTCTCTTTTGAATGAAAATCCAATTATTTCTGCTTGGCTCTTTCCTATCCTTTTTGCATTCTGTCCCCCACCCTTTTTTTATCTCTTTAAAAAAATATTTCATTTTAGAAGTCTTTTTTTTTTTTTGAGACAGAGTCTTGCTCTTGTCACCCAGGCTGGAGTGCAAGGGCACAATCTTGGCTCACTGCTGCAACCTTCGCCTCCTGGGTTCAAGTGATTCTCCTGCCTCAACCTCCCATGTAGCTGGGATTACAGGTACCTGCCACCATGCTCAGGTAATTTTTTTATTTTTAGTAGAGACAGGGTTTTACCATGTTGGCCAAGCTGGTCTCAAACTCCTGACCTCAGGTGATCTGCCCACCTTGGCCTCCCAAAGTGCTGGGATTACAAGTGTGAGCCACTGCGCTTGGCCTCATTTTAGAAGTCTTTATCCTTTACTTATAAATTCCCACTGCTTTCTTATATTATTCCCAAGAAATATAAAATCTGAGATTCCATAATGTAAACATTTGACAGTTTAGAGATGAATACATATTAGATTATTCAGTACATATACATAGTGCTTTATATTGACAAGGTAGTCTTCATCCTTGTGAAGGAGTTTAGCTCTCTGCAAGCAAACATGCATTCAACCCAAGAGATTAATTTTTTTGGCTGGTTTTAACAGTGGGAGACAGCATAAACAGAATTAAAAATCTGAATTGCAAGGCTGACGTTATATTGCCTTTCATTATATAGCAATGGAGACTGAACTGGTGAAAAAAGGGTAATCAGGTCGAAAATTCTTATTTTGTTTTTGATGATCTACTCTCTGTTTCCTTGGAAACAGGGCTGGCAGCCACAGAGTTGCTAGCATTATATTTTCTTATTTTCTTTTTAAGCTTTGAAGCATCAAAGGAAAGGTGAGGTTTTATTATTGAACTCTGTATTCTACTCTGTAGAATCTGGCTTATTTTCAAATAAGTTAAAAACAAATCTTTATTGAATGCCTATTATATATAAGGCACTAGGAGGTATAACTAACAAGTTTGAGAAAGAGCTTTAAAGCAATTGAGTGGAATAAATGTAAGCTTCTAAGAGTCAATCTACTACATATTTGGGATTTTTTTTAAAGGAAAAGAATTAAATAAAGCTTAATTTAAAAACCTATAGTGTGAGGGAAGGGCACTGAGATCAGCATAGTTTAGTGAAATTAGTTTTAGAAAACAACTAGATTTCCATACCAGACTGCGTGATTCCTTATTCCTGTGTATAAAATCTAGGTAATATGAAGGTGGTTACTCTGTGTTAAGAAAATAGTCTTTGCCTCCAGTAAATAAAATGAGTAAATGTAAAAGGTTTTCTAAGAAGCTAATATTCTAATGATTTTACTAAATATTTCAGTTGAGGGATGATTGCCAAATGATTTCAATATGGTCTTTTCCTTTATGAAAGGTTACATTAACTAAAGTTTAAATAGCTTTGATTCATTTAAAATATAAGTCATAAACTTTCAGAAATCATTTGTCAAGTACCTTCATTTTACATATGAAAAAAATGAGGCCTAGAGAAATAGAGGAACTTGCCCCAAATCATACCTGCTTGGCAGAACTGAAAGTTCTAGAACTCGTATCTCCTCATCCAGTACTCATTATATCTTCACTGAGGTTTCAATTTATAAATATTATAATTTCATATAATTCTTAGGAACTCATCTATTGTTTAAAAATGAGATACACACTATAAGAAATAAAAACATATGAACATGTATCCAAATAAAAAACTGCTAAACATGGCCTTAACACCATATGTAAGTTTTGAGTGAACTATGAAGCTGCCTGCTTTTCAGAAAGTACCAGAAACAAACATTACCTGAAGAATGATCAAAAAGCCTGTCAGTACCTTGAATTGTGGAAGACCACCCTCTCAATTCTTTCAGCTGCAGCCATCTATCCATTAACTCATTCACTCAATATTCCAAGAAGTACTCAGAGTCCCGATTACAACATTGTGTACATAACTAACTCTTCTCCAGGGTCCCTTTCCCCCTAAACAGTTAAATATTTCCTCTTTTTCATATGTCATATTGAAAACTACAGAATGTCAATAAAAATCTTTTAAATGACCAGAGATGAAAGGCAGTTTTTCCACACAAAAAAAATAGCAATCTGACTGTGAATAGACTTTTTATCAGCAACAACAGATGTCAGAAAATAATAGAAAACTATCTTCAAAGTACTGAGGGAAATGAACCATCTATCCAGAATTTTATACGCAACTAAATTATCACAGAAGGGTGAAATAATAACATTTTCAGATGTACATATTTTAGGAGAGTTTACCCATAAACCCTTCTTGAAAGAACTACCAAAGATCTAATTAAGCAAAAGCAAAAATGAACTATGCATGGAGGAATAAAATATAAGAAGCAATGGATATTACAATGCAAATGCTATAACCAATTTGTAGGCTTTCTCTCCTCACTCTCCAAGTGTAAGAAAGGTGCCAAAAGTGATATGTAACTGGTTATTCTCCCAGTAAATCAGGAAATTCTCTTCTCAAATGCTGAATACAAAATCATAATAAGTTAAACATTATGATCTATACATTTTAAGATATTTTAATGTATCATATAATGACATATATTTTAAAACTTTTAATATGATATAACATGTTATATGTTTGTAGGAGGGGTGCAGTGGCTCAAGTCTGTACTCCCAGCATTTTGGGAGGCTGAAGCAGGCAGAACACTTGAGCTCAGGAGTTCAAGACCAGCCTGGGCAACATGGCGAAACCCTGTCTCTACAAAACAAAAACAAAAACAAAAAATCAGCCAGGTGTGGTGGTGCATGCCTATAGTCCCAGCTACTCAGGAGGCTGAGATGAGAGAATCACCTGAGCCCAGGAGGTCGAGACTGCAGTGAGCCATGACCATGCTGTTACACTCCAGCCTAGGTGACAGAGTGAGAACCTGTCTCAAAACAAACAAACAAACAAACAAACCCAAACACAACTGTAAACATGTCTGAACGAAATTTCAATTTATTTGATATAGTGATTGCATTAGTAATAGTGATAAAATAGTTTCGATTAAAACTTTATTGAAACAATTTTGGAAAGTAGAGAAAAAATTAAAAGAATGCTGAAATGATCATTCATAATCTCATTACCAAGGGGTAAATAGTGTTAACATTTTTTCACATTCCCTGAAGACACTTTTCTATGCATTTTGTATAGTTGAGAATAACTATATATACAATTTTGTTTCCTAAATGTTTCCCTTACAGTCCTACATTTTTTGTATGACAGGGATGATTATCCCCGAGGGATTACCCCTGATTATCCCCATTGTACAAAATTCCTTTCTTCTTATTGTCCTTTTGAATAGGTAGTCTGTATTCCTCAGCCTACTACCTATAAGACACTTGGGCTGTATCAACTTTGAAAACTTTTCTTTGATTTTTAATGCATCTTTATTCTCTGGCACTGAAAAATCTGAATTCCTAACAATAGTTTTATCGTAAGTATTTGTTATAGTTAAATTTATTGTTTCAATTTTCAATTATAGAATTGCTTTTAAATTATTTTATTTTCTACTGGCTACTGCACTTTTATGGTTCAAAGTCAAAAGATATATAGAGAGGTGACAGTCCATGTTCTGCTGCTGTACTACAGGCTTGGTAATTAATTTATAAAGAATAGGTTTATTTGATTTTGGAGGCTAGGAAGTCCAAGAGCTGGCATCTGGAGAGGGTCATCCTATGGGTGGAAGATGGAAGGCAGAAGCGAGTACACAAGACAGAGAGAGGTACCAGGGGCCAAACTTGCTTTATAATAACCCACTCACACAATAACTAACCTGCTCCTTTGATAGTAACATTAATCCATCCATGAATGATCTGCCTTCATGACCCAAATCACATCTTATTAAGCCCCACCCTCCTAATACTATTGCATTGGGGATTAAGTTTTTAACACATGCACTTTATGACACATTCAAACCATAACACACACACACACACACACACACACACACACACACAAATCCATAGATAAGTTTTGTTTCTACTCCTGTCCCCTTCACCTCATTTCCTCTGCCTCTAGGTAACACTTACTTTCATTTTCCTTCCAGTATTTCTCTTTCTCACACAAAAGACAACATACATATATACTGTTCTGCACCTTGTTCTTTCCCTTAATGATATAATCTTGGGAACCTTTCCATTTTAGCTGACTGACCTGTTCTTCATTAGTTAACCAAATATTCTTTATAGTTCTTTATAATGAAGAATATAAAAAACTCCTTTTCTTTTATTCTTCTACCTGGACTAAATACACAGTTCTTGTTGGTCTGAATTAGAGACTCTATGCCATGCAGTCCAGCTGGACTTTGATGTAAGCTGAATCTTCCTGAACAATTAGCTCTTAATACTTCCCATTTCGGTAGCTTCCACTTACCTATTGTATAAAACTCATATTCTTTTTTCTACTCTGTTTACTGCAGTTTTGGCTCCTATTTACCTTTCTAGTTCTATTTACTCTAAATCTTTATTTAATAGTCTTTGCTATGTGAGTCCTGGTTCAAAAGAATCACCTAGATCAATGAGAGATATCCCACCTTCCAACCTCCAAAGCAGGATTTGGATCTAAATTGACAAGAGGAGTTATAACCAGTAGTGACTAGCTAAAAGGTTGGTTAAATTTGGAGTTGGGAGTGGCCATGAGGGAACTGTGTACACCCTGAAGTCGGCATGTGTACTAACTTGTCAGCTTATTCTGGATTCCCAAGTTCCTTTTTACCTTAAAAAAAAAAATCCCCATTTTAACTGGAGTTAGTTTGTGTTCTTGCAACCAAAAGAATCCTGACTAGAGTTCACGCTCTGAGGGGCCACTAAAGGATTTTTGCTGGAAAGTAGAATGATGACTGGGAATAAAATCATGGGATTAATAAAATGTAAGGGATAAGTAAAAAAAGTAAGTCACATGAGATGGAGACTGAGAGGCTACATCAACAGGAGAAAACCAGTGGAAAATGATGTTACAGAAGACAATGGAGGGCATTGTTTTAAGAAAGAAGTGGCAAATGTAGTAGAAGGATCAAGTAAGACTGAAAAGTGTAAACTGGATTTGGTAATTAGGTCAATGGTTACCTTTGCAAGAAAAGTTTCATGGGAGTGGGAGGGGGGCAAAAATTACAGTGTAGCTGAGACATGAAGGGGAGATGAGGAATTAGACATAAGTATTGATCACATCTTTAGGAATCCTGACTGAGATGAGAAGAGCTACAGGTGAGAGCCACGAGGAAGATTTTTGAAAAAAAACAACAACACATATTTATATGCTTTGGGGAGGGAGGATAGAAAGGGAGAGATTGATAGAGCCCTTAACCTGATAGAACTAACTTCCTGAAAAGAAAGGAGCATGAGATGGGAACATAAAACATAGCTAGAGAGATGTGCTTTTTATGTCCTCTAAGGATAGCAAAGTACCATGGTAATGCTTACTATATGCCAGTCATTGTGCCAAACACTTCAGATGTATTAACTGAATTAGGACTGGGTGAAGATAATGAACTTAGGAATGAGAAGCTGAAGCAATGTGCATCTGAAAATCAAAATTATCTCTGTAATATGAAGATAAGGTTATGTACTAAAAACCTACTAAAAGAGAAGGAAGAAGAAATGTAGGGAGCTTAAAAAGTGGCAGGGAACTTAAAAAGTGGTGGTCTGAAATATAGAAGAGGAAGGTGGTGACCAGAAACATATATAAGTATTTTTTGAGACAGAGTCTCATTCTGTTTGTTGCCCAGGCTGGAGTGAAGTGGTGAGATCTCGGCTCACTGCAACCTCTGCCTCCCAGGTTCAAGCAATTCTCGTGCCTCAGCCTCCCCAGTAGTTGGGATTACAGGCGTGCGCCACCACGCCTGGCTAATTTTTGTATTTTTAGTAGAGATGGGGTTTCACCATATTGGCCAGGCTGGTCTCGAACTCCTGAGCTCAGTCAATCTGCCCTCCTCGGCCTCCCAAAGTGCTAGGATTACAGGCGTGAGCCCTGTGCCTGGCCAAGTATTTTTGAAGAGTTAATTCAAATGACTGTGTCATTTTCTCTAGCAGTAGTCAGATACAGTAGTGTCAGAGCTCAGAGCCAGATTATATTGTCCCAAGGTTGGAAGTTTGTAAGTAGAGTGGGATAGAAAGACAAGCGGTCAAGACAGTTGACAGCTCTGGCAGAGGGTGGTTGAAGTGATGCTCAGTAGGGTTAGGTTAGATATAAAAGTAAAGCTAGGAGTGGATAATGATGGATAGGAGAAAAGACAGTAAAAAATTAGGATAGAAAGATTACAAACATGAAGAATCCATTGACTCTCTATCCCACTCCTTTCTGAGTGAACAGTCAATGCAGCTAGTTGCCACAACTCATGAAGGCCACCAAAAGAGGAAGCTCTGTCATCTTGGAGTTCAGGGATTTCTCCATAGAACAGAGTCCTCAGGCAGTACAGGTCCGTGCTATTCAAAGTGTAGTCCACTGACCAGTATCATTGGCATCACCCAGTAGTTTGTCAGAAATGCAGAATTTTGGGTCCCACCCCAGAACTGTTAAATCAGAATCTTCTTTTTTTTATTTTTATTTTTTTGATAGAGTCTCGCTCTATTGCCCAGGCTGGAGTGCAGTGGTGGGATCTCAGCTCACTGCAACCTCCGCCTCCTGGGTTCAAGTGATTCTCCTGTCTCAGCCTCCCAAGTAGCTGGGACTATAGGTGTGCACCACCATGCCCAGCTAATTCTTTGTATTTTTAGTAGAGACGGGGTTTCACCATGCTGGCTAGGATGGTCTCAAACTCCTGACCTCGTGATCCGCCCACCTTGGCCTCCCCAAGTGCAGGGATTATAAGCATGAGCTACTGTGCCCGGCCCAGAATCTGCTTTTTAACAAAATCTCCAAGTGATTCACATGCACATTAACTTTAAGAAGCACTGAGATAGAGATGAGGGAGTATGGATTCACCCTGGGTTTATTTGTCATAATACTACTCCTACCATGCTAGGAGAAATAAAGAGGAGACGTTCTGCCTTTGATGTTCTTTAGCACCCAGACTCAATGTATTCCCCCCTTTTTATTTATAACTTAAAGCCTTCCCCAAATGATTTGTAATCCTCTGCACTCACTGGTAATTGCATCCCAAACCCCACATGCATTCTCTTTTATGGTCAACAATGTCAAAACCCTATAGTATATATTCCTCTTTATCACATTTATCTCTTAACATCTTGCGATCAAAATGGGTTCTTCTTGATAATCCAGTCATGTTGGTGTAATTCTACAAATTTAACACATTCTATACCTATTAATAGAATATAACAGACATGACATTCCCAAGTGAAATCACCACTTCATAAAGAATTTCAGGCTGGGTGCTGTGGTTCACACCTGTAATCCCAGCACTTTGGGAGGCCGAAACAGGTGGATCACTTGAGGACAGAAGTTTGAGACCAGCCTGGCCAACATAGCAAAATGCCTTCTCTACTAAAAATACAAAAAGGTAAGCCGGGCACAGTGGCTCATGCCTGTAGTCCCAGTACTTTGGGAGGATGAGGCGGGTGGATCAAGAGGTCAGGAGTTCGAGATCAGCTTGTCCAACATGGTGAAACCCCGTCTCTACTAAAAATAAAAAATTAGCCGGGCATGATGGTGTGTGCCTGTAATCCCAGCTACTCGGGAGGCTGAGGCAGGAGAATTGCTTGAACCAGGGAGGTGGAGGGTGCAGTGAGCCGAGATCGCGCCACTGCACTCCAGTCTGGGCAACAGAGCAAGACTCCGTCTCAAAAAAAAAAAAAAAAAAAAAAAAATTAGCCAGGTGTGGTGGTCACACCTATAATCCCAGCTACTTGGAGGCTGAGACACCAGGATCACTTGAATCCGGGAAGCGGAGGCTGCAGTGAGTCAATATCGCGCCACTGCACTCCAGCCTGGGCGACAGAGCAAGACTCCGTTTCAAAAAAAAAAAAAAAAAAATTAGCCAGGTGTGGTGGTCACACCTATAATCCCAGCTACTTGGAGGCCGAGGCACCAGGATCACTTGAACCCGGGAAGCGGAGGCTGCAGTGAGTCGATATCGCGCCACTGCACTCCAGCCTGGGCGACAGAGCAAGACTCAGTCTCAAAACAAACAAAAACGACACGTCTCATACAGGACTTACTTCAATGACATATTACTTAATTGCCCTCCTGATCAGTACCACCTACAGCTCCCCTGTTATCCTGGTCTTTCCAGACTTATCTCCCTACAAAAAAGGAGACTGCTTCCGCATTTTCCCATTTCTGTCTTTCTCCGTCAATACTCCACATTCCGTAGCTAGCTGTGTTTGTTTAGACTTGCAACTGTTTCTGTGCAGGGTAAAGACTATCTTGATTTTCAGGATCACTCCACTTCTTCTTCATAGTTTCGTAATCTGAACATCAGGGTGTTGTACAAGATAAACTATAAGCTTCCTTTTGGTTTTAAAATTCTTTGATTTTATGTATTGTAGCCAAACTTCCTCTGCACAGAAAATATACCAGAAAATCAGCCCAAGTTCAATGAAATTCATTTAGTGCCAAAGACCATTCTAAGAATCCTGTGGTTACTACACACACACGCACACACACACCGTCTACTGTTGAGTCAGCTTTAAAGAGTGATGTCTTTTTCCTAACATTCTAGTGTTTTGAAGCTGCTACAAGTGATTGATTTCGAGCTTTTTTTAAAAACTCCTCCTTTGTACAAAACAGAACCGAAATTCTTCAAAACGAATTAAGTCATTTGCGAGTTTGAATGGAAGCTGGACGAAATTGCCTCCTCCAGTTAACGTGGAACCCATTCCCCAAGAGATGGAGGTTCTGGAGAGCAAGGCGAGTCAGCGTCAAACTGATTACGCAGATACCTGTTGGGGACGTCAGTGCTAATAGATATTTTGGTAACATATTTTAAGGACTAACGATGCTTTTTGTGATTCAGGCTTTCATCTGATACCAAGAGCAGAATCTCGTCGGCTTGCGGGTGTTTTTTTTTTTTTTTTTTTTTTTTTTTTTAATGAGCCGGTGCTTTTAAGCGCTGTTACCTACTGGGCCCAAGTAGGCGGTAGAAGAGGGAAAATAAAGCCATTTGTTCCCTCTTCAAGCTAACTGCTCCAGAGAGCTGTGAGTGTGCTCTACTACCGTTGGGAAAACCGAAATTGCGGAGGCCTGAGTCTTTTCAAAATTGAACGGGAAGCGTTTTTAAACTGCCGCAGGGAGAGGCGTTTGCGAGGTGACAGCTGATGACCCCTGGGCTTTTAAGTCCTCCTCCCCTCTCTCGGTCCGCTCTCGGTCCTTAATCGCCTCTGGACTCTGGGCTCTAGTCCCCTCCCCAGATTCACCCATCTGACACCCGCCTCCTGCCCAATCCCCCGGCTCGTCTCCAGGGCTCCCGCGCTCCGCCCATCCCCCTCTGGATGCTTCCTCTCTCTCTCTTCTTTCCCTCCCGCCAGCCACTCCTCGCGTCTTTCTCTCCCCACTTCCCTTCTTTCCCCTCACCCTCCAGCCCAGCCCACCCTGCTTTCTCCCTCTTTCTCTTTCCCGTAGATCCGCGCTCGCGCTGCAACACCTACTCCTCCCTCGGCTCTGGGAGTCGCCAGGCCAGAGGCGCCGCGGACCTGGTGCGCGCAGGCGCACTGCGCGGCTGGCGAACGGGCAGGCCGGGCATCAGCGCAGGCGCGCGCGGCTGGGGCTCGGCTCCGGGGGTGGCGGTCGGACAGTGTCTAGCACGCTCAGTCCGGGCTTGGGGCCCCGCGGCGGAGAAGGAGGTAGAGGGGGCGGCGGCGGCGGCGGCGGTGGTGGCGGCACCATGTTTCTTCACTCAGTTAATCTCTGGAACCTGGCGTTTTATGTCTTCATGGTCTTTCTGGCAACCCTGGGGCTGTGGGATGTCTTCTTCGGCTTCGAGGAGAATAAGTGCAGTATGAGCTACATGTTTGAGTACCCGGAGTATCAGGTAAGGTTCTGCCCTCTCCTCAGCCGGGCGCTCCAAGACTCTGGCCCCTGGTGCCTTTTTCCTTCTGTGGGTTCGTCCTGCCTTGGCTCTCTGCGCCTCTCGGGCCCCCTGTCCCGTCCTCGCCTCTGTTTTCTCCGCCCGGGGAGACTCTGCATCCCCCTTCTGCCCCCCTCACCTCCCCTTTGTGTCCCTTCTTCACGGTGGGGTGTTTGTTAGACGATTTCCCGAGAGCATCCTCGTGGTCGTCCTCGTAGTTACTCCGCTGTCCCTCCGCCTCCTCCCCAGCCCCAAATCCTGGGCACAAGCTCTTCTGACTGGCCGGGCCCAGCCCCCCTCATGCCCAGAGAGGCAGCCTCAACCCTTCTCCCTAAACCGAAGCTCCATCCCTCTCGCGTTCTTGCCTTAACCCGTGCCCCAGGACCTTCCTTTGCTTCCCACGCGCCTAAATTCCCCTCGCGCCCGGTGATCTGCTCGTCAGATTTCGCATTTCTAGAAAGGGACCGAGCGTCTGCAGAGTGTATATTGGCTAGATAGTTCCCAAGGCTGTTTTTAGAGACTCCAGGGTTTTGCCTATGGGTAAACTGGCGAGTCATTGAATTGGAAACTAGATCCCCTCTTGGAAAGATGTTGCAGATCCTCTTATTTTGCAGGTTAAGGGGCCGTGCGTGTGTGGGCTTGCCTGTGTGTGTGCATACCTGTGTTTATGCATGTCTCTCAGCAGCCGAGCCTCTTAATAGTTGCATACAAAATCTATTTCATGGTGCTATTTTTGTTTTCTCGCTGGGTTCGGAGTTTAAGAGAGAGCCAACCCTTCTCTCTCCACCCCTACCGCTTCCATGCCATTTTGAATGTTTTCAATCAATGGCTTCGTTAGTTCGGCATAGTAGGATCTAGAATTTCATTCATGACTAGCTGTAAAAAGAGGCGCAGACAAATTACACAACTGTCCTAAGAGAATTTTTCCGAATGATTCTTTTATTTCTAAGTGCATCTCTTAATTATGGACTACCTATTGTAATAATTCCCTACCATAAAATGTATATGCACTATAACATATATTGATAAAATACATTTTTAGTATACTCTTAAAATCACAGCAGTTTTTTTTTTAGGGTGAAGGATGCAAGTCCTGATTGCTTCTTTGTACAAGTCATTATGGAGGAAGCCTGTTACTTGATTACGCTGCTATTATTTTGATCTTAAGACTACTTAAGGTTTAAATTGCTGAAGAGCATTCTTTCCCATGGGAAAAATTCTAGTAAATTTAGATTTCATTTGTGTTTAGATCCTTACCTTGGTTTTGCATTTATGATGATAAGAGAGTGGAAACATTTGGTAGGGATGCTATCGAAGGAGAAGATTTTGACATGTTACTGTCGTCTCTGTTCATTTCTAAGCAAACCTTTTTAGTTTAGTATTTTAAAAAACTGAAAATAGAGCTATTATAATTCCCTCCTTATTTTTGGTTTAATAATTAGGAAACTCCCAATAGATTGAAGTAGGTCACTTTAGTTTTGTACCGCATTGAAGAGTTTGGTTAAAATCATTTTGTGACAGTACAGTACTAATTCCCATTTATTTTTAGATTTCCTACAATTATTGAAGCTATTTTAATATTCACAGAAGTAGAAATTGTTCTCTTTAGCGTTGGGAACAAAGCATATGGATCTCACAGACGCATTTCCTGCCTCATAAATTGACTGGAAAAACAGAAAATTAGTGTAGCTAATGGTAAAGAGCTCTTTGGGTTTTTATTGTTGTTGAGTAGTCTAGGTTTAGTTATTTTGGTTTAAGTTGCTTTTTTGGGGTTTTACACTTCTATTAATAATTTGCTAATACAGTAATAATCACAGTGGCAGAAGTTTTTGATTTTTAGCAGGTTTTTATGATGTAAAAAGCTGTGTTAATTCATGATAGTATTTATATTGTATTCTTAAGTCTTTTTGTTTTGCATACCAGGTCATGTTATCTTACAAATACAATTAAAACCAGCCTATAGAAATGAGTCATTTTGAACATAGTGAGATTTCTGGATAAATGAGGCCATTCTGTTGAGAACCAAATGGCTTTCATGAATAAAAATGTTTTAAAGATATTTTACATATTGCTTACTTTTAATTATATTTTATAGTCAGCTCTCTAATTGTTCACAGGTTGATACCCAGATGTGAGATGTCCTAGTCATTGGGTTTTCTTCTTTCTTTTGATGCCTTTCTTTTTTTTTACTGCTCATTTGCATCTTCTTTAGTTAGCCAGCAGAAATAGAAAGGTGGTTGAAACACATTCAGTTTTATTATCCATTTTTTTAAAAGATGGGGCATAAATTTGAAACTCTTTGCAAAAATGAAGTTTTGAATTTAAAATTGTTTGATTATCTCTATTCATCTTCTACCTCTGGTTTTCCCAGATTCACTTATTCAGAGTTAATTGAACATCTCACGAACCCATATCTCAAGCCTACTAGGCAAAATATACTTTATCCTTTAAAGCTTCTTGCCCTATTACGACAGCAAGGCAAAACTTTTATTTGGTAGCAAATGGTTTTAGGCAAATTGCAGAATTTTAGAAGAAACGTCTGAGTTGTTTCTCTCATACAGTGATTTGTCTGGCTATCTTCGTATGTGTAACCTAACGGTTGCTCTCTGAAAGGAAATGTTGGCGTGCGTCTATAGTCGCAGGTACTCAGGAGGCTGAGGCTGGAGAATCGCTTGAACCAGGGAGGCGGAGGTTGCAGTGAGCCAAGATTGTGCCATTTCACTCCAGGCGGGGCGACAGTGAGACTCTGTCTCAAAAAAAAAAAAAAGAAAGAAAAAAAGAAAATATGAGTCATATATTTTGTTATTAAGTGTGTTATTTATTTAGAAAGTCATTTATTGAATGACTAGTCTTTGCCAGGTATATCTAGCTACTTGGTGTAGGTGAAAGGGAATTAGAACTAAATTATACCTTGTGTCTTTATGTCTTGATAAATACAATGGGGGAAATGGGCATGTAATGTATAGTTACAATATAATGTACTGAGTTTTATAATTTCACAATAAGAGAGTATGTACAGAGCTTTTCATATAAGGGAGAGCATCCAAGTTTGTCTTGGGTGTTCAAAGGCTTTAGAGAAGATGCAAAGTGAACTGGGACATGGAGGGTGTATGAAGTACTGAAAGAACATTGCAGGCATAAATAGTATATGTGAAGGTGGTAATGCGCTGGGACACATTGCATGAACAGTATTTATAATATATTATCATTTATGTTAAAACTAAAAAATAATCGATAAACATATTTGCTTGTATATATGTAAAATATCTCTAGAAGCACACACAAACTGATAACAGGTTGCCTTTTAGGGTCAACTGGATGGCTGAAGGACCATGGGTAGGAGAGAACCTTTTCAATGTATATCCTTTTGAATCTTGAATTCAAAAACATATTAAAAATACATTTTAAAGCATGTCATGTGTAAGTTATAAGAAGGTAGGTAAGGGCGGGATGAGGTGGCTCACACCTGTAATCCTAGCACTTTGGGAGGCCAAGGCGGGCAGATCACTTGAGCCCAGGAGTTCAAGACCAGCCTGGATAACATGGCGAAACCCTGTCTCTGCTAAAAAAAAAATTCAAAAAATTAGCCAAGTGTGATGGCATGTGCTGCCTGTAGTCCCAGCTACTCAGGAGACTGAGGTAGGAGGATCACTTGAGCCCGGGAAGTCGAAGCTACAGTGAGCTGAGATTGTGCCACTGCACTGCAGCCTGAGCAACAAGAGTGGGACCCTGTCTCAAAAAAAAAAAAAAAAAAAAAAAAAGTAGGTAAGAATAATTAGAGCCAGATTTTAAAGGATGTCTCTCTCTTAAGCTTTGTTGTGTGTGTGTGTGTGTGTGTGTGTGTGTGTGTGTGTGTCTGTGTGTGTGTGTGTTAGCAGTATGAACTATGGATTATAGAAGGGAGACGAAGGCAAGGATAGAGACAAGTCTGAAAAATTCAGTTGTCCTTAAGGCCTTTTTTTTTTTTTTAATGGAGCCCCTATAACTATTCTTATGGGGGATGGTGAGCAAAGGCCTTACTGAGACCTCTTTGTGAGAACTTAAAAACTATGTGAAGTTAAAAACTATGTGTATTCATCTAGATCAAAATCTTTTTTCTTTTTGGTTAGTTATGGAAATAAAACTTTATTTTTCAGTTTAAGTTTACAATTAAGTAATATCATAAAATAGATATTTTAGTTTCTTAAATCAGCATTTTTCTATTACCTGGGAGTTTATTAGAATTTTTACCTTTTGAGTTTATGTAGAGATGAGAAGAACCTGAACTAAGGCAGAGTCAAGGAAGGAGGACAGCAGAGGCAGGATTGTGGAGATAATATTTAAATACAAAGGTAATTGATCTTAATATGGTAGAGGGGTTGCTCATTTAAAATAAACTACATAGAATAAAAAATTTATATTGGAGTCCTGCTCCTGTAAGTATTTTCCTTTTATATCCCTTGACCGTCTTCTGTTTTCTTATCAGCATCCTATTTGTATGCCTATGCTTTTTCTGTCAATGTGGTCAATTACCTCTCCTGGGTCTTTGCTATTCCCTTTCAACTTGAACTCTGCCTGGAAATGGAGTTTTGCCATTTGCCTACAACTCCCACCATTCTTGCCTCCTCTCTTATTTTTTTGTTCTAACTTATTTGCCCATCTCCATACTTTTTGAAAAATTCTGTATATATTCATATTTTAAAAAATATTCTTTCTCACTATAAAATTGCTTTCATAATAGTATTTTATGAAGTATATAAAATATTTTTTGCTTGCTTTTCTGTCTCAAGAAAATTAAATATTTCTTTTTAGATATATTTGATAGTTTCCTGTTCTTCTGAGTTAATTTTCGACTTGTCCAAACTCTGTTTAGCTACTGTACTAAAAGAATAATGGTGTACTAAATTGGGAGGAAATAGGAAACTATTTCTTTGTTCTCTTATGTTTTCTTTTTATTTAATTTGTACCTAAAGAAGTAAACTATCACATCATTTTCATTTTTGATTGTATTCTGTGCACAATCAGTATTGGGACTAATTTGAATTGAAGTACATATACCAAATATAAAACGAATAGTGGGGTTAGTATTTCTGTATTTTGAGTATTTGGGGAGATAACTAAGATTGCTAGTATCTTAATAAGCTTACAGTCTCTGCAGATGTTTCTGTGGTGTTATTGGCATAAATTGTTTACAAAGGGATATTTAGGAAGGTGCACAAATGATCAGAATTTTGTTGTTTTGTGTGTGTGTGTTTTTTTTTTTTTTAGAACAACGAGGGTTTTCATTAGTCATTAGCAACATTTACAGGTTTTGAAATTCACTCCATAGTTAAATTCTTTTATCAAGCACATGCCACATGTACAGCACTGCTAGATCTATGTATACCTAAATAGACATTACCGTCCAATGTAATTGGTTTCACTCTTAATGGTTTCTCTCCTTTAAAATAAAAAAAGAAAAGGAGCAAAAGGGTGTATGTATACTTTACTACCACAGATGTCTACCTTTGAGGATGACATTAAGAGATAATTTATACTAAGCTGAAAAAAATGTAGGTGAACTACTGACTCAGTAGTTAGGTGAGCTGCTGTATTATTGGTATACAATAATATGAAGTGCAGGGTAGTTTAAAGTTTGCCAGCAAATCATGCACCTGGCCCATGAAAACTGAAATAGATACTAATTCACTGGAATGTTTATGGTAAGAAGAGTGTACATGTCTTGACCAAGACATGGCTATAAGGTTAAGATTAATTTGTTACACATATTGTAGGCCAAAGCATATTAAGTTGAGAAGTCAGAAAGCTGCATTATAAAACAACTTACTTTCTTTTGAAGATATAACAACTGAAATAGATAGTTGGGTCTGAGTAAAAGGAGAGACATTACAAAATAGTTAAAAATGGAAAAAAAGAATTGATTTGATGATGGAAAGCCTTTATCATTTCTAAGTATAATTGATACTTATCCAATTATGTTAACATGTAACTTGTCGACATATACCAGTGCTTTCTGCCATTGTCAGTGGCTATTTTGAGTAATTTGTATTGGTTAGAAGTTCACGTAGTCCTCTTTTATGTTTTCCTAAAGACTACATGGTTCAAAATATACACAATTCAAGACTGATTCTCTATATGAATAAACTACAAGTAGAACTTGTTTTGTGTATGAAGTGTGGTTTTAATATCAGTAATATTTTTATATTGCACTATTTCAAATTTGCGTAATTCAGAATTGCATATGGTGAGGCTGAATTGTATTAATAAAACTGATTAAAGTGAAACTACTTTTTTTTAAATGTAGAAAATAGAACTTCCAAAGAAACTGGCAAAACGCTATCCCGCATATGAGTTGTATCTTTATGGAGAGGGATCCTATGCTGAAGAACACAAAATTCTCCCTTTGACGGGTATTCCAGTTCTCTTTCTTCCTGGTAATGCTGGAAGTTATAAGCAAGGTAAGTCTTACTGGAAGTAAATTTTGAAAGCTATAAAATTCAACTCAAGAATTTGAATCATATCCATACTCGGTGAATCAAATAAAGTAAATGAAATGCATGCTGTGTGTGAAGTGCTGTGCTGGGCTTACAGAGAGACCAAAATATAATATTTTCTCTGAGAGAGAATAATGTGAGAAATACTTAGAAAAGTTGAAGACCACTTTGCAAAGAGAGGGGTACAAAGAATAAGATAGAGTAGGATGGGATAAGTAGATGATAAAGGGGAACCCCTTGGGGAATCAGCAGAGGAAACACATTTATGTTGGAAATGGAGGGTAAAGAGAACAGAACCTTAAGCATTGATTAGGGAAGTAAATCAGTGACTAATGTTATGCAGAACAAGAGAGATTCGTTTTCTTCTTTTGGAGTTATTTAAGTTAGAGAGATTTGGAAGTACTGGGGGGAACATAGAAAGGTGAGATAGGGAAGTTACGTGTACAGATTCCAAATTGATGCTGGCTTGGAGATACAGCAGTTATTTCTGGCGTAACAGCCAAATAACCTGGAATTAATTTCGTTTTAAACTAAAACCTGCTTTCTTGTTATTTGATGGACTAGAATTGTTATGTAATGAGACTAGAATTGTTTCAACATGTGCAATTATTTACGTGTTTATTCATCTAGCACGTGTCTACAGGTATCTACCATGAGCCAGGCTGTATTCCAGGTATTAGGGATCCAGAGCATATCAAGACAAAGTCCCTCTCTCATCAAATTTATATGCTTATCAGGAAGACAGCAATCAAACAAATATGTCAGTAATGTTAAAAGCTAGAAACAAAAACAGACTCAGGAGGTAGAAGATAAAAGGGTCAGGAAGTGGCTAGTTTAGATGAGGTGGTCAGGAAAGGCCATTGTGAGGAGATGACATTTGAGGAGATGCTTGACTGAGGGAAGGTCCTGAGGCAGGAACGTGTTTTGTGCATTGGAGGCTATCGTGACTAGAGAAAGTAAAAAGAGATAAGAATGGAAAAGTAACCACGGGCCATATCATATAAGCTGTGGAAAAGACTTTGAATGAGAAACTGTTGGAGAGCTTTGGGTAAGAAAAATATAACCTGATTTTTAAAAGTAATCTTTGTATTTGAAATATTACATACAGAGAAACACATAGAACATAGATATTTGGTTACAAATTATTATAAAGTGAACACCCGTGAAACCAAAACCCTAGTCAAGAAGTAGATTACCAGTAACCTGGAAACCCCTTCTGTGCCCCTTCATGATTAAAACTTTGTTCCCTTCTTTCTTGACAGAATCACAGTCCTAATGTTAAGAGAGTAATTTCCTTAACTTTCTTTGTAGTTTTAATGCAATCTATGTATATGAGGCTGTTTTTAAATTTTGTAATATGAATATAGTCATTCAGTATGTATTATTTTGTGTCTGGCTTCTTTCACTCAGCATTATCTTTAACATTCATCCAAGTTGTTGTGTGAGCTGTGATTCATTCATTTTCCTTACTCTGTATTATTCTGTAGTATGACTATACCATGGTTTGTCCATTCTGTCTTTGGACAGAATAAATGTTTACATTTATTGGCAATTACAAATAATGAATATTATTCCATATGTTTCCTGGAGCACATAAACCTGTGCTTCTGTAAGCTAGATACCCAAGAGTGTAATTCCATGTTACAGGTTATGTGTATCTTTTTAATCTTTACTGATTGTGCTAATTTATATTCCTAAAAGCAGTATATTTTACCTTCCTTTGCTCCACATCCTTTTACAACACCAGAATTGTCAGACATTAAATTTTTAAGCAACCTGGTAGGTGTGATTTACTTTTAAAAAAAGTTGCTCTGGCTTCACTATGAAGAGAATTTCCTTTGAAGGGCAAGAATGGAAGCAGGAAAGATGCTAAAACATCATAAGTCATCAGAGAACTATAAATAAAAAATGAGATAGCACTTCATACCTCCTAGGATAGTTATAATAAGAAAGATGGATAACAACAAGTGTTGGTGAAGATGTGGAGAAATTGGAACCCTCATACATTGTTGGTGGAAATGTAAAATGTGCAGCCACTTTGGAAAACTGTTTGGGAGTTCCTCAGAATATTGAACATAGAGCTCTCATGTGGCCCAAAAATTCCACTCCTAGGTATCTACCCAAGAAAAATAAACATATACCCACACAAAAACTTGTATATAAATGTTCATAGCAGCATATAATAACCAAAAGGTGGAAATAATTTAAATGACCATCAGCTGATAAATAGATGAATCAAATATGACATATTCATATAATGGAATATTATTCAATAAAAAAGAGGAATGAAGTACTGATACATGTCACAACATGGGTGAACCTTGAAAACATGCTATGTGAAAGAAGCCAGTTCCAAAAGGCCACGTATTATATGAGATATCCAAAATAGGCAAACCCGTAGAGACAGAAAGTAGATCAGTGGTTGCTAGGCCTAGGATTTGGGAGGAGTGAAGAAATGGGGAGTGACTGCCAGTAGGCACAGAGTTTTGTTTTTGAAACGATTAAAAAATATCTTATGTTAGATTTCAGAGATGGTTGTAAAATATATACCAGAGATGGTGAATATACTAAAAACCATCGAATTTTACAGTTTTATATAGTGAGTTGTATAATATGTGGATTATAATGTATCTATAGTATATGTTTTTACAAAATGAAATGGCAAACAGGTATTTTGTTTGCTAAACCATATGCTACAATTTTTGTGCCACCTAATATAAGCAATTTATAATATATTTTTTAAAAAGATTTGCAAAACAACAACAAGAACAAAAAGAGTGGAAGCAGAGAGACCAGTAAAGAACCTGTTAGAGTAGTTCAGATAAGAGATAATAGTGTTTGGATTAGGACAATAGTGGTGGGAATGGTGAGAAATTTCAACTGGGGATAGATTTGGAAGGTACATTATGAAAGCGCTTACTGATGGATTGGATGTCCTGTGTAGGAGAAAAAGACAAATCAAGCGTGAGTATCTAAACCAAGTGATGAATGGATATTTCTTGTAGGAACCTTGTCATTCTTAAAAACCTCAATAAGTGTGGCAAAATTTATATGTCTTATTCTTCAAAGAATCCTGCCCTTTTAGCTATTGTTGCTCCTACCAAAGGAAAAGAAGGTAGAGAGTGAGTGATCTGTTTGCTTTTTGTTTATTTAATTTTAAAAATATTTATGACACACTTACTGCATTCAAGGCATACAGTTGCTAGATTAGTTTGTTCTAAATTGGTGCTATTAATGAATTTCATCCTGAAATAGGTGGTTTATATTCGTGATGCAGGATAAGGTTATTTACTAAGAAATTCTGAAGAAAGAATGGATGAAACCTGTAAATATTGTTTAATGTGCACTTCACTCTTTTCCTCTGCAGTTCGTTCTATTGGCTCCATTGCACTTAGAAAAGCAGAGGACATTGACTTCAAGTACCACTTTGACTTCTTTAGTGTGAACTTCAATGAAGAACTGGTGGCTTTGTATGGTGGAAGTCTTCAGAAGCAGACCAAGTTTGTACATGAATGTATTAAAACAATTCTCAAACTCTATAAGGTGAGAGATAAGTATGCAAATCAATAGTGGTGCAACCTATCGGCACCTTTTTAAAAAAGGGATTCAGTATACTTTAAATCATGTATTTGTTTATATGGAAGTTGAAGCAGAGAAGGCACAAATTTTTTTTGTGAGAGTCTGTTGTCTTGGCCTCCGTAATGGTTTTGAAGTTTAAATTTATAAGAAACATTTCTTATGGTGAATTCAGGAAGAAAAACTTTTTAAAACTTTATATATAAATTAGGAGTAAAATGCATTACCTAAAAACCATTGGTATAGATTTCTACCTCTAGCTATGACTAAGTAACTGGTACTAGGATAGAACACCTGCATATGTAAACAACTGTAAAACTGGTCAAGATATGTGAAGCACCTGTTTTGAGATGTTGGACAACAGAGCAGCAAAGGACTATGATCCCTGGAAGAAGTAAGCTCCATGATTGCTCTGGATTTCTGCCCGGAAGCGTTTTCCAGACTATGGGGCAAGTAAGGGAGGTACATTGATATCACTTAGCTAAAGAAAGCAGAGAATTGGAATTGGGGGCTGCTGAAGCAGCTAAATGCGACATGGTATGAGAAAGAAGAGAGTGAGGCAAAGAAAGGGGCTCTAAAAATGTATGTTTTTCAATCTTTGAATGCCATGCTGCACAGGGAAAGTAGCTATAAAACAGTGGCATGCTAAGGAGGAAGTGGTAGAGTGTGTTCAAGACATAGTGGTGGTTTAAATCAAGGTGGTGGCAGTTGAAGTGATGAGAAATTGTCAGATCAGTGTAAATCTTAAAGGTTGAGGCAGTAAATTTGCTGGCAGATCAGATATGGAAGGGCAAAGTGAGAGGAAAAGAACAGTTAAGGATGACCCCAAGATTTTTGGCTAAACAACTGGAAAGATTGAACTGCCATTAACTGAGGTAGGGAAGAATACAGGAGGAACAGATATGGAGGAGATTAAGAGTTTAGTTTTAGATAGATCCAGTTTGAGATGCACATTAGGCATTCCATGTATGCTACTGTACAGGTGGAGTTCAAGGCTAGAGTTCAAGAGAAGGAGTACAGTCTCGAGATAATTACTGAGAGGTTGACAGTGTGTAGATATACTTAAAGCCACTAGACAGGAAGAGATCACTGATGGTTTCAGCAAAGATATGAAAGAGCAGTGATCTAAGGGCGGAGACCTGAGTCACCTAAGTTTTAAGAAATGAGGAGAGATGAGAAGGAACCAGAAACAGAAACTAAAAAAGAGGAGCCAGTGAGGCAAAGGGAGAACCAGGAGAGTTTGTTGTCAAAGAAACTAACTTAAATATTTCAAAGAAGGAAGAAGTAAGTTATCAACTGTGTCAAATGTTACTGATAGGTCAAATAAGATGAGGATTAATAATTGACCATTGTAGCCTAGGCAACATAGTGAGACCCTGTGTCTACAAAAAAATATATATATTAGCTGGATGTGGTGGTGCACACTTGTAGTCCCAGCTACTTGGGAGGCTGAGGTAGGAGGATCTACTCGGAGCCTAGGAGATTGGGGCTGCAGTGAGCCATGAATCGTGCCACTGCGCTCCAGCCTGGGTGACAGAGTGAGACCCTGTCTCAGAAAAAAAAAAAAAAAAGAATTAAGAATTGACTATTGGATTCCTTGGTGATTTAGCAAGAGCAGTTTTGGTGGCATGTTGGGGTGAAAGTCTGATTGAAATGGATTTAAGAGTGTATGGAAGTTGAGAAATTGGAGATAGCAATAGCAAGTACTGTGTATACAACTTGTTTTGTTTTGTTTTGTTTTGTTTTGTTTTGTTTTGTTTTGTTTGAGACAGGGTCTCACTCTGTCACCAGGCTGGAGTACAGTGGTGCAATCTCAGCTCACTGCAACCTCCTCCTCCTAGGTTCAAGTGATTCTCCTGCCTCAGCCTCCTGAGTAACTGGGACTACAGGCATGTGCCACCACGCCCAGCTAATTTTTGTATTTTTAGCAGATACCAGGTTTTGCCATGTTAGCCAGGCTGGTCTCGAACTCCTGACCTGAAGTGATCCACCTACCTTGGCCTCCTAAAGTGCTGGGATTACAGGTGTGAGCCACCGGACCTGGCCTGCAACTTGCTTTTAGAGTTTTGCTGTAAAGAAATGTAAAGTAGTCACTAAGGGGAAAGTGAGAATTAAAAGGGAGTTATTTTTATTTTTAAGAGAGAATGCCAGTATATTTATACACTAATGAAAGTGATCTAGTTGATAGGGAAAAGCAATAATGCAAGAAGAAAATGAGAAGGATTGCTAGAGTGAGGTACTTGCGAAGGTCAAAGGGGATAGGTTTCAGAGCACAGTTGTAGGGTTTGGCTTTTGCTAAGATCAGGTCTGTATTGGAGATCACCAAGGATCCACTTAATTCCTATACCAGCATATTGTGACATGGCTGAAATAGTGTCCACAAGGGAAGCTCATTAGAGACTCAGTGCCCATGGTTTTTACTGGGGACTTATCACATAGATACCCTCTGCCTAGCACATACCAAAATTCCAGCCTGGAGGACAGCAGGTGTTCAGCATAAAACATGTTGTTTGCACAAACAGTTTAGGCACTCTTATCATTTAGGGAATGGTGAGAATCTCCCCCAAGTATAAGGTTCCAGATTCCAGCCAAGAGCCAACCTTGTATCCAGCCCATGCCAAGGACAGCAGTCTCAGGCCTCCTATGTTAACTCTTCTGCACAAGATTCAGTCTATTCATTGAGAAGCGATGGTACATAGGAAGGATCTGTGTTGGGGATGATGAGCAAAAGTTTGGTAATGAGACTGAGGAGATTGTTGAAAACAAAAGATTTTTTGAAAAGCACTTATCTAAAAAATAAAATATGGAATTGTCAGTGAATAAATGTTTGGAATGCTGCTTCGTTTTTAAACCAAAATGCACAATAGAGAAATAATTTGATGAGATAAAAGATAACAACATGATAAGGTAATATATTGCTATCGCAACTGTAATTGTCTTGGCCTTTTTTGGGTGATATTTTCAGTTTCAAACAAATTATCCGATTTCTTATGTCTTGTAAAACCTAATAATCTGGTATATACCAAATATAATTACTCCTCACATTACATGTAGTGTAACCAACAGTATAAACATGATTTGCTAGACCAACTGTTCCTCTTGGCCCAGAAAACCAAGATATACCTGTTAAAAATGTTTGGCAGAACACAAAATAGTATGTATACACTAATTAAAACTATATGAAAATGTATTTCTGTACCTTATGATGGGAGGTTATATAAATAGTTTGATTTTCTTTTTCCTATAAAATTGGTCATATGCAGAGAGAAATATTTAGTATTTTAAAAATGATACAAAGCCGCAATTATGACCTGGTGATTTATTTTAATAGGGTCAAGAATTTGCTCCAAAAAGTGTGGCAATAATTGGTCATTCTATGGGTGGCCTTGTTGCAAGAGCATTGCTTACACTGAAAAATTTTAAGCATGATCTGATAAATCTTCTTATTACACAAGCCACACCTCATGTTGCTCCTGTGATGCCATTAGATCGTTTCATTACAGGTGAGTACTGTTACATGAACATTAACCTCCCCATTGTTATTTAAGATTAAATAAATCAATCTCTGTGGCTATTCCCCTAGGAGTATGCTACAGATTTATCCATGTATGAAGCAACTCAGTTGCAAATCAGCACCTCCAATTCTGAGTGTCTGTCTCTTTATATTATTGAACTTAGGCTTATAATTGAAACTACTGTTAAGTTTTGTCTGTCCATAGCATCTTAACATGGTTGACATGTGTTTTATAATTTCTAGGCACTAGGGCTTCCGTTTAGTTTTTTTTTTTTTTTTTTTTTTTTTTTAAAGACAGGGTCTTGCTCTTTCTCCCAGGCTGGAGTGCAGTGGTGCAATCTCAGCTCACTGCAACCTCCACCTCTCAGGTTCAAGCGATTCTCGTGCTTCAGCCTTCCAAGTATCTGGGATTTTTGCCGTATTGCCCAGGCTGGTCTTGAACTGCTGACCTCAAGTGATCTGCCTATCTCAGCCTCCCAAAGTGCTGGGATTACAGGCATAAGCCACCATGCCTGGCCAGTTTAGTTATTTTTGAGGATGGTACCCTGTCTCTTAAGATGTGTTTAAACTTCCTATGCTTTGTTAACTGTTTTAGGACTGTATCCAAAATAAGCTTATATTTAAGTAAGATAGTAGCAATGTCTAGTTTTTAAGTACAAAGGTATGCTAACACTTTATATAATGAGATATAATTCCTAATATTTATTGAGCTCTTAGTATGTTATGGATTTTAAAGACTTCATGTGATGTGTTACCACACTTAATCCTTACTGCAGTCCCATGAGGTAGGCACCATTATTATCCTCATGTTTATGGATAGAAAAAGGCCAAGATAACGTTCTTGCCCAGAGTCATGTGGCAAGAAAGTAGTGAAACCAGTATTTGACCCTGGCAAAATTGCTTCTGGGCTTGTGCTCTTAACCTTTGCATGCTGTACTGCCTCTTAATTGAAGTACATTAACATAGGAAATAAAACCGTAGATAATACTATAATCTTGCAGGAATTTTGAATGAAAAGTAGGAGTTTGTGATTGACATCGTCTAATCAAATAGTGATAACGTCACAGAATAAGAATTAAATGTCTGTTATCTCAACTTATTGTTAAAAAAAGCCAGAGATTATCCTCACTGCTTATAGGAATATTATATGAGTAGATGAAAATCTTTAGAAAGAATTCTTTCTGGTTAGTAAATGTATATAGCTTCTTACCTATAAAAATTTGCATTATCTTAATTTTTTTTTTTTTTTTTTTTTTTTTTTTTTATTATACTCTAAGTTTTAGGGTACATGTGCACATTGTGCAGGTTAGTTACATATGTATACATGTGCCATGCTGGTGCGCTGCACCCACTAATGTGTCATCTAGCATTAGGTATATCTCCCAATGCTATCCCTCCCCCCTCCCCCGACCCCACCACAGTCCCCAGAGTGTGATATTCCCCTTCCTGTGTCCATGTGATCTCATTGTTCAATTCCCACCTATGAGTGAGAATATGCGGTGTTTGGTTTTTTGTTCTTGCGATAGTTTACTGAGAATGATGGTTTCCAATTTCATCCATGTCCCTACAAAGGATATGAACTCATCATTTTTTATGGCTGCATAGTATTCCATGGTGTATATGTGCCACATTTTCTTAATCCAGTCTATCATTGTTGGACATTTGGGTTGGTTCCAAGTCTTTGCTATTGTGAATAGTGCCTCAATAAACATACGTGTGCATGTGTCTTTATAGCAGCATGATTTATACTCATTTGGGTATATACCCAGTAATGGGATGGCTGGGTCAAATGGTATTTCTAGTTCTAGATCCCTGAGGAATCGCCACACTGACTTCCACAATGGTTGAACTAGTTTACAGTCCCACCAACAGTGTAAAAGTGTTCCTATTTCTCCGCATCCTCTCCAGCACCTGTTGTTTCCTGACTTTTTAATGATTGCCATTCTAACTGGTGTGAGATGATATCTCATAGTGGTTTTGATTTGCATTTCTCTGATGGCCAGTGATGATGAGCATTTCTTCATGTGTTTTTTGGCTGCATAAATGTCTTCTTTTGAGAAGTGTCTGTTCATGTCCTTCGCCCACTTTTTGATGGGGTTGTTTGTTTTTTTCTTGTAAATTTGTTTGAGTTCATTGTAGATTCTGGATATTAGCCCTTTGTCAGATGAGTAGGTTGCGAAAATTTTCTCCCATGTTGTAGGTTGCCTGTTCACTCTGATGGTAGTTTCTTTTGCTGTGCAGAAGCTCTTTAGTTTAATTAGATCCCATTTGTCAATTTTGTCTTTTGTTGCCATTGCTTTTGGTGTTTTGGACATGAAGTCCTTGCCCACGCCTATGTCCTGAATGGTAATGCCTAGGTTTTCTTCTAGGGTTTTTATGGTTTTAGGTTTAACGTTTAAATCTTTAATCCATCTTGAATTGATTTTTGTATAAGGTGTAAGGAAGGGATCCAGTTTCAGCTTTCTACATATGGCTAGCCAGTTTTCCCAGCACCATTTATTAAATAGGGAATCCTTTCCCCATTGCTTGTTTTTGTCAGGTTTGTCAAAGATCAGATAGTTGTAGATATGCGGCATTATTTCTGAGGGCTCTGTTCTGTTCCATTGATCTATATCTCTGTTTTGGTACCAGTACCATGCTGTTTTGGTTACTGTAGCCTTGTAGTATAGTTTGAAGTCAGGTAGTGTGATGCCTCCAGCTTTGTTCTTTTGGCTTAGGATTGACTTGGCAATGCGGGCTCTTTTTTGGTTCCATATGAACTTTAAAGTAGTTTTTTCCAATTCTGTGAAGAAAGTCATTGGTAGCTTGATGGGGATGGCATTGAATCTGTAAATTACCTTGGGCAGTATGGCCATTTTCACGATATTGATTCTTCCTACCCATGAGCATGGAATGTTCTTCCATTTGTTTGTGTCCTCTTTTATTTCCTTGAGCAGTGGTTTGTAGTTCTCCTTGAAGAGGTCCTTCACATCCCTTGTAATTTGGATTCCTAGGTATTTTATTCTCTTTGAAGCAATTGTGAATGGGAGTTCACCCATGATTTGGCTCTCTGTTTGTCTGTTGTTGGTGTATAAGAATGCTTGTGATTTTTGTACATTGATTTTGTATCCTGAGACTTTGCTGAAGTTGCTTATCAGCTTAAGGAGATTTTGGGCTGAGACGATGGGGTTTTCTAGATAAACAATCATGTCGTCTGCAAACAGGGACAATTTGACTTCCTCTTTTCCTAATTGAATACCCTTTATTTCCTTCTCCTGCCTGATTGCCCTGGCCAGAACTTCCAACACTATGTTGAATAGGAGCGGTGAGAGAGGGCATCCCTGTCTTGTGCCAGTTTTCAAAGGGAATGCTTCCAGTTTTTGCCCATTCAGTATGATATTGGCTGTGGGTTTGTCATAGATAGCTCTTATTATTTTGAAATACGTCCCATCAATACCTAATTTATTGAGAGTTTTTAGCATGAAGGGTTGTTGAATTTTGTCAAAGGCCATTTCTGCATCTATTGAGATAATCATGTGGTTTTTGTCTTTGGCTCTGTTTATATGCTGGATTACATTTATTGATTTGCGTATATTGAACCAGCCTTGCATCCCAGGGATGAAGCCCACTTGATCATGGTGGATAAGCTTTTTGATGTGCTGCTGGATTCGGTTTGCCAGTATTTTATTGAGGATTTTTGCATCAATGTTCATCAAGGATATTGGTCTAAAATTCTCTTTTTTGGTTGTGTCTCTGCCCGGCTTTGGTATCAGAATGATGCTGGCCTCATAAAATGAGTTAGGGAGGATTCCCTCTTTTTCTATTGATTGGAATAGTTTCAGAAGGAATGGTACCAGTTCCTCCTTGTACCTCTGGTAGAATTCGGCTGTGAATCCATCTGGTCCTGGACTCTTTTTGGTTGGTAAACTATTGATTATTGCCACAATTTCAGAGCCTGTTATTGGTCTATTCAGAGATTCAACTTCTTCCTGGTTTAGTCTTGGGAGAGTGTATGTGTCGAGGAATGTATCCATTTCTTCTAGATTTTCTAGTTTATTTGCGTAGAGGTGTTTGTAGTATTCTCTGATGGTAGTTTGTATTTCTGTGGGATCGGTGGTGATATCCCCTTTATCATTTTTTATTGTGTCTATTTGATTCTTCTCTCTTTTTTTCTTTATTAGTCTTGCTAGCGGTCTATCAATTTTGTTGATCCTTTCGAAAAACCAGCTCCTGGATTCATTGATTTTTTGAAGGGTTTTTTGTGTCTCTATTTCCTTCAGTTCTGCTCTGATTTTAGTTATTTCTTGCCTTCTGCTAGCTTTTGAATGTGTTTGCTCTTGCTTTTCTAGTTCTTTTAATTGTGATGTTAGGGTGTCAATTTTGGATCTTTCCTGCTTTCTCTTGTAGGCATTTAGTGCTATAAATTTCCCTCTACACACTGCTTTGAATGCGTCCCAGAGATTCTGGTATGTGGTGTCTTTGTTCTCGTTGGTTTCAAAGAACATCTTTATTTCTGCCTTCATTTCGTTATGTACCCAGTAGTCATTCAGGAGCAGGTTGTTCAGTTTCCATGTAGTTGAGCGGCTTTGAGTGAGATTCTTAATCCTGAGTTCTAGTTTGATTGCACTGTGGTCTGAGAGATAGTTTGTTATAATTTCTGTTCTTTTACATTTGCTGAGGAGAGCTTTTCTTCCAACTATGTGGTCAATTTTGGAATAGGTGTGGTGTGGTGCTGAAAAAAATGTATATTCTGTTGATTTGGGGTGGAGAGTTCTGTAGATGTCTATTAGGTCTGCTTGGTGCAGAGCTGAGTTCAATTCCTGGGTATCCTTGTTGACTTTCTGTCTCGTTGATCTGTCTAATGTTGACAGTGGGGTGTTAAAGTCTCCCATTATTAATGTGTGGGAGTCTAAGTCTCTTTGTAGGTCACTGAGGACTTGCTTTATGAATCTGGGTGCTCCTGTATTGGGTGCATAAATATTTAGGATAGTTAGCTCCTCTTGTTGAATTGATCCCTTTACCATTATGTAATGGCCTTCTTTGTCTCTTTTGATCTTTGTTGGTTTAAAGTCTGTTTTATCAGAGACTAGGATTGCAACCCCTGCCTTTTTTTGTTTTCCATTGGCTTGGTAGATCTTCCTCCATCCTTTTATTTTGAGCCTATGTGTGTCTCTGCACGTGAGATGGGTTTCCTGAATACAGCACACTGATGGGTCTTGACTCTTTATCCAACTTGCCAGTCTGTGTCTTTTAATTGCAGAATTTAGTCCATTTATATTTAAAGTTAATATTGTTATGTGTGAATTTGATCCTGTCATTATGATGTTAGCTGGTGATTTTGCTCATTAGTTGATGCAGTTTCTTCCTAGTCTCGATGGTCTTTACATTTTGGCATGATTTTGCAGTGGCTGGTACCGGTTGTTCCTTTCCATGTTTAGCGCTTCCTTCAGGAGCTCTTTTAGGGCAGGCCTGGTGGTGACAAAATCTCTCAGCATTTGCTTGTCTATAAAGTATTTTATTTCTCCTTCACTTATGAAGCTTAGTTTGGCTGGATATGAAATTCTGGGTTGAAAATTCTTTTCTTTAAGAATGTTGAATATTGGCCCCCACTCTCTTCTGGCTTGTAGGGTTTCTGCCGAGAGATCCGCTGTTAGTCTGATGGGCTTTCCTTTGAGGGTAACCCGACCTTTCTCTCTGGCTGCCCTTAACATTTTTTCCTTCATTTCAACTTTGGTGAATCTGACAATTATGTGTCTTGGAGTTGCTCTTCTCGAGGAGTATCTTTGTGGCGTTCTCTGTATTTCCTGAATCTGAACGTTGGCCTGCCTTGCTAGATTGGGGAAGTTCTCCTGGATAATATCCTGCAGAGTGTTTTCCAACTTGGTTCCATTCTCCACATCTCTTTCAGGTACACCAATCAGACGTAGATTTGGTCTTTTCACATAGACCCATATTTCTTGGAGGTTTTGCTCATTTCTTTTTATTCTTTTTTCTCTAAACTTCCCTTCTCGCTTCATTTCATTCATTTCATCTTCCATTGCTGATACCCTTTCTTCCAGTTGATCGCATCGGCTCCTGAGGCTTCTGCATTCTTCACGTAGTTCTCGAGCCTTGGTTTTCAGCTCCATCAGCTCCTTTAAGCACTTCTCTGTATTGGTTATTCTAGTTATACATTCTTCTAAATTTTTTTCAAAGTTTTCAACTTCTTTGCCTTTGGTTTGAATGTCCTCCCGTAGCTCAGAGTAATTTGATCGTCTGAAGCCTTCTTCTCTCAGCTTGTCAAAATCATTCTCCATCCAGCTTTGTTCTGTTGCTGGTGAGGAACTGCGTTCCTTTGGAGGAGGAGAGGCACTCTGCGTTTTAGAGTTTCCAGTTTTTCTGTTCTGTTTTTTCCCCATCTTTGTGGCTTTATCTACTTTTGGTCTTTGATGATGGTGATGTACAGATGGGTTTTCGGTGTAGATGTCCTTTCTGGTTGTTAGTTTTCCTTCTAACAGACAGGACCCTCAGCTGCAGGTCTGTTGGAATACCCTGCCGTGTGAGGTGTCAGTGTGCCCCTGCTGGGGGGTGCCTCCCAGTTAGGCTGCTCGGGGGTCAGGGGTCAGGGACCCACTTGAGGAGGCAGTCTGCCCGTTCTCAGATCTCCAGCTGCGTGCTGGGAGAACCACTGCTCTCTTCAAAGCTGTCAGACAGGGACACTTAAGTCTGCAGAGGTTACTGCTGTCTTTTTGTTTGTCTGTGCCCTGCCCCCAGAGGTGGAGCCTACAGAGGCAGGCAGGCCTCCTTGAGCTGTGGTGGGCTCCACCCAGTTCGAGCTTCCTGGCTGCTTTGTTTACCTAAGCAAGCCTGGGCTATGGCGGGCGCCCCTCCCCCAGCCTCGTTGCCGCCTTGCAGTTTGATCTCAGACTGCTGTGCTAGCAATCAGCGAGATTCCGTGGGCGTAGGACCCTCTGAGCCAGGTGTGGGATATAGTCTCGTGGTGCGCCGTTTCTTAAGCCGGTCTGAAAAGCGCAATATTCGGGTGGGAGTGACCCGATTTTCCAGGTGCGTCCGTCACCCCTTTCTTTGACTCGGAAAGGGAACTCCCTGACCCCTTGCGCTTCCCAGGTGAGGCAATGCCTCGCCCTGCTTCGGCTCGCGCACGGTGCGCGCACACACTGGCCTGCGCCCACTGTCTGGCACTCCCTAGTGAGATGAACCTGGTACCTCAGATGGAAATGCAGAAATCACCCGTCTTCTGCGTCGCTCACGCTGGGAGCTGTAGACCGGAGCTGTTCCTATTCGGCCATCTTGGCTCCTCCCTCCCGCATTATCTTAATTTTGATGAAAATTTTGTTTGTAGTTAAGTGAGAAATATTCCCCAGTGACTCCAAACCATCTTAACATAACAGCATTGCCAAAAAATAATTTATTTGCTCTTAAGTATCTGGTGCAACAGTAATTATTATGAGGCCCGGTTTTTCTGTTGGTACATTTAAAACTTTGCTTGTAGAAGTCTTTTAATAAGGAAACATTTTAATTTTAATAATGAAGTTGTTTAAATTTGTTGTAGTCTAATAATCTTAAATGACCTTAGGTTTAGGAAAAAAATTAAAGGCTAAAAGTCATAGTACTTGTCACCGTAATTGAGAACTCTTTATATTGTTGCATTCTGTGTGGTGTATGTAGATGACCCGTATAGATTAAATTAGAATGACTCAAAGATATTTTAAAAATTACTTGAGGAATGCACCCTCAATAGGTTTTATTGCTTTGGAGGGTGGCACTGTTCTGTCTCTATAAGGCTCAGGCTGAAAGTGATTCTTAGGGTCAAGAATCCTGTACCTTTCCTGTAATTAGTCTTTCCTTTTTATTCTATATTTATTCTTTTTATTTTACTAAGTCAAAATTAGAATGAAAATTTTAAGGTTTTGAGAGACAGAGATCCATATGACCTCAGAAGTAGATTCCCTGTTTATACTTGTTGAAAATACTGCCTTTCAATAGGAGGAAGGAGGCCCTGCACTGGGCTCTGCACTTTAGAGGTTCCTGCTGCTCTGCCCCTAGCCTTTCCCACAGGGTGAGAAGTATGAAGGCTAAGTAGCCTCCCCACGTGGAGCCTGTATCTTTACTTCTGCACTGTGATCCAGCTAACCAAGCCTCCAGACTTTTATTTATTTTTTTTTTTGAGACAGTCACGCTCTGTTGCCAGGCTGGAGTGCAGTGGCGCAATCTCGGCTCACTGCAACCTCCGCCTCCTGGGTTCAAGCGATTCTCCTGCCTCAGCCTCCCAAGTAGCTGGGACTACAGGTGCATGCCACCACGCCCAGCTAATTTTTAGTAGAGACAGTGTTTCACCATGTTGGCCAGGATGGTCTCGATCTCTTGACCTCATGATCCGCCCGCCTCGGCCTCCCAAAGTGCTGGGATTACAGGAGGGAGCCACTGCGCCCAGCTGCCTCTAGACTTTTCTTGTCTATGTGCCCTAAGCCTGCTTCTAAGACCTGTGTGGGTCTCTTCATTTTCTTTGTTTTCCTGAGGGCAGGTATGTAGAATCCTAAGCTTGAGTTGTGGCCAAGCATAGCGCTGCTGAAAGTACAGACAGAGCTTGCATGTGCACATGAGGCCCTTGCAATGCGGGATCGAATTAGGATGGGAAGAGAAGCACAGTAAGAGACTGAAGATCTGCTCTTCCCATGCTGCCACCATCCAGTGGCTAACTCTGAGGTGTCTGAGAATTCTTAATTTGAACCTGGCCTTCCAGGTTATTTCAATGATATATTTTTAAAGATAGGCAGAAAAAAATATATTTGATTTAACAGGTTATTAGCTGGATTTTTGACTTTTTAAACTATCTAGACATATGGCATGTGTGCCCCACTGGTACTTAACATCCCAGGCTCTCCAGATGTTAAGAGTCAGTCTGCTAGGTGGTAATCTAAGTAAGTACTGCTGAGATCTTTAATGGGGGCAGCTTGCTGTACCCAGTGTTTGAAGCCCTGAGTGGGATCAAATGTCAGGATAAAAATGCATTAAATTTTGATAATCACAAAAAGAATTGAGAAATCCCCTGCCCTAGCCTCAATTTAATCTTTGACACTAGGCTTTTTTCACCTTCAATAGACAAAGTGAAAAATTGTCTGCAGGTTCTTCCCTTTGAAGTACTTGTTACAATAAATGGGTTGAACCCTAACCCTGAGGTTTTCCACAGCAGCAGCATAGTCCTAAGACTAATGTCAATGGTATTGTCCAGATAGATTGTAAGAATTTAAATAGTACTTGTGTGGTGGTGGTTGGCCACAGAAGAGATTTGCTAAGCCTTTTTCTTTTCTTTTTTTTTTTTTTTTTTTTTGAGACAGAGTCTCGCTCTGTTGCCCAGGCTGGAGTGCAGTAGCACAATCTCGGCTCACTGCAACCTCTGCCTCCCGGGTTCAAGCGATTCTCCTGCCTCAGCCTCCCGAGTAGCTGGGACTACAGGTGCGCACCACCATGCCCAGCTAATTTTTGTATTTTTAGTAGAGATGGGCTTTCACCATATTGGCCAGGCTAGTCTCAAACTCCTGACCTCGTGATCTGCCTTCCTCAGCCTCCCAAGCTAAGCCTTTTTAAGCTGGGATACTGCCATCATAGGGAGGGATCTACAGCTCTTTTTTTTTTTTTAAACCACTTTATTGAGGGTAATTGATATATAAAATACCGCACATATATAACAGTTTGTAATGTATACATTTAATGTATACAGTTTGAACATGTGCATATACCATGAAACTAACACCACAAATGTCTACAACTCTAGCATGGTAAATTCTTATCTTTCGAAGAATATTAGAATTTTCTCTTTTAGCTATACTGTGTGACTCATAAATAAGCATCATCCTTGTGGAATGTAGAAATGTGTTTGCTTATGGATCCAAAGCTAGTAAAATTTGTTTTTTTTTAATTGATACCTTTAGTAACTCTTAGTATTTATACTTTTATTTAATCGGGAAGTAGGAATATGTGTAAAGATACTGATTTTACTGAAAATAGGGAAATGTGAATAACTCAACTGTTTATAGATGAAATGACTTAAGCAAAAATTCAGTTACATATTAATATTACTGTATAGATATCTTATTGTTTCAGGGAATGGCTACTGTTTTTTAATGTCTCTTTTTTATTCCCCACCAGATTTTTATACGACTGTAAACAACTATTGGATTCTAAATGCTCGACACATAAATTTAACCACACTTTCTGTAGCTGGAGGATTCCGGGATTACCAAGTTCGTTCAGGATTGACTTTTCTACCAAAATTAAGCCATCATACCAGTGCCTTATCTGTTGTGGTAATCTTTTTTTAAGATTCTATTGAAATAGTAATGTAATAGACCCAGTGGAGCATGAAAGAAGAAATAATATATAGCTGCATGGTAATGACTGCTGAGTTAGTGGTGTTGGACTGCTGTGTGGGCATGCATGTGTGTAAGAGAGAGAGGGAAAGAGAGAAAGAGAGAAAATGAATGAATGAATGAATATGAATGTGTTGGGAGGGCAGAATTGTGGATGCTTATGTCCATAGGGAGTAAAAAGGATGGCCAGGAACCATGGCTTATGCCTATAATTCTAGTGCTTTGTGAGGCCAAGGCAGGAGGACTGCTTGAGGCCAGGAGTTCAAGATCAGCCTAGGCAACATAGGGAGACCCCCAACTCTACAAAATACAAAAAATCTTTAAAATTAGCCAGGCTAATTTGGCATGGTGGTAAGTGCCTATAGTCCGAGCTACTCAGGAGGTTGAGGCAAGAGAATCACTTGAGTCCAGGAGTTCGAGGTTATAGTGAGCTGTGATTTTATCACTGCACCTCAGCCTGGATGACAGAACAAGACTCTGACTCAAAAACAAACAAAAAAAAGTAAGTACAAAGGATCTTAGAAACTTGATGAAAATGACCCTTATTTATGAGGAGTAATGGTTTCTTGTCTAAAATAAGAGCCTGTTCATTGATTAGAGTTGTGAATATAAGAATGTGTGGACTGGAATCCAGGGGAATCCAGTTATATCTGAGTGTTGTACTAGATATAATCATAGTGGAATATCAAATATATCACATACTTCTGAATGTTAAACTTGAATGAAACTTTACCAATTTTATAACAACATGATTAGCTTTGATAGTATAAGTAGTATAAGTAGAACCTGATTAATTAATTTGCTACTTATTCTTCCCTGCTAGGACATCAAGTATTTGGTCTTTAACTGGGATACATAATCTGTGTAAAGTGAGTCAAGTTTCCTTTTAGGACTTCTTTCATGTGTATTTAACCTTGAAGTCTTCAGTTAAGATCTTAGCTTCTTAACTCAGTATACACATCATCTCCAAATATAACTTACTTCCTAAAGAGAAGATGCATAGAATGTAGTCTGCCTGTTCCTTTTGCTTTTTAGGAGATAACACTAGAAAATCACTGTTTCATAGTTATACCTCTTCATAGATACTCCTTTTTTCATCTCACCTATTGTTGTCCTACTTTAGATTACTGTTCATTCATTAAATAGGTTATTTACTGAATGCTTGCCATACATAGAACAAAAATTATTAAGCTATTCTGCTATTACCCACCATTTTCATGTAACTAGAGGAATTGGGATGTAGCCAGAATAGCTTTGGAACTAAATTAGTAAAACTATCAAACCTCATTATTAGAGGTATGAATGTTGCTATTTGGTGTTGAATATTTTGGTCAGATATTTGTTGGAAGTCCTCAAAAGACTAAGTGTCAACTCCTTGTAAACACAGACGATTTAGTCATATGAAATTTGATGTAACTTATTTCCTGGACCTTGTCTGGAGAATGATGCTGTATTGATACCACATCCTAAAGCTTATCTTTTAAAGAACTTTGATCTCTTTAATTGTGTGTGTGTAGGCATGGGTGTGTGTGTACTTCCCTATTTTTTCTAATCTATTTGATAATGTGTTGCTTTCTTTTTTTTTCTTTTTTTTTGAGACGGAGTCTCGCTCTGTAGCCCAGGCTGGAGTGCAGTGGCGCGATCTCCGCTCACTGCAAGCTCTGCCTCTCTGGTTCACACCATTCTCCTGCCTCAGCCTCCCGAGTAGCTGGGACTACAGGCGTCCGCCACCATGCCCAGCTAATTTTTTTTGTATTTTTAGTAGAGATGGGGTTTCACCATGTTAGCCAGGATGGTCTCGATCTCCTGACCTCGTGGTTCACCTGCCTTGGCCTCCCAAAGTGCTGGGATTACAGGTGTGAGCCACCACACCCAGCTGATAATGTGTTGCTTTCAAGGGAGCTTGTTATCTCTGATTTCTGTATCTCTGATGAAGATATTTTACTTATGGAACTTTATCAAAGCTTGCCATTGTATAACCTAAGATTTATTTTTTAGCCTCCAGATATTCCAGTCTTTCATATAGCTACATGTATATTCCCTTTAAAAAGTTATTAACAGTAACAATTTTTGAATGATTGTCTCAAGAATAGTTAAATGATGTTTACATCCATTAGGACTGGAAAATCTTTTAAGTTAGAGACCATAATTGTATCAAGAGGGTTGACTAAACTGCTGTAATATAGTCCCACACAGATAATGACACTTAAGCACAATAGAACTTGACGTTTTATTCATGTAACTGCCCTGGGTGGATATTTAGGTTGGTGGGTGGTTTTCCAAGAGGTTCCATTCAGGAACTCAGGCTGAGAGTGGGCATTCCATCTTGAATGCTTTTCTTTCAGGGTTGCTCCAGTCATCTTCAACCACAAGAAGGAAGAAAGAACACAAGGCAAATGTCAGGCCTACAAATGGCACACATCACTCCTGCTCACATACCATTAGAAAAAACTCACTTTGTGTGTTTTGTTTTGTTTTGTTTTGAGACGGAGTTTCGCTCTTGTTGCCCAGGCTGGAGTGCAATGGCACAATCTCAGCTCACTGCAACCTCTGCCTCCAGGGTTCAAGCGATTCTTCTGCCTCAGCCTCCTGAGTAGCTGGGATTAGAGGCACACGCCCCCATGCCCAGCTAATTTTTTGAAATTTTTTTAGTAGAGATGCGGTTTCACCATGTTAGCCAGGCTGGTCTCCAACTCCTGACCTCAGGTGATCCACCCGCCTCGGCCTCCCACAGTGTTGGGATTACAGGCGTGAGCCACTACGCCCGATCTCAGTCACATATTAAAGCAAGAGAGGCTAAGAGCTGTAGTCTAGCCAAGTGTGCAAGAAAAGAATAGATTTTGGTAGACATTTAGCAGTTTTCAACACAACAATCATGAGCAACTGACTTTTTGATTTGTGTTGCCTTTCCTTTTTCAACTCTAGCACACATGCATTAATTAAACTGAATGAAAGTAAACCAGCATTATATTCTTGGTAATGGTAAATGCTGTCTACTAAGAGTTCTTACTCTACTGACCATTAATGTAATTTAAGAACGACAGTGAACTCTGGTTGTCTAATTTTTTTTAGTAAACTATCAGCAGTAATTTCTAAATATATCAAGTACTTACAAGTTCATCAAGTAAGCTGTAGATTCCTCCCACTTCAGAACATGGAACCCAAAGATACATTATTATTTATAGAGTTCAGGGTGTTAGTGATTCCTTAGAAGTTATACATATTTATTTTTTCAGTTCATTTATTAAAGAGACATTTTAGGCCTCTGTAAATTTTCTTGCATCTATGCTGTTAGTCTTCTATTTTCATTTGGTTTTGACAGTTCTGGTGATAGCAGCTCCTTGTCTCTTTGATGGTACATAAAGAGATGCTATGAAAAATAAAATCAGATTTACTTAATGAGCCCCTATTCTGTGTGAGATGCTATTCACAGAGAGATCATTATCTGGTGTGAAAAGGAGTCTCTAGTTCTTGAAGGGTGCTGTGCCATTGTTAGGAAGCCCTCTGCAAATACTTATATTTTTTAGAAGCCTTTTGTCCTTGTATATTTTACTAGTTGTATACATCCTAGTCAGCTAGGGATTTTTTTTTTTTTCAAAATATATAACCCTGGACCCCGCTTGGGAAAGTCAGATTTGGTAGTTTTGCAGTTGTGATTAGGCATATTTGGTTTGAAAACTCTCCTTAGGCCTAGGTATTTCTTAGGTACACCACTGATGAAGAAGTTAACATCTTAGAATCTATCAAGTGGTAGTTTCGTCAAAATTTAAATTACTAAAATGTCTTTTGTAACTTATACATTAACTGTGATTTATTAAAGAATCTTAAACTTGTCTCTCATTAGAGTAATAAAAAGTTAGACATTAAACTTTAGGAGTCTGTGGTTGCTTTAGTAATTTTTAAATGGTAATTTAAACTTGACTAACCAGGAGTGATATTTAGAAAGAGTTATGTTTTATACAGAGAAATTTATACAGAAAATTCTAATATATTTGGATCACCTTTTATAAGAATATCATTTAAAAATGTCTAGGCCTCACAATATAGTGAAACTATATTATGTGTTTCTAAATATTAGCTTGTAAGAATTTCATACCTTTTAGAGAATAACAAATGTGCTTTTCGTAAGTTTATTTTTTTCTTTTCTTTTAGAGTTCAGCAGTGCCTAAGACCTGGGTCTCAACAGACCACCTCTCCATTGTGTGGTAAGTTAATACTTGTATAACTTGTTTTGATGAGTTGTCATGGTCCTCTTTCTCCTCAATGCAGTAATTTAATTGGCTTGTTAACTTTTTTTTTTTTTTGAGACAGAGTCTCGCTCTGTTGCCCAGGCTGGAGGACAGTGGTGCAATTTCAGCTCACTGCAACCTCTCGCCTCCTGGCTTCAAGTGATCCTCATGCCTCAGCCTCCCAAGCAGCTGGCATTACAGGCATGTGCCATCATGCCGGCTAATTTTTGTAGTTTTAGTAGGGATGAGGTTTCACCATGCTGGCCAGGCCGGTCTCAAACTCCTGACCTCAGGTGATCCACCCACATTGGCCTCCCAAAGTGCTGGGATTGCAGGGGTGAACCACCACACCTGGCCTGGTTTGTTAACTTTCTTAGAACTTCATCTATAAATAAGACTATGGGAGAAATATTAATTTAGAAGCTTGGAACTCTCATCTTGGTTCTTGTTTCAGTTTGACCAAGGTTCTCTTGACAACATGTAAAATAATCTCCCAAAAACCCAATAGCATCAGTCTCAAATGAAGCTAATATCAAATACCAAAGTTTTTGAGTTTTTACTAGTTGGGTGGAATCAACTGCACTTTTGGTAGGACTGTCTGAGCTTCTGGCCAATCACCGGCAGTGACTATTCTAGGGAGCAGCACATGGAAAACCAAGTAGGGATTAGATTTATCCATATGGGTCAAGAAATAGGCAGCCCCTGATATATTTATCTCATTGTGTTTCAGCTTAAAGATTCTCTTTTGACTTTTCTCTGGCTGTGCGAGCAGTAGTATCTGCTAGAATGACATACTTCAGGCATATAAAGATGGGGTAGATAGTACATCTATGGCTAGGCTAGGTGAGGGGATTCAGGGAAAACAGAAGGACCCTGAAAATTCTGGCAAACATCCAGGAAGATTTAATTTGCTTTATTTTTATAGGTTTCATATTTAAGATATATGCTTAATAAGAATGATTTGTTACATAATTTTTGAGTTTAGAGCACTAAAGGAAACTCAAATGTTCCACTAAACAATAGAATTGTGCATATTTTGATCAAAAGTATATGTTTTAAGAAAGTTTTATTTGTAACACTTACTTTATTCCTTAGGTGTAAACAATTGCAGTTGACTACAGTTCGAGCATTCTTTGATCTTATTGATGCTGATACTAAACAAGTATGTATTTTTAAACTAAAAATTATTTAAATGAAAGCTTTTACTTTACTATATCATTTACAGCCATGATGGATTTAATGTAATTTTTTTACTTTGATGAAAATAGAAGCATATACCTTATATCAATTTTAATTAGTTCCAAAATGGAAATATCTTTTTTTCTCATAATACTTTGACTGCTGCGAATGATTTGTAAAATGCAATGAAAATGAAAAGTGAAAGAACCTTAAATCTTCCCCCAGTTCTTTCCACTGCTTAAAGTTTGACATATATCCTTCCTTTTTTTTTTTTTTTTTTTTTTTAAGATGGAGTCTCACTCTGTTGCACAGGCTGGAGTGCAGTGGCGTGATCTCGGCTCACTGCAGCCTCTGCCTCCCAGGTTCAAGCGATCCTCCCACCTAGCCTCCTGAGGAGCTGGGACTATGTATGTGCACCACCAGTATTTTTAATAGAGATGGGGTTTCACCATGTTGGCCAGGCTGGTTTCAAACTCCTGACCTCAGGTGATCCACCTGTCTTGGCCTCCCAAAGTGCTGGGATTACAGGCGTGAACTACTACACCCGGCCTTCTTTTATTTTTTAAGTGTAGGGGAAATACTTCTTACAAACTATTTTATAATTTTTTTTGTAATACATTGTAAACATCATGATCTATCTTATTAGACATTTTTTCTTTTTGAGAGATAAGTTCTCACTATGTTGCCCAGTCTGGACTCAAATTCCTGGGCTCAAGTGATTCTCCCACCTCAGCCTCCTGAGTTTATTAAACATTTTTGAACCATGCTTTTTTAAAAACCACTTTAGCTTTCTGGTAAGATCGAAATGTGTAATTTATTGAATAACCTAAGCTCACCAGAACTTAAATTATGTACTTTTATAAGTTTTACCTTGTCTGTAATTTGATTTCACAGTGTAAACTCTTCAAACTAGTAATTTTCCAAATTGTTCAATTAGCAGAACATATGGAAATCATAGTATCCTTTACAGATTATCACATTACTCTTTTATCTCTTTCTTGTCTGCTAGCAGATAAATGGTAGCAGGATTTCAGCAAAATTCAGAGAATTCTTTCCATTAACTTAATTTTTTTTTCTGTAAGTTGGGAACAGATTGCCATTATTCATCTTAAACAGCCTTTTACCTCAGGTCATCTTATTCATGGAAATATATTTTGAGAACTATGGCTCTGGCTTCTTCTTTTGGAGAAAAAATTCCTTCTTTTTTAAGTAGTCTTTTTCATGGCAAAGCATTGCAGCCCGGATATTTTTGGAGTATTTCCCCTGAAGGCTCCAATTCTTTGGGCAACTAGTATGGGTGACCTCTTTCTCAATAGGTCTCCAGGTAATACTTAATTCTTAACAATGAGGAAAGCACCTTTACCCTGTAGTGTACTGTCTTAGAAGGATAGGGATTTTTTTCCTTAACTCTTCAGAAAGCTGTGTAACCACTCTTAGAGAGAATCATAGATACTTAGCTCTCTCCTGAAGGTCCAGATCATTTTGTGTTTTACCACATTTTAAGCTACAAGATTCGGTATTAAGTTAGTATATTTATTGATTTAAACAAGCTTCACCAAGTTGACACTGTGACTTGGTCATGCAACACAAACATTTTTTGGTTTGTTGACATTGTTTTAACTGTGAGACTTAACTGTGGTAAAAATTCTAAGCCTACTTGAGGGAGTACAACTACATACAATAATAGAGTCAATTAAAATTGCTAGACCAGTTTTTACTTCAACTGACGTTTGGTAAACTTAAGAAAAACCTTATTCCGACTGGTGAAGAACAGGATACGTCAGACAGGTATATTCCTAAAAAAATTGGACATAAAACTAATTTCAATAAATACAAGCATGTTTTTCCATTAACTTGTAAGATGAGAAAAGAACTATAGTACTAGTATGTAATAAATTATAATTCTGAATGTATAAATATGCATTTTAAGGAGAAAATGAGAAATTTTTGATAACCATATTACTAAGAATCAAAAATACTGTTTATGAAACTGAGTTTTGTTTTAAAAACTCACTATGTGTAATTGACTGGACTAAATAGTAGAAAATAAAAACTTAAGGTATGATATCTAACCCTCAGGAAGCATATAGTCCAGGAGAAAAGCAGAACATATATATTCAGGGAAACTAAAATGCAAAGAATAATTAGTCCTAAGCATGGTGATAAGGCAGGAATCAGAGTAATTTCTAGTGGTTATTAGCATAAAAGTCATAGCTAAAAACTTGTGAGTAGATGGATTACCTTGAGAGTGAGTAAGAATGGTGGAATCCAGTCTTAAAGTTTTTTTGTTTTTGTTTTTGTTTTTGTTTTTTGAGACGGAGTCTTGCTCTGTCACCCAGGCTGGAGTGCAGTGGCGCGATCTCGGCTCACTGCAAGCTCCGCCTCCCGGGTTCATGCCATTCTTCTGCCTCAGCCTCCCGAGTAGCTGGAACCACAGGTGCCCACCACCATACCCGGCTAATTTTTTGTATTTTTAGTAGAGACAGGGTTTCTACGTGTTAGCCAGGATGGTCTCGATCTCCTGACCTTGTGATCCACCCGTCTTGGCCTCCCAAAGTGCTGGAATTACAGGCATGAGCCACTGCGCCCGGCCTAAAGTTTTGATAGACAGGCTGTAACATTTAATTGATTGCAAACAGATGTGGCCCCTTAAGAAAATCAAACAAATTTAGTATAAGACTGAGTTATTTGAAGTAGAGAGTTTGCATCAATTAGTATAAAAGTTCCACTGTCCTCCACTCTACTGACACCGTATCTAGAGAACTGTATTCTATTTCATGCATCATATTTTGAGGGGGACATCAACAAACTTAAGTTTATCCAGGGGAGGCAATCAGAATGGTGAAGGGACCAAAAGAGTTCAATGAAAAACACTTGATATGTTTGAAGTTGTTTTATCTGCAGAAGAAATGTTTTATTTGAATGGAGAACATAGCAAGTTTCTAATTTTTGAAGGACTGTCTCCCAATCTAAGATAGCAGTGTAATAAGGAATCAGTTATTTGCTCTAAATAAAGCATTCTCCTGGTAAGAGTTGTTAAAATTGGAATGCATGATCTTACAAAGTAGTGAATTAAAAATGTTCAGGCAAATGCTGGGTGACTTCCAAAGGGATTGGAAAGGTTTAGTAGACCTGGATCCTCACTGTTACTTCTTTGCCGTTCTCGCTCTGTGGTTGAGAAAGTCATTTACCTGTCAGGGCCTCAATTATTAAACTAGAGAGTTGAATAATGGTCAATACCAAATGGATTTTATACCCAGTACACTTTTTTAAAGGGATGACAACTTTTTTAAAGTTGCCAACTTTTTATTGTGCCAGGATATTTAAAAAACAGGTAGAAGGATAGAATAAAAGAGAGTAATTTCTATGGTAGGAAAGTTGACAATATTTATTTTCTCTAGTGACCAGTGGATTCTTTGTTATGGTGTTGGCAGTAGTCTGAATTTGGAAATCAGTACATTGGGATCACAAGACCAGAGAATCTCTAAAATTCTCTTCTGGTTCTATACATTTTTATAATGTTTTATTCTTAAATGTTACTTGAGAGACACTATTGCATAATAATGAAAGCATGGACTCTAGAGCCAGAATGCCTGGGTGTGAATCCCAGCCCAGACTTAAGAGCTGTGTGAACTTAGGCAAGTTTCTTAATTTCTCTGTGCTTTAGTTTATTCACATTTCAAATGCAGGCGAAATCATTATCTCTTAGAGTTTTTGTGATGATTGAGTGAGTTTATGTACAGTGCTCAGAACAGTGCCTGGCTCAGAGTAATAAATGTTGGCTGTTGTCATCATTACTGAAGCAATGTTTCATCAAGCTATTACAATAGATACAAAATGATACAGAATGTATCAATGTTCTTTCTAGATAACTCAAAATTCCAAGAAGAAACTGTCAGTTTTGTATCACCACTTTATAAGACACCCATCAAAACATTTTGAGGAAAATCCAGCTATAATTTCTGACTTAACAGGTTGGTGACAATAACATATTTTAATTTTAAATGAAGTATTTCATTATTAATCTTAGGTAAATTTGTTTATAGCAGACAAAATCTTTGAAACTGTGATACTTCAAGTTTTAGGATCCTATTATATATATACATATATTATTAATTTCCCTATGATGATGCTGGTGCAGTTCTTGGTTAGGAAGGGAAAAAGAAGCAACATGTAAGAGATTGCTGGTAAAAATTTTGTCTTGAAAATAACATGACAAATAGAAAAATTTCAGTTAAATGACTGTTCTCCTAACAATTGCATAAACTAAGTGCCATATTATTCTTGACTCCTTTTAGTTCCTCAATTATCAGTTATTCTTCATTCTTCTTTTGGATTACCAACATATCTTTTGCTGATAAATTTTGCTTTTAACAAAATAACTTGCTTTGTCTATTTAAATATAAAGCAAATTATACCTGTTATATTTAATTATGTGTCTTGTTTGGGAAATGAAATATTTATTTCCTATGTTGATAATTCCTTAGAGTTAAAGGACACCAAACAGATTTATACTTTACTTGATGTGAATGCTAGTTGGTGATGAGTGTATAGAAAATATATTACTAGATTTTCTGTTTTAATATAGCCAGTGTTCAGAAAACCACTTCTTTATTGTGATTGAGAAGTATTTCACCAGGATTCAAAGAAGAAAGAAACTATGTAGTATAAAAACAAAACAAGGCAAATAAATTAATTTCCTTTACCTTCAGGGACATCTATGTGGGTTCTAGTAAAAGTGTCCAAATGGACCTATGTAGCTTACAACGTAAGTATTCCACCAATGGATTTTTTTTCATGTTTTTTCCAGAAATAATTTAGTATTTATCTTTAAAAGTTAAAGACTCTTTAAACAAGATAACTGCATGCCATTTTCCCACAATTTAATAATAATTCCTTAATAAGTATCTAGTCAGTAATCAGTTTTATCATAAATTTATCTTTTTTGCTGTTTTCTTTGACGTTCAGTTTGTTTACATCAGGATCCAAACAAGGCCTATACGTTGTTATTGATTAATGTCTTATTCCTTTTTAATCTGGAAGACTTTCTCTTACCACCACTCTCCCCTTTTTTTTCTTGAAACTTATTTGTTGAAAAAAATACCAAGTCATTTGTCCTCTAGAGTTTCACAGTCTTGATTTTACTGATTGCATTCCTGTAGTCATTCAACATGTTCCTTTGCCTGTTGTGGTCCTGTGATTTAGTAGCTGGATCTAGCTGCTTTTTCATATTCAGATTTTTGTTTTGTTTTTGTTTTTGCTAGACTTTCTCTCTTTTTGTGATGTTAGCCACTGTTGATGAGGAATGCCTGGAGTTATTAATTGATTAAGGAGGATGCAAAAATTATGATGTTTAATTTTATTATTTATTAACTAGAATAGTATTCTAGTTAATTCTATATACTTACAGAAAAACTGCTTATCTACTAAATTTATCAAAAGTAGAATAAATCATATGGGAAAAGAGTGATAATTGTGTGGATCTTTGGATCTTACCTTATATTTACTCATTATCAGAATGGTGAGTTGGCTCACAAGCTTCCTCTTATTAGTGACCATTAGTGGGTTTATTCCTCCAGTATTATTATGCACTCATGCATTTAAATATGTTTTCTTTCAGTCTGTTGATACTAAAATCGTTCCATATTTGGTCAGTGCAAACCATTTCAAGTTAAGTTCCTGAGCTTTGTTGATACAGCTCTTTAGTTGTCTTTAACAGTTTCCTCACTCTTGAGTAGGACAAGATATTTTAGCTTATTTTGTACATTTCCTGCCCCAAACCGTGAATCAGCTATTTCTTTAAGGAACTATTCCTTTTCTTTGGGAAGTGGTATCTCAAAACCATAATCTGGTACTAGAAATGCTTGTGACTATTGGGTTGGCATTTCTAGGCCTTTTCAATGGCCAGAGCTAAGAACTGCATAAAATCTTAACTAGAAGAGCAAAAAACCCACAATAAAACAACAACAAAAAAGTACATTCACACTGATACTTCCAGGACAAACTGGGGACTACAGAGTTTATACCTAATCTTTCTCTTGCCCTTCTGTATCTTCCTTCTCCCACTCCTAGAGAATTGGTTCTCAACAACAAGAAGAATGATAGAATTAGAATAATTACTCATTTGCTATATCTGGATTTTTGAATGATGAAACTAATCTGCTCATTACAGCTATATTGAGTGTTTTCCTTCTTTTTGTAGGAATCTGAGAAGATATATTTTACATTTCCTCTTGAAAATCATAGAAAAATCTACACTCATGTCTATTGTCAGAGCACTATGCTGGTAAGATAATTGGTACATTTTATGTAAATTTAAGAGGCTAACTGTTGTTCATTTTTCAAATTCTACTGGTAGACCTAGCTATGAAATATTACTATTAAATCTAAGTAGTTGAAAAATAATTTCTCTGGACGAGTGTTTTGATTGAAAAGTATTGATCAAATTTTTTTTTTATCACAGATACTATGCTATTAAGGTGTAACTTTGGTTCTAGTTTAGGTCTCCCACCCTGTCTTTCTGCCTTCATTTTACTCTGTTCGTGATGAAGGAATGGAATTCAAAACCCCTTTAATTCTAAGTTTCTATTAGTACTTTAAAGAATAGATGTAATTAAGCAAAGCTATTCAATAGGAATTTTATAAAGGGAATTTTGTTTTCCATTGGCTTACATACTAAAATTTGAGGTACTTTTTATACCAAATATTCTCTAAGATAGTAGAGTAACTTACAATGTTATCTAGATTTACTGTATCAGAATAATGATTTTGATTTTTGTGTTTCTTTTTAATGAGTACCTACTATGTTAGGCACTATTAAAAAATGTGATGTTGTTTAAAAATGCTGTAGCGTGCATTTATTATGATATTAGGAATGGAAGCTAGGTGTGGTGGCTCACGTCTGTAATCCTAGCACCTTGGGAGGCTGAGGTGGGTGGATCATTTGAGCTCAGGAGTTTGAGACCAGCCTGGGCAACATGGTCAAACCCCGTCTCTGCAAAAAATACAAAAAACTTAGCTGGGTGTGGTGGTAGCACCTGTAGTTTCTGCTACTTGGGGGGCTGGGGAAGGAAGATCACTTGAACCGAGAGGTTGAGATGGCAATGAGTTGAGATCACGCCACTAGCGCTCCAGCCTGGGTGACGAAGTGAGGCCCTGTCTCAGAAGAAAAAAAAGGGAAAGGTTAAGTAGTACTTCAATAATTTATCTACATTTCTTACTTTCAGGATTTTTTCTTTTTTTTTTTTTTTTTTTTGAGACGGAGTCTTGCTCTGTCACCCAGGCTGGAGTGAGGTGGCGCAGTCTCGGCTCACTGCAAGCTCCACCTCCCGGGTTCACGCCATTCTCCTGCCTCAGCCTCCAGAGTAGCTGGGACTACAGGCGCTTGCCACCATGCCTGGCTAATTTTTTCTATTTTTTTTAGTAGAGACAGGGTTTCACCGTGTTAGCCAGGATGGTCTCGATCTCCTGACCTCGTGATCCGCCCGCCTCGGCCTCCCAAAGTGCTGGGATTACAGGCGTGAGCCACCGCGCCCGGCCTCAGGATTGTTTCTTAATTTGGATTCTTTTTCCTCTATTCTGATTTTTTTTTTTTTGGCATATCTCACGATTCTTCACTCTATATTTGTATCTGTTCCTTCTTCTCCCTTTTGTTAGGTTATTTGTATTTATTTAGAACCAAGATCTATTACTTTGCTGGAGATGCTGACATTTGATTATATAGTAAAATATTTTAAAAAAAGATGATAGGCATTGTGGGCTGGATGCTAATGGGTACTATATTTTAGTGAAATTACCAGACTTTTGCATCTCTCACAGAGACTTGCATCTCTCAGCCTAAAATCTAGATGGGCAGTTTACCCTGGCAGATTCTGGCCTTGAGAGTAAAAGCTTAAAGTATCTTTTCTCACTTAATACTAAATTTCAAATCAGAATGTCAGTATTATATTAAGAAAAATGCTTGTCAAAGTGCAAATTATTCATTTGGCTGATGGGAGGATCTTTTTTCTGTATTTAATGTTCATGGGTATTAATTAACATAAACTCATGTGAATTTTAAAAAAATCTTTTCAATTTTTATTATAGAAATTTTCAAGCTTATATAAAGGCAGAAAGAAAATATAAGAATGAATTTTTTTATAATCAACACACAGCTTTAACAGTTATCAATACTCTGTCATTCTTAAATCATTTATTTATTTACACTTTTTTTGACTGAAAAATTTTAAAAGTAAATTCTGGGCATTTTATTAGTTCATCCATAAAGTATGTTTTCCTATAAGGATTTTATACATTACCATAATACCATTATTTCATCCAACCAAATTAATACTAATTCCTTAGTATCATCTGATATTCACTCCATGTTCAGTTTTCCTTGGTTCACTTAAATTTTAAGTTTATCTGAATCAGGATCCAAAGTATACATTGCCTTTAGTTCCTAGATCTTATGTCTCTTTTATAATAAATAGCCCCACCCCCTTTCCCCCATGCTACTTAAATGTTCAAAGAAATGTATTACATGTTTTACAGAATTTCCCACAATCTAGGTTTAACTGATTGTATTCCCATAGTGTCTTTTAGTATGTATTTCTATCCCCTATGTTTTCTGTAAACTGGTAGTTAGATCTAGAATCTTGATTAGATTCAGATTAATTTTTTATAGTAAGAATGTTTTATAAGTAGAGCTGTGGATCGCCTATTTTATGGTACCAGGAGGTACATAATATCTGGTTTTACCACTTTTAGAGAAAAAGATATTGGTAGGCTCAGTGGTGACAGCATGATCCATCCATTATAAAGTGCCCAGTCAGTCTTTCACTTGATGGTTTTTAGTAGCCATTAAATACAGTAGACAGAATTTTTTGAGAACTATAAATTTTTGATCAGTAGCATTTTCTTTCCTGTATACTTTAGGAGTTAGTCAATAATCCTTGAATAACTTCTAAGGTTTTTAGTATGATTTTTGTAATTAGTTCACCTTTTGACATCTAGGTTATATCAACATGGTGTTTTGATGGACTTTGATGGTGTTAGATACTCTATCTATTCAATCCATTGATGAATGAGTCAGAATTCCCTATACACCGAAGTAGTATGGAATATCAGCAATTTTCATAATGAGGGTTACCTTTGAGGATAGGCCCCTTCTTAGTAGCGGCAAAAACCCTTTACAAAAATGGGTTGGATCTTTATAGGCTGCTAGATTTTCTGTGTCCAGGCTGTGCAGATCTGTTCTGTTGTCTTGCTTCTTTAATGTCACATTATTGTTCTGGGAAGTACAGGTAACTGATACAGGACTCACACAAGTATTTTGCCTACAGAGAAACACCACACTTTTTTATTTGTTTCCTGTCAGCTTTCTTTTATATATTCCTGAAAAATGTCTTAACATTTTATGTAAGCTGAATGAGAGCAGAGACTATGTCTGCCTGATTCATCATTTTCCCTGAGGGCTTAGTATATCATTCCTTGGCCATAGAATGGACTTTATAAGTATCAGTTGAATAAAAGCATTGATTTCTTGGTTGTCCTATCTGTGATTCAAAGGACAAATTTATGTAGCTATGTGAGCAGTGCTTCTCATCCTCTTATGTCTTGGTAGGATTTCACTAGTTAGATAATCATATCTCAGAACATTGCTCTTACTTCCTTAAAAGTTGCAGTTAAGATCTCAGGTCACACTGCTGTTTTTGTTTGTTTGTTTTTGTTTTGTTTTGTTTTGTTTTTTGAGATGGAGTCTCGCTCTGTCGCCCAGGCTGGAGTGCAGTGGCGCGATCTCGGCTCACTGCAAGCTCCGCCTCCCAGGTTCATGCCATTCTCCTGCCTCAGCCTCTTGAGTAGCTGGGACTACAGACGCCCACCACCACGCCCAGCTAATTTTTTGTATTTTTAGCAGAGACGGGGTTTCACCGTGTTAGCCAGGAGGGTCTCGATCTCCTGATGTTGTGATCCGCCTGCCTTGGCCTCCCACAGTGCGGTCACACTGCTTTTAATTGACTAAAGCTGAATACAGAATATGTTAAAATGTCACAATCATCTCTGCAGCATTTCCATCCTGTGCTGATGAACCATAACCAGCTTTAGTCTGGAGCCCTTGGAATTGGGCTTTAGTCCAACACATTCTTGGTTGTATAGAAGTTATTTGCTGGTCACTTTGGGAGGTTGAGGCGGGCGGATCATGAGGTCAAGAGATGGAGACCATCCTGGCCAACATGGTGAAATCCCGTCTCCACTAAAAATACAAAAATTAGCTGTGTGTGGTGTCACACCGCTGTAGTCCCAGCTACTCTGGAGGCTGAGGCAGGAGAATCGCTTGAACCCAGGAGGCAGAGGTTGCAGTGAGCCGAGATTGTGCCACTGCACTCCAGCCTGGTGACAGAGCAAGACTCTGTCTCAAAAAAAAAGGGACTTATTTGCTGGTAACCAAATGGAAACTCAAACGATAAAGTAAAACACAGTATATAAATTATTTTTAATTGCTTGACTCTGGATTTATGTTTGTATAAAAGTCTACCTCCAGCTTTTCATTCTTCATTTAAAAAATGTAGATTACTTACTATATAACTATCTAATTAAAGTATGGACATTACTGAAATCTGAAAATTTTGGTTCAATAATTAGGAATACTTAGGTGATATGCTGTAGAAAGATGGCGAGGCGTGGTGGCTCACACCTATAATCCCAGCACTTTGGAAGGCCGAGGCGGGCAGATCACTTGAGGTCAGGAGTTCAAGACCAGCCTGGCCAACATGGTGAAACCTCGTCTCTACTAAAAATACAAAAATTAGCCGGGCATGGTGGTGGGTACCTGTAATCCCAGCTACTTGGGAGGCTGAGGCAGGAGAATAACTTGAACCCAGGAGGAGGAGGTTGCAGTGAGCCAAGGTCGTGCCACTGTACTCCAGCCTGGGTGACAGAGCAAGACTCCATCTCAAAAAAAAAAAAAAAAAAAAAGAGATAACCAGTCAGGGCAGTCCTTCTCGTACTCTTGGCTCCAGGATAACTGCTTACCTATCAATGTTGACATTAGACTTCTTTACCCATCCTTGATTTATTTGACTTTGAGAACATCTTGGATATGTTTCTCAACAATAAGCTGTTATTTACGTTTCACTTGCTCCTAGTCACCCTATATCATATAACAATAAAAAGTGTTGAAAATGGGTGTTTGTTTTGTATAATTATTTTCTACAATACTTAGTGTGTTTTGTTTTGTGCTGTTCATCAACAGGATACAAATAGTTGGATTTTTGCTTGCATAAACAGCACTTCTATGTGGTAAGTCTTTTGAATGCATGTTCATTTATCTCAACATAAACAATACTCGGAAACCACACTTTTAGAATAGTTTCATACATTGTTATTTTCATTTTGATGCTATATGAAATTATAATATTGTTTTTAAAATGAAAAGTAAAGGAAATGAATATACTAGTAATTTTTGCAAACATTGAAATTAGCTGGGAAAAACATTTTTGTTGCTAAGGGAAATATGTGGACAGAGTATATTGGATTAGGCTCAATAGACATCTCTACTAGGTGTAGAGATGGTTTCTTTTTCCTCTGAATCTTATTTATAATTTGTAATACTTCCATATATTTGTCCTTTAATTATATTTTCATATTTATTTCAAAGCCTGCAAGGGGTTGATTTATCATGGAAAGCTGAACTGCTGCCAACAATTAAGGTAAATTATGGCTTCAGAATTTTAATATTCAGTTGAAAAAAATACTTGAGTCTATACACATTTTAAAATATTCTCTTTCATTAGCTTATCTTGGTATTAAATAAACTTGAGATTTACTAACCTACATTTAAAAAATATTTTCTCTAGAAATACATTTGATAGGGAATAACATACAATTAGTGTTATTTATATTTTTTTTACTTTCAGAGATAAAAACTATAAGTTAACAGTCCTCTAAATCTCTGTATATTATAACTTCATACAAAAAGAACTGGATGGATTTCTAACATTCAATTTGAGGATATGTTTGAATGGCCTGCCTTAAAATATGAGCTGAGTTAGTATACTTAGAACTCATTTTGGGAGGAAGGGCCTGCAGTTGGGAAGTGGACATCTCAAACAGATATGATACATGGTCAAGCACTCAAATAACTAGTTTATCTAGTGCTCTCCAGGGTGATAAGTCACAGCAGGGATTTATTTAATAGTTGTTTGTGATTTGATTAAGCAACTCTGGTAGGTCAGCAAGTTCTTTTATAAAGGGCTTATTTGCGCAGTCTCAAAATCTATTGTTGAAAAAGCAAAATAATCCTAAAATGTGATGAAAATATCTGTTCTAATTTCCAAATTGTATTTATTGTAACTGATAAATTTTATCCGGATTGATAGTTTTCAGTCTTCAAGTAAATCTGTACTTTAAAAATATAGTTTCATAATGAATCCTAGACTCATTCATTGACTTGAAAGTGAAATCATCTGGTGGTTTCCAATTATTTCACGATTAACTCCAATTAAGTTAGTTATTTTTGCTCATGAATGCTTATAATTATTTGTATGAATAGTCAACTCTATACTATACAAACAGAGAATGAGAAACTTATGCTAACAGAGAGGAATGGTGACAGAAGAAATAATTGCAAGTCACACTTCACTTTGGAATGGTTGCAATTTTTTTGTCACCTTGGTCAATCTTATTTGTACATATTCATTCATGTGACCTTGTGTTTATCAAACAAATATGATAGGAAAGTAAATTGACTCTTGAACATTTTTAAGGTTTCTCACTGGTACTATCCTAACCAGGATCAAAACAAACAAAAGTGTTAGGATATACTTACTGCACACTCATTTATAAGGTGTTATTAAATATTTCCTCAACTTATTTTTTTATTTCAATAGCTTGAGGGGTATAGGTGATTTTTTTATTACGTGGATGAATTGTATAGATTAATTTGGATGTTCTATCCAGCCTATAAAGATTAAGAAGAAATAAATTATTAAAAACCCAATAAAATGTACTTTGCTTCCTATGTTTTAAAAGGTATTTCTTAAATCATAAAATTTTTATATTATTCTTTTAAATCTCCAAAGATTAATCAGTCTCTATATCAAACAATAGGTCCCTATGTTGTTTGTTCTGAATGTAAGAAACAGCTGGCTGAACAGCAGGAGAACAAGCTATTTCAGCTGCCTACTTTTCATGGCAAATGCTGAAAGAGAGAAGTTAGAAAACAAGTATTATAGCATTCTGCAATCTTGTGTGTTCTCAGCTTAGGAGGATAGATCTTTTATTTTAATGAAAGTCAAAATTGAATGTAATATGTATTAGCCATTTATAAACAGCACACAAAATTATTTTGCTTTGAAATTGAAGGGATGACTAAAGCAAATACATTTTATAAATTTTATTCATATTAATATCTCAATAAAAGTAATGTCAGATGAGAATTATATCATTGTTAGGCATTTCTGTGGACTGAACTTTTAATAAATAGATGGAGCCCTCCATCAAAGCACGTATAAATTCAACACTTGGCCATTGTTGAGAATAAATACTTAAAAGCCATTAGAGTGGATAGCTGCACA